>NC_000007.14:120991627-121294657 GCF_000001405.40 Homo sapiens
GGCATATGTTAGCTGTTATTTGTGGGCTGTCATAGAAAATTCGATTTCAACTTTGAATCTCCTACTACTTATAAACCATCTGAAACTTACTGGCTCCTGGTGTAAAACATTCACTTGAGAATTTTCTTCACCAAAAATGCCAAACACATGATGAATTTCGTTTAAAAATGATTCACAGTCTTAAGTATTTTAACTGTAAGCAAGATTCTAAATTTACAATTATAGTTCAGGAGCCCAGTGGATATGGAAAGTAGATTTCCAAACATTAGCCATGTCACTCCATTTTTAACCTATGCCAGCCCCTGGATTAAAGCCACTTTTTATTTGAGACAGAAAGGAAGTGAGAAAGAAAGTATCATACACATGTTAATTAAAACCAGATACAAATTAATTCTACTTATAGTATATGTTTTGAAAAAAGAGTCAAATCATACTCCAATTTAAATTATTAGATACTCTTTCAGATGGCTAAAATGAAGAGAGAAAGCTTTTGGGATCAATATATTGATCATTTTCTAAAGTAACTACTTGTGAAGTTCATTTAAAAAAACTGATTAGATGCTATATAGGTTTCCTGAAAACCTAGAATTAGCTTTGAGGCATTTTATAGAAGTAGCATTGTTTCTATCTGTAAATTTTGGATTTTGTTATTACTTTTATTTAGTCAAATCTTAGTCAAATCTTTGCTTTAAGTGTTTTTAAAAGTTACTTAAACCAGCTGATTTTGACCTAGGGTTCATGGATTCCAGAATGTATTTAGATGTATGAAATGTATACATCCATGACATTTTATGCAAAATACTGTAATGTAGGTGTATGTGAAGATCTTTGGGGGGAAAATTATAGATTTATGTCAGATATTCAGAACTAAAAACATGCTAAGAACCACTACAAATGCTTAACAACCAGTATGTTTACATGTTAAACTAACTGCCCCTCCAGGATGTGTAAACTGGATGTAGATTTAAAAACCTAAAATCAAAAAATCATAGTTAAAGACTTCAACTGAGCATATTAGAACAAGTGTTTCAGTGAATGTTTTAGTGTTTGCAGGGATAAATATTCAGAAACCAAAGTAAATACACAGAAGTAAAAACTTCTTGGATCAGAGTTTTTATTCATTGAATAAGTAATACATATTTCCCAGCCTTTTTTGTTGCAGTTGTATCTATGAGAAGACCTTTTGTACTTTGTCAGCCTCCTAATGGAGGGTTCTGTACTACCAAATATTTGATGGTGGGTGACTTTACCCTGCACACTTTTACACATGGGATCTGGTTCAATGTGTAAAGCTGTTTTCAATATGGATTGAAATCATGGTATAATATATGCCAACTTTCCATAGTGAGGAAGTACTCTCCCTCTTTCTTGCCAAACTTTAATTCATTTTTCCATTTGAATAATGCAAAGGGCTTGGCTAAGCAGATGTATTTTTGTCACTTCTTCTGAGTTTTCTCTCAACATCAGTAGTCTGAATATTGCCTGACAATCTGCCAAGTCTTAAAATTATTTCAATTTAATATATAAACACAGATGTGTTGTCTTCATCAAAGTAGGTCACTCAATAGATTTATCTATTTTATAGCATCTAACAGTTTAACATTTCATAGCACAGGAAGCACATTAAATTATAAACAGAAGCAATGAAAGAAAATCTCCTTAATATATGCTTCTTTAATGGAAACTTTGCTATTTGGGGAATACATTTATACTCACCATAGCCATGTGTTTCTGATTACCTCCTGTTGATGGCTCCAAAATGAGAACTACTATTTTGTTGACTGTTGCTTGACTATTCATTTCCCATGTCTTCTTGACCCTCCCTTCTCTTTAAATGACCATTCTATATGACATCTACTTTCTCAAGGATCAAAACATAGCCCAGTGCAAATAAGTGGATGTTCTCATTGAAAATGATCTAATTAATCTTGTTTGCATTTCTAATAGTAAATAGTATATTTAACATTTGAAAATTTCTAAAAAAATTCCTTACTTGGCCCAGGTTTTCTAGAAATAGAACTGGAGGCAAACACTTGCATGCTAACACTTTGTTGGAGAATGCAATCCCAGGGACACAAGAGTGAGGAAAGAACAGAGAAGGGAGAGCAAACAGAAGGGAGTACATTATTGCAAGTCATTTCTAGAGAGGCTTTCTTCAACGACCACGTCTCAGTACAGGTGCTGGACAAAAGGAGCAGAAAGAGCAAGCAATTTATCACCTGATCTCCTCTCCTGCCTTTTGTTGATTGGAGTCCCTCTCATGGTATTTGCAGGTTGAGTTTTTTGGCTTCTCAGGGCAGCCACTAGAGAAGCTCGCCCCTGGGTGGGGGTCGTCCTGCAGGTGCAAAGGTGAAGTGGACTCTCCTTTTCAATCAGTACTGTGAGTAGGAGCTTCCAGGTCTGTGCTTCAGAGACAGTGAAAACGCTGTCCTTAGTTTGATGACCACAACAATGGTGAGTAATGCCCACTAGAAAGGTAGATGAGGCAATGTGGCCTACTCACTACTGAGGCAGTAGTTTGATAACTTTGCTTTCTAGAAATCCACCAAAAATCCAGCAAAAAATGCTTGCACTCTTGGCAAGAGGCCTCTCTTCTTTTATATAAAAATGTTGTAATTATCTCACTGAGAATCCTTCTCTTTAACTAAAAAAAAATCCCCTACAGAACCTTGCTTCCTCTCTACCCTTTCTCCTCCCGATATCTTTCATTTATTCATTTTCATTCATTTAGTAAATATTTATTGGACAATTTGTATGTATTAGCCTCTTTATGAGATACAAGTTATATAGAAATAAAAGCTTCTGTGAGACAGACAAGTAAATTAACACGGTGATAGGAAACTGACAATTACAAGACTACTTTTTGAATGTTGAGAAGGAACTAGAGAGGGTAGAGAAAGAAAAAAGTATTACATGCAGATTAGCCTGCATATGCAAATAAGAAATGAAATAGCTGGATAGCCTGATACATTTGGAGAATTCAAAGTATTTGTTATACTGTGTGTGTGTGTGTGTGTGTGTGTGTGTGTGTGTTGTTGTTGTTGTTACTGATGGAAGCAGGAAGGCAAATACACAAAGTAGAAAAGTCAGCAGGGTCTAGATGTTGGAAATGTGCACATGATAAGGAGTCTGGATTCTATTCCAAAGGCAACAGAGAATCCCTGAAGAATGCTAAGCAAAGACTGGCATAAATACATAAGTGTATTAGAGAGAAAGTGAGAAAACACACATTGCAGAATGGACTGGAGTAGAATTGAAGGCAGGAAGACCAGTTGGTAGGCTGTTTCAAAATGCCTCTTCTTCGCCAAATCTTACTTTCCATGTGTGTTCTTGAACACCCCCTTTTCAACCTTTTTCAAAATTGGCTCCACAGTTACCCTCTATTACTTATAATATTGCCAATTCCAAATCTTTCCTCCTGCCAGCGAACATGTGTAGAACTAATAAAACAATAAGCTTTCTTTGTACCTGGCAATCTACCTAATATGATATGCTCCCTGTCTCTCTACTTCCCTTCAGAGAAACTGTAACTGGTTCTCTTTGCATGTACTTCCTTGTTACCTCTCCCGATTCCTTATCCTTTGCATTTGGTCATTTCTATTGAAACCTCTCTTGGTGAACCCCTTATTACCAAATCTAATGAGATCTATTTTCAGTCTACATCCTTCTTCTCTGAGGCATGTTCTGCTATTGGGAAGTGACTCTTTCTTGAAATTTCCTTTTCGAATTCCACAACACAACAAGGTTATTCTGAAAAACTTGTGGTCTCTTTTCGAGTTCATTTCCTCTCTCTGATGACACAGGTAGACATTTCCAACCTTAGGTCCTTGGATCTTTGCCTTGTTTTATACTTTTCCTTGATGAATGTATCAGTTTTGCCTATTGTTAATTTTCACCCTTGGCAGATGACATATCACCTACCTCTTCAAATTCCTGCTACCTTTTTCTAGAATATTATAAAATACTACAAAAATTTAAATAATTTATTTCACAAACCTCATGCCCAAATCAATGACTCCTCTTAACCTCCCTATTTCCATGAATAGGACCTGTCACCCAACCACCATTTTCCTAGATGCATAGTTTTTACACCTTTGATATTTCTTGCTTCTTCCCTGTACCTTGCTCCTCACCAAATCCATCTGGCCTGGCTCCTTACCAAATCTGAGGTCTGCCACTGAGCGACATGGCGAGCTCCAAATTAGAAAGACCACAACATTCTTCAGTTTTTTTTATTCTTCTTCCTCTTCTTCTTCTTCTTCTTCTTCTTCCTCTTCTTCTTCTTCTCCTTCTCCTCCTCCTTCTCCTCCTCCTTCTTCTCCTCCTCCTCCTCCTCCTCCTCCTTCTTCTTCTTCTTCTTCTTCAATAACTCTGGGAGTGGTGGCTCACATCTGTAATCCTAGCACTTTGGGAGGCTGAAGCAGGAGGATCACTTAAGTCCAGGAGTTCAAGACCAGCCTAGGCAAAATAGGGAGAGCCTATCTCCACAAAAAGTTAAAAAAAAATTAGCTGGGATTGATGGCATGTGCCTGGAGCCCCCCAGCTACTCGAGAGGCCAAGGTGGGAGGATTGCTTGAGCCAGGGATGTCAAGGCTGCAGTGACCTGTGATCATGCCTCTGCACTCCAGCCTAGGTGACAGAGCAAGCTCCTGTCTCAAAAAAAAAAGAAAAGGGAATTATCCTTAGAAATTTTTAATAGAGGTAAAAAAACCCCACATATTATAAAATTTAACCTCTTAACCATTTGTGAGTATACAGTTAAGTAGTATTAATCATATTTACATTGTTGTGCAAAGTCCAAAATATTCTTGCCTTGTTCACAGCCCTTATTCAGAAACATTAGTCTCAACCAGCTTGCATGTTGCTTCCTCTTCTCCTTGGCATCTGGCCCAGATCTGGATTTCCTCCTTGTGGTTTATATATTGCCTGTAGACATGGTGCTCCTTTTTTAGCTCTAACTTCTAATTTCTCTCTGGGACCATGCTGTGCATTTAGCCCTTTATTATACTATTATAATTTTAGTAAATATCACATGAGCACAGCCCTTATGGCTATGTAAAGTGGAATTTTCTCTAGTCCTCCAAATTAATTCAGATAAGAGTTCATCAGATTCCAAAATCTTAGCATCTATCTTCACAATCTCAATGCTGTGTCCTTGTTGTCACTAACCTAGACTCATTCAGTGGTTTAACCAGTTACCCCTCCATCTGCCTGCATATTCTAGGCAGTCTGTGCACAGGTCCCATTAATACCTCTGCTGAAAGCTTTCAGGAGTTGTAACGTTGAGCGCACTCAATTGAGTAGAAACCACACTGATCCTGGCATGTTCCAACATACTTTTCCAGCCTTATCTCTACCCTGTCTCTATGTGTAATCCATAATCCATAATCCACCCAACAGCCTGCCTATTTTCTAAACTCCCACATCTCTCCTTCTGTCAGGAGTCTCCTCCAGGGAGCCTGCTCTACTCAATACCTCTAGAAATCTTCATGATCATTCTTAAAGCTTTTGAGAACCTATGGAGTTTCACTTCCTTCATTATAGCAGCCCTTATCTCCATAAGTGGATGTGTGCTTAAACATCCCTAATAAAACTTATGTTTCATTGTAACTATTTATAAATGAAGGAACATTAGAATGTTAGAACTGCAAATAAGTTAGAGATGATTAAGTTCAACATCTTTCTTTTTTAAGTGAAGAGAAAGAAGGTCACAGAAAGAAAGTGGCTCTCTCAAAGTAACATAACAAGTTGATAGTGTGGACAGGACTGGACTGAGACCTATGTCCTTTCTATTTTATTATAGCCCCATATGCTAACTCCATTCATTGGTATTATGGGTTAAATTGTGTACCCCATCCCTGAAAAGATATGTTGAAGCCCTAAACTCCAGTACCTCAGAATGTGACCTTACTTGGAAATAGGGTTATCGCAGATATAATTAGTTAGGATGAGGTCACACTGGAGTAAGGTGGCCCCTAATCCAATATGACTGGTGTTATAGGAAGGCAGTAGATGGGGCGTGGTGGCTCACACCTGCAATCCCAGCACTTTGGAAGGCCAAGGTGGGTGGATCACCTGAGGTCAGGAGTTTGAGACCAGCCTGGCCAACATGGTGAAACCCTGTCTTTACTAAAAATACAAAAAACTAGCTGGGCATGGTGGCGGGCACCTGTAATTCCAGCTACTCAGTAGACTGAGACAAGAGAATCACTTGAACCCAGGAGGCAGAGGTTGCAGTGAGCTGAGATTGTGCCACTGCACTCCAGCCTGGGTAACAAGAGCAAAACTCGGTCTCGAAAAAAAATAAAATAAAATAAAATAAAATAAAATAAAATAAAATAAAATAAAATAAAAAATAAAAAGAAGAGGACAGCATAGGAAGACAGAGACACACAGGGAGAATGCCATGTAATGTTGAAGGCAGAGATTGGAGTCATGCAGCTGCACACTGAAGGACACCAAAGATTGCGGCAAACCCCCGGAAACTCGACAGTCAAGGAAGGATTCCACCACAAGTTTCAGAGGAACTGCTGACACTGTTATTTCAGGCTTCTAGCCTCCAGAATTACGAGATTTAGTAAGCAAGCTTCTCTTGTTTTAAACTATCCAGCTTCGAATACTTTGTTACAGCAGCTCTAGGAAACTAATAAATTTGGGAAGGCAGAATAGTTAAGTACATGAACACTGCATTCAAATTAATACCATTTATTAACTTGTTACCTTGGGCACATTTCTTGACCTCTCTAGGATTTAGTTTCCTTACCTGAATATGGATATATTATCACCAACTCCCCAGGCTAACATGATCCTTAAATGAGATAAATCACATGAAGCACTTAAAGTGTCTGGCAGATAGAAAGCACTCAATAAATATTAACTATGAAAATAATTATTATTTAATTTCCTTGAAGACTCCCTCCTCTCTGTGGACCCTATAGACCCTAACATTTGGCCTTCACAAAGTCAGTGAGCAATAAATAATTGCTGCAATCAACATAAGTCTTTGGATAAGAAATGTCTGAGATGAAAGCTTTGTTGAGTTTCTCTCTCTATCCCCCAGCCTCTAAGCTGTTGCCTTTTCACAGTAAAATGAATCTTTTGAAACAAAACCAAACTTAAGGAGGCTGATATATCACTCAACGTCAGACTTGCTTATTTATAGGCAAGTCTTCAGTTTTGTGGAATCCTTTTTTTTTTTTTTAAAGTCTGAGATGCTGAGATGAACAGCATGTTATAGCTGGGGATGGGGAGGAGTGAGTTCAGTGCAGATAGGAGGAAAGAGATTAAGATTTTGGACCCTGAGTAACATATCTATTCATTGGTTTATTGTCTTTCTACACAGAATATAAGCTCCTTCAGATCAAATGCTTTAGTTGATTGGCTTACTGCTACATCCCCAGTGTAAAAACAGCCTCTGATACATAGTGAGCATTGAATAAATATTCAGTCGATGAATGAATAAATAAATGAATGATGAATTTGAATTTGCCAACTCTAGAGCAGGGCAAGATATGAGAGGAACTCCTTCTCCCTCTTTTCTTTCTCTTGCTGAACTCAAAAGTCCTCCACTTCTCCTTTTTCCTGTACAAGTATCCCTTGATCTCTTTACTGTACTATCTCTTGGACTTCTGGCTAATGGTAATCATCATGCCACTTCTACATTAAAGTTGATTAATTATCTTTGATTAATTAACTATCATTGATTTCTCGTTATCATCAGCTCCTTTGTCTCATTGAAGTCCTTAGCCTATAAACATTCTCAAGTATCTACCATAATAATAATAAAAATAACATCCTTTCCTAATCATTGTGCCTTTCTAATTACATCTCTTCTTTCTTATCCTCATTGTCACCATCATCTAACCTCTATTTCTGTTAAGGAATTTCCATTTTTAACAGATTGATCCTACCTAAAATTGAGCCATTCCTTTTATAAATTTTTATATTGTAACTGGATTGGAAGATGTAGATTTTAAAATCTTGCTGATGGAATTTAAATACAGGAGTTTATGTATACGAGGCTCTCAAGAGATGTTATCAACACACTAACAGGTACGCAACTTCCATAGAATTAGTTAGGCTGCCTGATGAGCATTTAATGTTTGTGAATTTATCTGAGACAGTTGATTAGAGCGATGTTAAATTTTTATAATGAAATATGCATATGGGTGAAAAATTGCTCATACTGAGAGAACTTAAACAAATTCAAATTTGTTTACATTAGATACATTTTAATGAAGGCTTGATGAAGCTCAAATTTCAACAAGTTATATTAAATGTCATATGTATCAAAGAATTAATCATTTTATAAGTGTCATTCTCTCTTGTTTTTTCAGATAGTGGCAGGAACTTCTGCTTCTTTCTCCCTCTAAGCAATTCTGTTTCTTGTTTAAATGGAATTGAAAATTCATATAAGATAAACCCTCTGAAATGGAAAGCACTAAATACACTGACATTATAAAAAGGGCTTCCTGTTATCAACTCTGAGTCTGTGGCCTTTTGGGGTGAAAGGAATGTTTTGGTTTCGTTTTCCCCCTTGGCTTCCTTTAGATATTTTTTCCAAGGGATCTGTTCTCACTAAAAGAATGAGCTCATGTTCTAACATAGGATTTACGTTCTGTGGCAGAAACTACACCAAATTTGGAAATTTGCAAGGTAAACAGAACTTTGTCAACTTTTGCACTTTTTGGAGACTTGTTCAAAATGTAACATTAAGCATTTTGACTTACCACATATGGAGTTCGGAAAGAAACGTGACAATAAAAGACTGAGTCGGCCATGTATAAGGATCTTAAAAAATTTTATTCAACTTTCAATTAAATTCACTAATAGAGGCTAGGGGTATTTACGATCCAAAATAATAGATGGATTAAAATAATTATCAAGAAGAACACATGGATTTGGCAGTGCAGAATGGGCCTTATCATGTTCCTTGACATATAACTACCTTTGGTGTCCCTAACCTTTATCTGGGTGTTCTCAGTAGGAACCCCTACCGTTCATTTATAGTGCAGGCCAGTCAGAGTAACTTGGTAAGAGGGAAACTCTGTAACTCTGCATATGACTGTTGAGAATAGATCTTACAATCTTCAGCACAGCTTTCAATCTCAAGCCTGTTAAGTATATTGAATAAGAAGCCTAGCAGATCATGGGTATGTTGTGAAATACGTTGGTCCAAATTCCAGCTTTATCCTAGCTATAGGACAACTGGTAAATTTTATCTACATTTTTAAATCCTCAGTTCTCTTGTTGGAAAACGTAACTAACCCCTATTTGTGGGAACTGAATAAAAATCATATGTTTGAAAGCATCAAGCATGGTTGTTGGCCAGAGTCAATGTTCAATAAATATTATGTGTGTCCTTTCTTCCCCTGAGAAGCTGGGTTTAAGCTCTCATCTCAAAAACAAGCACTGGGTATATGTTACATTATATTTTCTTCAATAATGCATATGTAGCATGTATTTTTGATTGTCACCCTGTGTTTTCTTCGGTACATTTTGCTCAGGTAAATGTTTGAAGCTACTTGTCCACTTTCCTTTTTGGCACCTATAGATACAGTCAAATGCAAGCATATTCCACGGGGTTTCCAGGGATGTGTATAATACTTCCTCATCTGCTCAAGAAAGTCACTTTGACTGCCAGGAGTCAGAATGCAACATATCTTCCCTCATTTATTAAACATAAATTATTCATAAATTTTGATATTTTAGTTCTTTTCATAGCAAGTCTCTTGTAACATACATCACAGCTGATCTTGACAAATTGAAGCTGGTAATTGCTGACCTGAGCATATTTTGAGTATGCTTGAGAGAGGGATTTGGGGTAGCCAATCTAGGAAGAGTCAGGTGGAGCAAGAAGCCTGATGGTAATGTGTAACTATGGGAAGAAAATGGAATTTACTTAAAAAATAATATTGCTCCGGGGTCATAATATTTCTTATTTCTTTTGGCATAGGAAAAAGTAGGTGGCGTTAGGGTGGTGGTGCAGACTTCTAGAAACCACCAGAACAAACTGTTAAATTAGTTCATGTATCTGAAACAGATCCTGCCGTGACCCATTCAGCCTTTCCAAGAGAAAGGGAAATTACCTGGGACTGAAATGGGGAATCCCAGTTTCCATAATGAAGAGTTGAGTGACCATGGACAAGTGACTTCTTTGTGTTTTATTTTCCTAGTCTGTGGTCCAGGGATTGAAATGCCTGTCACAGAGGTGCTATGGGATCTAATTAGACACTTTAGCTGAGAGTACTTTGAAAAACATTGAGATTATAAAAGACAGAGGAATATATATTTTCATATCCAAAAGAATGATATCATTAAAATATTCTCATTGCATTTGGTGCCTCTTGGGAAAAGAAGACACACACACACATATATATATATAAAACACAAATGTGATTACTGGAAACACTCTTTTCATTAAAAATTTATAGTATAGTGTGCTATACAAATGCCAAGTTATAAAGTTATGTTTCAAAATGCCACTAGGAGTCCAAAATTGTGCTGCTACAATTGAGTTTCCTCTTGATGTTTCACTGTTTCTTTAATAAGCAATAGGAAGTATAATAGCATTCCAATAGCTACAGCCCTAAGCCTACTTCTTCCCTAGTGGAAAATCTAGTATTAATTTAGCCAAAGTGCACAAATGCTTCAGGAAAAATGGAACAGGAAATTAACTTTTCTATAGTAGTGAAGGAACTACCCGACCTTAGCAAAGCATCAATCAGAAAGCTGACTTTCATACTGAGCAGTAAACCTTCCCTACTGGACACACCCAGAGGGCAGAAGTGATTTTGAATGTTTCCCTTTACTCCCCTCTCTGTTATTATCTTTAAGAACTATCTTTTGTTTTTCTGAATAAACAGTGAAAACATTAATAACACATCTGAAACTCCCAATCATACAAGCTAAACCTACTTATCTAAGTATTTTAGAACTACATAAGCTATTTTAAAAGCAGATAGGTTTGAGGCAGAGTTAGTTTTCTTGTGGGGGAGTATATGAAGATAGGGAAGAAAGGAGGTGAGTGTACTATGTTTCTTTTAAAAAAACAATGATTAAAGTATGACCATGTTTGCTTTTAACAAACTTGTTTTGCCTGAGAGCAGATAAACTGTATTTGCGGAAATATATTCTGTCAGACATATAAACTTCACAAGCTAGAATTGTCTCCTATTTTTCTTGTAAAATAATATCTTAAAAGGAAGCCCCTTTTCTGGGATATAAATAGGAGTATGTCTCATTATCCAATAATGTGTACGTAATCCTAAGCACATTTCCAAAGTAACCAAGCATTTATAGTAATGTAACCATACCCTGTGACATCTAGCATTAAAACAAAACCTTCCAATAAATTACTGTCAGCTGGATCAGGGCAGAGACCAAGTTTACACAATTCCTGGCACATAATATGTCGAATGAATGGATGAACAAGATCTAGTGTAAGTTCATTGCGTATTCAGTATAGAACTCTCTGTGGTGGTCAGCAGTCCTTGAATTCTTCTTTCGTATTTTCCATTCAGCTCTTAAACTCTGATTATTCCCAAACAACGTCCCCACCCAGGTCTTCCTTCATTCAAAAGATGTCTTCACCTCCTGCCTTCCTAAGAAGACCAAAGCAATTTGTTTGACCATCTAAGACATGATTTCCACTTTAGACCTGACTGAGACCTACTGCTAGACCCTTTAAGAATAAACTAGAACTCTAGGAAAGGAAATTCCTTTTCCAGCCAGCCACAGAAGAAAGCCAAAAGCTATTCTGCAACACAATTGATCCCATAAAGAAAGGATTAGAGAGTTTAAGGACTTGAAAACTTGATATCAGTATTAGATCATGTATTATTCCTTCCTTTAGGAAAGAGTGCTTATATTTGGGAATTTTAGATATTGGCATTTCCTGCCAATTTTTGATTGTAGGAGCAAGAATCTGGCCATCTGATACTTAAACATTCTAGAATGAATATGTAATTTGGAGATCTCCAGGGCTGATTTTGAAAGAATATGTGAGGTTTTGTTATGATACGTTAGTGTGATTGTGCAGCATCTGGCAACATGAGCAGGAACAGGTAGACAGGGTAGAGTGGAGGCACCTCTCGAGGGAAAGCATGGGAGGGAGAGTTCTTGGATCTCAGTCAGGTTGGAGAAAGTGTTACCCAGGGTTGTCTCAAAGGAGAGCCAAGGTTGCATGTCAGTAATGGCCAGTAAACTGAAAGGACCAGATAAGAAGGCCACGGAGAGTGAATAGCCATGAGGGTAATAAGAGTAAGCAAGAAAACAGAATGAATGCCCAGACATAAATGTGTGCTGAAGGAAACTTGGTCTACTTCTTTTATGTGGAATGTGGTACCTCTTCCCCACATTCTTCTTAATACCATGGTCCCTCCATGAATAGGATAAGGCAACGTTTCTCTGGGTTTGCCAGGTATGTGCCTCTATCCTGCAGCCCTTCATTCAACAAGAAGTGGAGCCGATCTTTACTGCCCTGGAGATGCAGAGCCACCTGCATGAAGGATGTTGGCTATCCATCCTTAACCATCTGTTCAGCTCAAGGGAGCCCTGGATTTCTGGGGAAAATCCAGATGAACTGGTTGCTACATGCATCTGAATGCCAAGGGGAGAAGGCAGGAGCCAGAGATGCTATGCATGGGATTGACAATGTTAAACAGTTGAAATGGGCTTAGAACCTATCCTCCTCCTCCAGGGGGTATAAATGTGGTGACTGGATAGGCAGTGGATGGAGAATCTCTTAATCCCTAAATCAGTGCCTGAATTCTACCCTTACATCCGGCAGGTGTTCCATTAGGCTGGACTCTGCCCAGAGGAGGACATGTTTGCTCTGTGCCAGAAAGAGATTCTAGGCCGGCTGCCACAAGTTCGTTCATGATGACCCATTGCAGAACTCTGGGCTGTGTGTGTGTGTGCAGAAGTGAAATGCAAAGGGGACAGCAGAGCTAGGAGAACAACTGAGGTCACAAACTGGGCAGGATGGAGGTGGGAGGATGAGAAGCACATTTTGTGGTTGGGAAAGTAGATAGAGAAGAATGAAAATTGAATGGAGAATTAAAGCAAGGAATTCAGGAATTTCTAGGGGAACCCTTGGAAGACCCTAAGAGTAGACACTTGTGACCATATTTTCTGAGCGATAAACAGAGAATGTAATGTTTCATAAAGGGCTAATATCCTAATGTGTGAATTTATTTATAGAACATAACAAAGTAAAAATGAAGTCATATGTAGTTGTACAATTAACAAATGGACTAATTTCTGGTCCAGCCCCCAAATCTAAGAAGTATGTTCACTGTATGTATGACATCATGCCCCTATGTATTTTTATAATGATATGTTTGCTCTAGCACTGAGTTTTTATCAGAGAATAATCATAGAGATAATGGCTTATTTAGTATTTTAAAATTATTTAATGTCTCATATATAAACACTACCTTTTTGTATCCTACATGTAATTTGACAGAACGCTTATGAAACAATATGATTAAATTTTAAAGGCTTGTGTTCTCATTGTTTAACTCCTGCTTATGAGCGAGAACATGTGGAGTTTGGTTTTCTGTTCCTGTGTTAGTTTGCTGAGAATGATAGTTTCCAGCTTCATCCATGTCCCTGCAAAGGACATGAACTCATCCTTTTTTATGGCTGCATAGTATTCCACGGTGTTTACGTGCCACATTTTCTTTATCCAGTCTATCTTTGATGGGCATTTGGGTTGGTTCCAAGTCTTTGCTATTGTGAACAGTGCTGCAATAAACACATGTGCATGTGTCTTTTTAGTAGAATGATTTATAATCCTTTGGGTATATACCCAGTAATGGGATTGTTGGGTCAAATGGTATTTCTGGGAACATCACACACTGGGGTCTGTCGGCGGGTGGGGGGCTGGGGAGGGATAGCATCAGAAGAAATACCTAATGTAGATGACTGTTTGGGTACAGCAAACCACGATGGTACATGTATACCTATGTAACAAACCTGCACGTTCTGCACATGTATCCCAGAACTTAAAGTATAATAAAAAAATTTAGAAACGAACAAACAAAAAAAGCTGTTATTCCCCATTTAAAAAAAATTTAAGGGCTTTTACTTAAACTATGTTAATTTTTCAACATGTTCTTTTGTCTGACAATTCTTTAAGATCTATTTCTCTAGTAATATCTTACGCTTGTGTGGGACTCCATATTTTGGAATGCTTTTGTCTAAACTGAGTCACTTTGGATTCTTACAGTAGCACAAAAAGTAGATGGAAGGTGTCAGTGCTCATTTACAGATGAAGAAAATGAAGTTCATCAAGTGGAACTTAATTAGTGTCAGCTGATCATGAGTGGGGTTGGGGGAAATAGAGACTTGAGATTCAGGAGGCTTTGTGTTGTGGCTGGAAAAGCCTCAAACTCAGATTCAGAGTCTCTGGCATCTGTGAAAATGTTTGGTCGACCGCATGATGCTTAGGTATTGATATTGTTGTTGTAATTGCCCCAATGCTCTTTCCTTTCTGCTATATTGCCTCTGTATAGACTTACTATTTTAAGGCTGAATTGCTGAATTAACTTGTTGTTTTGGCATCAGGGGACAGAGACTTGCTATTATATTAACATTTTTCAAAAGAACAAGGTCTTTCCTTGTCCTCTGCTTGTTATTTCATAATTGTGGATTGTCAATTCTCTATTTTCTTCATTACGGACGTCCTTTAACTACTGCTGACACTGTGGTAAGACTCAGAGGGCAATAAGAAACCTCATAGAGTCAGCTGGAGAGCATTTACTTTAACACCAGCAAAAGCAATCAGGGCTTGGAGATAGAAAGAAAATAACTTCTTCCTTCTGTTAAGTGCTATGTGAGTGTCTGAGAAAGACAGGACAGGGATAGGGGAAGAGTCTAAGGAAGAGGAAAGCAGAGGGAAGGAGAAGAGACTAAAGAGGGACACACTCAGGAGTGATTTTCATTGGCTCCAAAATAGGGAATCACATCAAATTGTGTCAAAAAAGGAAAAAAAAAAGGTGAACTACGTTCTCTTTATCTTTTCAAGTTCTATCTTATTTTCAAGTTCTGTCTTATTCTTACAGACATAATGAAGGAAACTGTCAAGACCACCATCTCTCAGCTATCCCTGTGTTTTTGTAATCTCAGTTGGATCTGTGTTATGTCTGTGAGGTTACAGTAAATAGTAAACTGCTGACCCACAGCTGTGCAACGTGGGTGGCATCTCAAAGGAGCCTTGAAGAGGAGGCTGAAAAAGATACTTTTTCAGAAAAGAGAAAAGGGAAAATTTAGGAGAAGCAGAAAAGGGAAAGAGTATAGGTTCCTTCACATTGGTTGAAACGAATGAGCATTCCAGGGGAGGTGGAGGCTGGCAGACAACAATGAACACCAGGCACAGGAAGGCTAGAAGTCACAGCTGGTGATCCTAGATATGCACTTTAGGAGAAAACACTGTCCTTGTGTTCTTAGTTTTGCCTTTAATTTCTTTCTGCCTCCAAGATTCACCCTATGCGTAGGGGTTAGCTTGGGGAAGGAAGGAGCCTCACTGGAGCCGAAGCTATACCCAGCATGATTCTACATTTGCTGGAGTTTGAAGCGTTGCGAAACTGTTCAGGTTGCATTTTTTTTTTTTTTTTTTGTCTTGCAACTTGCACTCTTCCATTCTCCATTCTCTCCTCTCTTCTTCCTTCAGTTACACAGCTCTGTGTTGTACACCTTTTTCAGAAAGGCACCGTATGGTCCCAAAGTTTTGAGTGAGGAGAATGGGCATTAAACATTGAGGTTACCCAGGAATTCTCAGAGTTTACCTTCAGATTATATGTTTACTGTTTTATAGATTTGATGGAAAGTCTTCTGATAAGGAAAAATCATGACCGATCTATAAGGTATCAGTATTTCAGATGTGAACTAAGGCAACTAAGGCATTACAGCATTTATCATTAATTAATTTCTAGCCTGGGATGTCCAAGTCAGGGTCTGCCCTGCTATTCCTTCTGTTTTCTTCTTTTGTGCCTTCTTCCCTTCTAATAGAAACTAGGCTTACAGACTCCCTTTCTGTTTACTGAGTGTCTTCACAACAAATTAATTTTCCTGAAATTTTCTCTCCAATACTGGAATGTTTTCATTCTCTGTACCTTAGCTCTCTCTTTCTCAGTTACACATAGCATTATTTGACCATCCTGTTGCTGCTTCTCTTTGCTCTTTCTACACCAAATCAGGCTCCATAGAACAGAACTCACTGCTCAGGCCCTCACAGTTCTCTCTCTTCCCAGGCTTCCCCTGTATGGTTTAATGCCTCCTTAGGGCAGGTCTCAGGCATCCCTCTTATGGTTTAGTGACTCAGGTTACTTTCACTGTTTTCTTTTCTTTTCTTTCTTTCTTTCTTTACCTCTTTTTTTTAACCTCTTTTCTGCAATATGGAAGGGGTGGCTTGCGGTTTTTAGAAAATACTGCGATTCAGGTAGTAAAAGTCTCGCCTTCTGAAATTCTATCAGGGTACTCATCCATCCAGAAAACAAAACAAGAAAAGCACTCTTTTTCTGTCTATACTAAGTCCAGTTTTCCTCATCTGCCTCCTTCCTGACATGGCTTTAGTAAACCAAATCAAAGTTCTTCAAAGTCGGACCTACGTATAAAGACCAGCATAGAGTTATCAACCTTTAAATTCTCCACTACTCACCGCATTTAGGTTTCCTACTAGCTACTTAACAAGATAATAAGTAGCATTGCATTGCTCCATTTTTATCATCATTGCCAGTCATTTCTTGTTTCCTATCTGACGCTATTTGCCACTCACAATAAAAAGTATTATGGTACTGGCCTTCAAGGTCAACAGCAAGGACCTTCAAGAGAAAAAAGACAATTCTTCAAGGCAAGGAAAAGATAGGAAGATAAATTACTGATTTAATTTAATTACTTATTTTCTTTCATACACAATATTCACAATATAGGCAAGCATTAGTTATAATAGACTTACTTTGGATTAATCATTTTGGATTAATTTGGATTAATTTGGATTAATCAGAATCAAAAGACTAATCACCAAATCATCTAAAAGAGCTCCTGGATCATTCTTTAACAAACCAGAACTCTTATCTCCATAGGAAATTATGTGATTTCATTAATGGTTTATTGCTCTTCTTGCAAAACACTAGCCCTCCTAGTGAGGGCTAGAACCTGGATAGGGTGCTTCACTGTTGCATTCCCAGACCCTAAGACCATGCCTGTTACCTAGAAAATGCTCAAAAATGTTAAATAGACAAATGAAAGAATGATGAGAACAAGCCAGAGGACAGAGGCAGAATCGGTTTTGCCATCCAAAATCTGTCCCACTGGGTGCTTTTCTTCAGTATCTCTCAGCAATCCCAGCCCAGGTGCAGGACAGGCACGTTGCTGAGATCTCCCTCAGGTCCCTTAGCTCAGTGTTTCCACAGCATGCTATGCCTCCTGACTTACTGGGTTTATCCTAGTTTATTATAACTAGTTGCTTATGTCTGATTTTCTTGGTGGGCTGTTAGCTCCTTAAAGGCAGAGGATTTACTGTGGATTCCAAGCTCTTTCATGTTTGATGTTTTGCCATGTGGATGTGAAGGAAGTGCAGCACAGCAAGGAAATTTAATATATTAGATAGAGGGTGGTTGGAGTGTTGGACCATGGAATCTGAACTGCAGAGAGAGAGGCTGAGGAAAAAGGAGGCCAGTAGAAAGTTCAGGCTGGCCACAGTGGCTCATGCCTGTAATCCCAGCATTTTGAGAGGCTGAGGCAGATGGACTGCTTGAGCCCAGTAGTTCAAGACCAGCCTTGGCAAGGTGGTAAAAGCCCCATCTTTACAAAAAATATTTAAAAAATAGCTGGATGTGGTAGCATGCGCCTGTAGTCCTAGCTACTTGGGAGGCTGAGATGGGAGGATGGCTTGAGCCTGAGAGGAGGAGGTTGTAGTAAGCCTAGATCATGCCACTGCTCTCTAGCCTGGGTGACAGAGCCAGCCCCTGTCTCAAAAAAAAAAAAAAAAAAAAAGTTCACATTAGGTGAAAAGACTAATGACTAAAGAACTAATAAATTTGAAATAAATGAGAAGAGCCAGACACTTCAGTGCAATCAAAGAATGGAATATCTCATTTTATAATTTCAGGGGAGGGGCTGTTCTGAGACCACAATGTCTAAGATATGGCCATTGGAGCAGGTGTTTGAAACGAAGTGGAGGAGAGTCACTGGAGATGAAGAGGTCATGAATATTTTATGGTTTGAGATGCAAATATTGAACCTTTGACTGAAATATTCTGGTAGATTTTTTTCCACCTAATAGTTAAATAATTAAAGGGCATGCATGTATTTATAAAAAATAAGCTCATACTTTACATTTATGTATTCATTCATTTGCTCATTTATTCATCCATTCCTTCTTATTTAGAACCTGGCAGTAAGTTGCATATACAACAATGGCCAAAGCAGACAAATCTAGGCCCTCATGGAACAGAGTAGTAGGAGAAGTGGACATTAAACAAATAATATATAGTTATACATTGTGAAGTGTGCCCTTGGGAAAATTACATTGAGGGATATAGGTGATAATGGGTTTTGGTGATGCCTGTTTAAGTGGGTGCTATTTCATCAAAGCTCTATTGGGAATACATTTTTTTTTAATTTTTAAAAATTTTCTTGAGACAGTCTCGCTCTGTCACCATGGCTGGAGTGCAGTGGCACGATCTCAGCTCATTGCACCCTCCACATCCTGGGTTCAAGCATTCTCCTGCCTCAGCCTCCAGAGTAGCTGGGATTACAGGCACACCACCATGCCCAGCTATTTTTTCTATTTTTAGTAGAGACAAGGTTTCACCACATTGGCCAGGCTGGTTTTGAACTCCTGACCTCAAGTGATCCTCCTATTTTAGCTTCCCAAAGTGCTGGGATTACAGGCGTGAGCCACCACGCCCTGCAGGAATACATTTTTGATAAGCAAACTTTATTACTTTTTTATCTCTCTTATTTGTATATAAATCCACAGGTGAGTGAACTTGCCTATCATTAGATGTTGAAGGTTGGGATAGCCCCAAAGTACGGTTTGGGAGTACAGTCAGAAGATGCTCAGTGATCTGGAGTAGTTCTGAGAAATGTGTAGCCCTCCCATCATCAGCTTGAGATTCAGTTAAGTCAGCTGTAAGATGCAAACAGAAGTACACTAAAGCTTCATTTGGAGAGGGACATGCTTTCAAGCCTCACCTTGCATATCCAGAAACCTGTGGTCCCTAAAGTGTCCTGCAATTATAACATAAGTTTTAAATAGAAAATGTATATGATATAGATCCTAGAAAATTCCTTCCATTTACTTCTTACA
Organism: Homo sapiens; assembly: GCF_000001405.40. Taxonomy (NCBI): domain Eukaryota; kingdom Metazoa; phylum Chordata; class Mammalia; order Primates; family Hominidae; genus Homo; species Homo sapiens. Next base: position 121,010,946 of record NC_000007.14, read on the forward strand.
TTCCCTAAAATAAGAGTACATTTCACCAGTGGGGAAAAGAATCTGTATTTTATTCTTACAGTGCAAAAATGAACACATAATTCACTATGATAGACTCTATAATATTTCTAAAATGCCAAAATCTGGACCAGGAAGGCAATTTAACTTTTAGTCATATATAACACACATCCAAAGTCTACTATATGAGTTGTATTTGAACATCAAAAGATGTCATAAATACATGGCTACTTTAATAAATCCAGAAAAAAATCTTTCTGCTATGTGAAAAAAAAAACAAGTTTTATTTTTCAGCCTTACTATATTTTGAAGAGCTATATTTCTTGGCTTCACGGTAAGTCTTAGTAAAGATTTTTAAATGTGTAAGTAACTGAGAAATATAGTACTTTTATAAAGTAGCTCTTTATTCAATTTTTACTGTAAATTCATTATTTTGCTTAAATATTTAACTCTATATTTGTCATTCTTGCTAGTATTTACAATTCTATTGAAATAAATTTGTTAATACAAGTCTTAACCACTTTCTGTTCCCAGTCTTCCATGGCTGTATTTATAACAAAGACTTCTACACATTGAAGGAAAAGATGTTTGTATTCACTCATTCAAAGAATATTTATTATGTGTCTCTTATATGCCAAGTACTGTTTTTAGGCTGGGAAAGCAAAAGTGAACAAAATGGTCAAAAACATGTGCTTTCATTTAGCTTCCATCCTGGTATGGAGAGACAGAAAATAAACATAAGTTTCCAAGATATGGGAGGCCCAGGAAAAAAATCAAATAAATTTAATAAGTAAACAAATTATATTTATGCATTAAAACATAATCGCTCCTGTAGAGGAAAACATATATCAGGTATATGGAATCATACACATTATTGCAAAAATGCTTTTTAGGACATAGATCAAACCAAATTAATTGAAAGGCTTATGGAATTTCGAATATAAAGTTACAATATAATATTATTACTCAGTTTTATTTACATATATTTAACATAATTTATTGGTGAGACACCACGTTGGACCCTTTCATATTGAAAATTCATTTAATTCCCAATACAACCTCATATAGTAGGATTTGTTACTTCATTTACACATGTGAGAAAACTCTGATGTGTGTAGATTAATTAATTTAGCTCAGTAGATGAAGCAAGCAAGTGATGGGGCCAGAATTCAAATCCAGATTTTTGATTCCCAATCTTCTCTTTTTACTCTACTTTGCTGCATCCAATGCTCCCAGTACTTTATGACAACATTCTGTCCTTTGCTTTATCTCAGATGGCATAAAGTTTTCAGATTTTGACATCCTTTCAGTAAAAATAAAAAGTGTCCAGTTATAAAACAACTTTTATGTAGTCTAGCAAAGGGATTTCTAAGGAAATATTTTGCAACTCTCTCAAGATGAGAGAGAGGCAAGTGAACACTCAGAATTAACATTATGTAACACTCATTCTTTTCTAAATTCTGGGCCAGCAGTGTTGTGTCAAGTGAAGTTGTTGTAGTGGTGGCCAGGTGAAATGTATTCTCTTCCATTAAAAATATACCTTTGGAATTGTGGGAATAATCAGGACCTCTTATTTCTAAAAGTGCTGCTATTAGCATTTGATGATCTCGCACTTGCTAGTGCGGTTGACATAATTGTTCACATCGTTTTAATTTCACATACGCAATGTGTGCACCTGTTGTCAGACCGGCTAAAACTGTTCTTGCCCTTTGGTATTGGGCCATTCTGCTGATACAGTGTGTTATAAATATGACAAGGACAGCAGCAGTTTGTATTACAGGATAATACAACGTAATTCTACTGACAAGCTCATTTCCTATTTACTCTCTATAGTCTGAGATGTGGGTTAAAATTTCAGTCTATGCTATGATGGTTATTACCAAATATGGCCAATAATTAAACTTTATTTAGAATATGCCTTCTACAGGGTATATTAGTAAAAGTTACATTGTTCTTGCTTAAATTGATCTTGACTGGGGGAAAAGAGGATGGTATCTTTCAAAATAAAAACTACTCAAAGTTTTAAAATATCCCTTCCTTGTGTGAAATCCCTTTTGTACTTGAGCCAGCTGTAATAGAGAGGAGCATCCTGTGATTACAGAAGAAAATGTGACATGGGGATTCTGGATACAGTGGGTTTGCTTGAGTGACACCGATATATTGGGAAGCATCTGTCTTCCCCTTTCACCTAGACACTTGTTTGTTTACTTTGGCTTTCTACAGGCTACTCAGTTCCCTCTAACTCCTGTGTCCAAAGGCTCAATGTGTATTTGGTTTCAAACACTCCTTATAAATGTATTATTGCTAACATTTATAACAATGGGGGAGAATCGTGTCCCAACTTTCTCTTAAATTGTTGCATTTAAATGGTTTTCTCATCAATAAAGCACAGTGTGTTTTAACAAAGGAAAATATCTAATCAATCTTGTTCTCCCAAAGTAGCACATACAGAAGGTATGATTAGCTACAGTTCTATTCTTTTTCATTATGTTCATCACACATATAGAAAGCTACTATGTTAACATGTGCCAGGCAGAGCACAAACTCACAAGCAGTTTTTCCAGACTCATTGTTCTTTGTGATATATTATTATTAACATATAATACCTCATAGCGCCTCCTACATAGCAGGCATGGTCCTGAGCACTTTACAAGTATTAACTGTCTAATCTTCATAGCACCTTAAGAGGAAAGTATTGTCTGAAGTCACACAAATAATGCTGGTGCAGCCAGGTGATTTGAATCCAGCAGTTTAGATGCAGAGTTTGTGTCCTCCTGAACTACTCTATGCTCTGTCTATGAATTTTCAGCTAGCAATAGTTTGTGTGCAATAAAAAAATAGGATATGGTTCCTGTCCTCAAAGGATTTACAATCTAACCCTGTTTCTTCTTTCTTTCAACATGCATCTTCAAAGATTTTGATAGGTGCTATAATTCATTAATTTACTAAATATCTTCATTTATTAAGCATGTACCATATATCATGTCTTGGGATAGACATTTGAGAGACATGAACAATGCAGGCCTGGCTGTTAAAGGGCTGATATGCGAAAAATGTAATTTCCTTTCGTGAGTGCTAATGAAAGTATGCATTTCAATTAAAAATTTCCGTAAGAGATAATGTTTGACTATTGAGAGTTGATTTGGAATTTGATAAGTGAAATAACGAAAAGAGGAAGGAATTGTAGGTGGAAGGAATAGTGATGTATAAAGGAGCAGGTTGTGGGTCAGGGATAAAGATGATTAAGAGTGTGATGTGATCTGACCAGAGAAGGAAGGCAGGGTATATGTTAAATGATCTTGTGTTCCTTAATAAAGATGTAGAATTGGGCCGGGTGCGGTGGCTCACGCCTGTAATCCCAGCACTTCGGGAGGCCGAGGTGGGCGGATCACGAGGTCAGGAGATCAAGACCATCCTGGCTAACAAGGTGAAACCCCATCTCTACTAAAAATACAAAAATTAGCCAGGCGTGGTGGCGGGTGCCTGTAGTCCCAGCTACTTGGGAGGCTGAGGCAGGAGAATTGTGTGAACCTGGGAGGCAGAGTTGCAGTGAGCCGAGATTGCACCACTGCACTCCAGCCTGGGCGACAGAGCGAGACTTTGTCTCAAAAAAAAAAAATAATAATAATAATAATAAAATAAAATAAATGATGTAGAATTGATTCTATCAGTATGGGAAATAATGAAGACATTTAAGTGCTGAAAATCATGGCATTCACAACATTAAAAAGAGTGTATTTTAGGTTAATAAAATGGACAGGTTGACTCACAGCTGTCATTGCAAGTAATTTAGATTCCCAATTGTGTTTTTTACCAAGTCCCCCTCATCTTCTCCACCACCTCCTTTGGCTCCTCTTGTTCAGCCTCTCTCCTGGTTTTTGCTGACCTCCAACCAATCTCATCACTCCTTCTAGTAATAAAAATCATCTGTACTTTACTGAGGTTTAATCTCAAGTTTTCAGAAAAAACTGAGTGTCTGCCTTTAAGCCTTATAATGAATTTAAATTTCAGCCTTCTTTTTCCTTGTCAATTCAAAAATCCCCTTTGTTATTAGAATTTCAATTTCCATTGTGAGAAAGAGGAATATTTATATGAAAGAGCAATAAACTATTGAGGGAATAACGTAGAATTATGATACTTCAGTAGTTCTCCTCTCCTCACATGTGAAGACCCATTCTACCTCACTGAGATGCATTCCAGTTTTGCTACAGCCTAATTGAGAGAAACTGCAGCACTGTTTATCTACAAAGAGCTCTGGATTGCTTCTCACCTCGACCCCTTCCTGACCATGTCCTTTCAGTACAAAACCCATCCTCTCTGAGTGTTTTCTCTACTATATTTACCTAAAAGAGCTATTAAAAGATAATGCAGTTAGAACTACTTTATAAAAGCACAGTGCAGATTAAAGGCATTGCTATTAATTTGTATTTTCAGCTAGAGTTGAGCTCTGTATTTCTATGCATCAGTATTCCTCCAAGGACCTCTATATTTTATGGCCTAAAATTTTCATCTTTCTGTTACAGTGAGGACAATTCAGTTGACCTTCAGTTCTTGCATATGAGGTCATCTTTGTCCTTGTCAGCCTTTCAGAGAAACTGCCTTTCACTTCTAGAGAAAAACTTTAGAATAACTTCCCAAATAGCCCTTGATTTGCATTCATGATGTCCTTCAAGGGAAATGTACTACTTTTTTATATTGAATTTTTATGCCTTCTTTTCTTAGGTCAAAGAATCAATGGAGACACACTTTGGCAGCCATGGCCGAAGGGCCATACTCTACAGGCCTCCTTTCTACAGCAAAACAGAGCTTCAGCTACACCAGCACATTCTGACTCAACATGGCTATACGGTTGTCATCGCTGAAGAAAGGCTCAATGCTGGCCTAGGGCCGGGGCTACTAGAACAAGGTCAGAATAGTGAGAAGTAACTGCCAAAGTCACTTGACATATAATGTTGAACAATTTCTAGAATGTGCTACTATCTCCCTCTAAAAAAATTTATAAAAACAAATATTTATCCATGACCAACTTTCTCACATCATAGAAAACTTATCTCTTTTTTTTAACTTCCCCTCTATTTTTCTTTAACTGTGTCTCTTTATTCCTGAAATTATTTCATTTATATTTTTGTAGCATTTTGGAGTTGTATAGTTCATGTTTAAATGCTACATAAAATATGTTCATGTTTATGAGACTGAATACATGTTCTGCCCCGCACCCAAACTGCTTCATATTTTAAGAAAATTGCAGCTTCATCTGACTGCAAGTAGAATGTGCTGGAAATTGTTTCCAGAAGCCAGCTTAAATGTGATTCACAGATTGGCTCTAAATAGGAAAGAAGTATGGATATTGATCATATGTACCATTAGTATATTATTTCTGTCATTTGGAGAGAATAATAAAAGACAAGTTTTTAAACAAGTTATTTGCAAAGAAAGTTGAGTAAATAATGAGAGTCAAAAGGGCAATAACAATAAGACCTAACGTTTCTTGAACAAGTAACTGTGGCAGATTCCATGCTATATTCTGTATTCATGGTCACATTTAACTTACACTATAGCTGCCAAGCATCCTAAGATTAAGAAATATTAATTCCAACCCCTAACCCAGATTGCAGAAAAGGAAACTGAGGCCTTACTGGCTGAAGTGACTCACCTCGCATCTTACATCTGGTGTGAGGGATGGACAGATGGTGATACCTGTGTTTCAACTCTCACTTTCTCTGCTCTGGCTTTTTACCTCTTTGATACTTCAATCTCTCCTTTAGTCCATAATCCTGCACTTACCTATCATTTTGAGAGCTACAATAATGTAGAACCCTCATTCAGAATAAGCAAATCAGATTTTTCTCTTTATGATTGTACAATATATCTATTTTCCTATTTATTAAAAGGGGAGGAGGAGAAGCAATTTGAGTTAAGTGCTCTCAGCCATTGGTTCCTTTGGGGGAGAAGAGTCAGATCCTGGTATTACAGTAGCTTTCAGAATGATCTTGCCATCATCACAGCACTCCTTCAGTTAGGTGCCCCCTTGCTGGTTTGTGCTGGCGAATGAATGAAAGCAAGTTGGGAAGATGTTTCTGAGAAGGTTGGGGGACTATTTAGCCATGGCTATCCTTTATCACATTGGCAGTGAAACTGTGAGCTACTTAGAAGAAACTCTGAGGGAACAGAGCCCAGAAGATCTGCTTTGATGAGAAGAAAGAAGGTCTTAAAATACGCAGAGCCTGGATCATGGGGACACAGGCATTTGTTTATTCTATTTAGTCATCACTGCCTTCTAGGAGTAGTGTGGAAATCTAAAGCACTGAGCTTCTGGGAGCAAATGAGGAAAAGAAAACAAAATAGGAAAGCTCTGGAGTATTATGGAGATCTGAAAAGAAACTTTGCAAACCTTATATTTTCACTGGTGTTGGCTCTATTATGTAAGACCAATCTAGAGTCCTGGGATACCCATAAATGATACTTAGAAACCTATTTATCAGAATAGCTATTAGTATAAAGAAAAAAATATGAAATGTTTAATATTTCTTTCATTCAACAAAATATTTCATCCCATCACTAAAGGGGTGATTGTATAACTACTGCACACTGCCATGGGACCCATGCTCTTGGAGCCGTGCAGAATGGCCCTGATAACATGCTACTGTTTTCTAAAATTCCTATATTTCCCTGCCTTCTTGTTGCTGCTACTGACTTTCTATGGGCACAACATGGATTATCTGTACATTTCAACTTGAATTTAACTTTAGTTTTCTATTTTCTCCAGCTGCAAAACAGATGGATTATATCTCCTCTTTCCCTTGATGTTCTTGGGTCAGTTTTACCACAAAAAGGAGAATTACTCTGCAGCTTCCAAATATCAAGGAAGTGCAAAAACAGCCTGAAGGCAATAGAATATGGCAGCCAAAGGAACTGCTGGGCCCAGCGGCATAAGATAACTATATAGTGTCCCTAGAATTTGTCAGTGTAAATGCTGATTTGGTTTCCTTTTCCCACATTCCCACAGCTTTTAAAACATCTAAATCCTACCTCTGTCTTGGCATTCTTTTACTGTGTATAATAAGATATTATTACTGGACAGGTCTCAAGAAAGGGTAGCAATTTCACAATTTCATGAGTATGGAACATTGATTTTTGTTTTTTTATTTGATTTTGTAGTTTTTACTATGAGAACAATATGCATCAAATACCTGAAATTTTTTTTAAAAAAGAGTTGTGACTATAATCTAACATTTCCTTGATGATTTATTGTATAAAAAGAAAACATTTTTATTGCAGCCTATTTTCCATGCCACAAATTTAATCTATAAATTATGTTTGAATTGAGGCACTTGCTACAAAACAATATTTCCTAGAAATGTGATTCTTACAGAATTTGTTTTGCTTTAGTTTCACATATTCATCTCATGGTTATTTTTACCATGTGTATATCAACAGAGAATATGAAACTATAGTGGGAATATTTAAATGAAACCTTCCCAAGTTGAGCAGCCTGGGGGAAGAGGAAACAATTTAGAATAATCCAGAACCCTACTCCACTTCCTTTTACCACAGCATTTTCTGCTGTTTACTAACCTGCAATTTGAAAATATTACATTAAAAACAAAACAGATACTCTCACAAATGTTACTGAGTACCCAGGTGCAGTTTTGACACTTTGATAAAATGTATTTTTCATCCTAGGACAATAAATATAGAAGGTATTTTCTCTATTTCACCTATTTCACCTGCTTTCCTGTCCTTTCCTGATCCATCCCATTCTCCTCTAAAATCTACTTAGAGTAGATTCTATCATTGGATCCGAATTATTTATGTATACTTGAAGAGTAGTACATATTTAGCAATTTTCTGTCAATTTCTGAATACATATTGCACTTTCAAATTATGCACGTTATAATCCACACGAAAAACAAAATGCAAACCTGCAATCAAACTACAGAATTAAAGTCACTCACTTTGCACCATCCTTTGAAGGACACATGGCCCCTTTCCAGCTTGGAGTCATTCTTTTTTAACCTTTTGAGTAACATAATAGGATAAAAATCAGCAAAACTAAAATGGTCATAAGCCAGATAGGAAATACTCCACTATTAAATATAATATTTACTGGTAGAGTAACTTTGAGTTTTGTATTTGATTTAGTTTTCCTATGACTTATATACTAGACACTTATTGAAAAGGAAGAAGTAGGCAGTTTCGAGTCCTACATTAGAATATGGGTGTTATGTCACCCCACCCACTGGTTAATTCCTTTCTAGTGACATAAGAGAAGTTGATGTCTCTATTGGGAGAGATTTTAGGGCTATGAACATATGACTTACGCAAGTTAAGTTCTCTGAGCCCTAGTTCTTTTATCTGTTAAAGGCATTAATTGTTCTTAACTTCAGAGTAGTATGTGGTGGGGATTGAATCACTTTGTCCAAACTTATCAGAGTTCTAGAAGGAGACAAAGTAAAGTCCAGTCAGTGTTTTATCTCATGCAGTAGCCAGAGAAAGCGACCCAGGATTTTACATGTTAAAAACAGCCACAAGTAATTCTTATGTGTAGCCCAGTTTGGGAAGCACTGTTCTGAGGGACATATTATTGGTTCAAAGAGTAACAATTTTTAGAGTTAATTTTGGGAATAAAACAATGCAACAGTCTGCTTGCTATTATGCTATTACATTGCCTATGATTTAACTGCATAGATATTTACAAACAGCATTTCATCTTTAAACTGATTTTGAGAACAGTATGAGAACAATTGTCTTTACAGATTTAGGCCTACAGAACTTAGCAGAGTAAACATATGCACTATTATGGTTCTCCCATCCCTTGCTTTGGAAAAATATATCTTATGCCCCTGCATTTGTGAGAACATATAATTCTCTAAAGGAGAATTCCTTCTCTAAAGGAAAAGATAGAAGCACCATTCAATTATTTTGTTTCCTATCATGTAAGTGCTGTTTAGTAAATCAATGCTTCAGTGCACAGTGGCCTAAAAAGGAAAGTTTTAATCCTACTCCAGTGGTAAAATCCAAGTAGTATGTCATCAAGGACTCTGACTTAGAGTAGATTTTATCATTGGATCAGAATCATTTATGTATACTTGAAGAGTAGTGGATATTTGGCAATTTTCTGTCAATTTCTGAACACATATTGTATTGAAAAGGATATACAAATAAACAAATTATGTATATTATAATCCATGTGAAAAACAAAATGCAAACCTGCAAGCAAGCTACAGAATTAAAGTCAGTCTTGCAGTTTAAAATTGCTCTTGTTTTTATAACTTGAGGGTTTAACATAGAATGTTTTTTGAAGAAACACAGAAAGTAAAAGACCATATAGATATCCTTGCCAAGGGCTGGCAAACTATAGTCCACTGGCTAAATCTGGCCCACCGCCTGTTTTTGTAAATAAAGTTTTATTAGAACACTGCCACTCTCCTCTGCTTTTGTATTGCCTTTGGCAGCATTTGTTTTACAAAGGCAGAGTTGATTAATTGCAACAGAGTCTGTATGGCTTTTAAAGCCTAAAATTTTTATTATTAGGTCCTTTACAGAAAAAAGTTTCCTGGCTCCTGTATCCAGAATAAGCCTATGTAACTTGATGTCATACCAAGTTGATGATTCAACTCTAGGACTGAGATGTTTCATTTTTTAACTTACACCAAATCTTATTCAAAAAGGATTTGAAGGTTTACAATAAAATATATAATAACAAAATTAATAAAATGTACATATAAAATTAAGCACCAAACTGGTTATTCCACTTAGCTACTATAATTTAGGCTTAGTTTTGTCTGTGAGCCTCCAAGCACCTAGAACAATGAGAGAAATAATAGAAGTTTTACTCTCAGGAAGAAGGAACCATTATGATTCATCCCCCTAACTTCCCACATGCTCAAATGAGAAATTTAAAACAATTTTTTCAAAGGGAGTATTGAGTAAACAACAGTAAGTTATGCAATGGGTCAAAAGCCAGAGCAACATTTGTATTGGAAATAAAGTAGATGTCATATCTTGGTTCATATAGCAACATTCTAATATGAGTTGAGAGTATAACATTACAGCATGATATAGCAAAGACATTTCCATAAGGGGCTAGAGTTAATACTACAATAAATAGTATTTATTGGAATTTGTATTGAAATTAAACTTGATACAGTGTGTTCTGGAGAGTAGTATTTAAATGATGCTGCTTCACAGCTTTTCAACTCCTAATAAGGACACTCTTATTTACCCACATGTGTTCTTGGGAAATACTATTAAAAGATATAGTTAATAGAGCAAGAGATACAGATCACTACTTAATGTTGTGGAAAATATAAAAAGGAAGATCTATTTCCTTCCTTGTTTATAATTTAATAGATTTCTATCTTCCTATGTTTTATTTACATTCACTTGCACTTTAAAGAATGTCCAACATCAGTATATCACTTGATATTTAGTATAATTTTGAAGGTTATTTATAGTGGCTACTTGCCAAAAGCTGTTTCTGTAGTTTGTATAGAAAAGAAACATCCACGACAGATCAATCTTAACCTTTGTAATGGAAAACATATTTCACATTTTTCTTTTTATTTGTAATAAAAAAGAAGCTATAAGGAAGTCGAGCTTTAAATTGCCCATAAGTAAGACGAGCTTAACCACAATAATAACTTTCTTGGGGAGGTAGTAGGCTTTGGAAATTAAAAAGTATAAGCATTGAAGTAAGACAGAACCTAGGTTGGAGTCCTTAGTGTTACCTTTTAATGGTTACATAACCCTGGGCAAGTAACTTATCCTCTGAAAGTCTTGGTATTCTCATCTACAAGTTGATCCTTTTGAGGTTGTTTTAAGAATGGTACATAGTAATCACCCCATAAACGGGAGATAATATTGTTACTGCTGTCAAGAAGTAGTTACAGAAAGGAGAATATGACATTTCCCCTGTAGGGAGGTGTATTTAAAATATGCAGTAGTGTAAGAGTGCTGCTGTTGGATGTTATTATGGGTAAAATGAACTTGATAGGTGTTTTTCAATTTAGCCTTCTCGACTTATATGTTCTCATTAGAAGGTCTGGGTTGTAAATCCTCCTGAAATTCTGACATACTCTCCTGGATTATTCCCTTGGAAAAATCTCACATTAAAAAAAAAATCTGTAAGCTTCCTAAGGTCAGGGACCATGTCTTTTATGCTTATCATTTATAACCACACCTTCCACATAGGGGCATATGATAAATATTTATTAAATACATGAACAAAGGAAGATAAAATAGTACATCAATATTTGGGCTCCTTAAACAGCAAATTCACTCAGGAAACTCATATTAAACTTAGTTCATAAAACTTTTATTTTATTTGACTTTAGAGGAACACTGATATTCTATTTAGACTTAAGTCCACTCTTACACCAAAGATAATGAAACCATAAATATAGTATTACATAGGGCTGATAGTTTATACATCAAATGATTCTATACTGCTGGGGCTTTTGAGTACTTGTGTCCATTTTTAAGAATTTTACTCTTGCCTTGCTTTCAAGGCTCTCCTGTTACATTTGCCAGGTTACTTGACCTATTGATTTTGGGACAGGTTGGATGAGTTTCTTTCTATACATATTCAGTTATAGGTGCTGTGAATTTTCATAGGGATGTATTCAGCAGAAACTCAAGCAAGCAGAAATGCCAGGTCAGGAGATGTAGGTTTGTGGGTCATCTGCTGAGAGGTGATAATTGATTTACTGAAGGTTCAATAGCCTATAAAGCAGTGTGACACAGTGTTGCCTAAGGATGCTCTCTGGTAAAAGTAAGTATACAGCTTTTGCTACTCGCAAACATACAAAGCAAGAAGGAGGACAGTCAAAAACCGCGTCATATCACTTAGGTCCTATCTGCATCCTCTATATTATGCTCTGTAGTTTATTTCTTAGTGTAATGTAAGTTTTATTGGTCTTCCAGTTCTTTGCTTTGAAAAAACATATATTATGATCCAGAATTTTAATAACGTACTTCTCTAGAAAAAAAAGACACCATCAAATTATTATCTTTCCTATCATCCAGATGCTATTCAGTAAATCATTGTTTTACTTCATAGGATAGTAAGTGGCCAAAAAAAAAAAGATACATATTTTTCAAAGTTTTTAACCTGCTCCTGGGGTCAAGTCTCAGTAATATGTAGTTCAAAAGACTCTGACACAGAGTATATTTTATCATTTTGTCAGAATTATTTACGTATACTTCAAGAGGGTTTATTTCTACAGTTGCAGCAGAAGCCAGAACTGTAGCAGGAATGAGAAAACAGATTGTTCAACTGAAGAGAATATTTCTGGGAGGCCCTGTAGTAGTTGAACCAATATTTTTGTATTCCCATTGTTTAACAAGGTGCTTGAATGCAAGATTTATTTTTAGTAACTCAAGAGGGCATCACTAGGACCAGTTTATGGAAGGACATTTTATCTATCAGAGTTGTCCAGCAATAGAACAGCCCAGAACAAAAAGTAGGAAGTTTGGTTGCAACAGAAGCAACTCTGGGTTGCTGTATTATGTAGCAGAATGAGTGAAATAACCACCAAAGCTTTTTTACAACTCTACAGTTCTGTGGTACAATATAAGACTCAAACACACAGAATGAGAGAAAACAAGACAAAAATGTGAATCTCTATCATTGCAGGGATTCATTTTCTTTAGTCTTTGCTTTGTCTGGTGTTGCACGGGCAGAAGAGAGAAATAGCAGTCAAGGAAGAGGTGAGAAACACCAGTGTGGAGCAAATCTGGAGGTGGCCCTCTTGGACTAATAGTGCACATTTATAGCAGATGCTTCTGCTGGTAATTTAAGACTTGAGAGCCTAATGAACTTCTCTTCTCATTTCTTTCCCCCCTCTAGCCCCACACCAGCACCCTACTGCTTTCCTGAGTTTAATATGCTCTATGACTATTTAGCAGGAAGACAAAAGAGTAAAGGTCACATTTAAAAGGCACTGTGTGTTTTGCCTTGCCGGTGTTTTGCCTAGAACACGTTTGACATACGTTTTTCATTATGCAAGTAATAGGCTTTGGACGGTATCAGAAGTGCTTCTGTACTTTATTTAGTTAATCAAACTGGGGGGAAAAAAGGAATTGAATCAAAGAAACATGTAAGACTGCACTATTCTATTTTACTGGGTTATGACACACAGTAATTGTATGCTCAGGTTTATTGTTATTTTCCTCAGTGCTTATAGATTTACTGATGTATTTACGACCAAACAGAATTCGTTCTTTAATTGGCTCACTGGAGCTCAAGGAATGTTTATTTAACCTTAACTCAGTTGAGTTGTTTAGACTACAGGGACTTCAGTTCAATTTACTTTAATTTTTGAAAAAAATTTTCTTATTTATAAAAGTTGAGCTTAGAGTGACCTCCCCATTCTGATGTTTTCTTTACCCTTCGCTGTGCACAGAGAACAAAAAGCCAGTGTCTCGTTTTTACTCCAAAGAAACTAAACTGCTTCCTTAAATGGGTTAGCTCTTACAACTGAAAATGGCAACCAGATGTTTACCAAAGTCCCTAGCATTGCCCCTTCAAGCCTAGCTTCCTTCTAATTGTTTGATCTTTTTAAGTTTCATAGAAACCAGACTGGGTATTTAAATTGTCTAAAGCTGGGAAATGTTTAAATATAACTTTGAAGATACTTTCTCTGAACTGTCTTGTTAGATGTACTTTCTTTTATTTTTAAGGAAAAATGCAGCATTGAAAATTTGATAAGTAATTTACTTCAGGTCATTGTTCTTTTTGTATGTCTTTAAAATGGAAAAAAGACTATTTTTTGAAAAGAAATTAGACATTTTTGTTTGGTTTTGCCTAAACTGTGCTTTGAATGGCAGATTTAATTTGTAAAAACACATAATATCCGAATTACATTTAGATTGAGGAAAGACTCCAGGAAAGATAAACAAACTCCTTCATACGGGAGCTTTCAAACGACAGTTTGTGGATTAACTAAAAAGGGAGTTTGGAGACTCCAGGTACAGGGTGTTTGCTACGCCAATGCATTATCCAGTTTAGCTGTTTGAAGTATTTTTGACATTTTTCTCAATTTGGGAGGCGTTTGGGAGCTTCTAACTATAGTTCCCAGACTCTTTTAATGATTGTACAACTTTTACTTTCTACTCTCAATATTATAAATATTGTTGAAACCTCCCAACTCACTTCCTTTTTAGACTTGATGTTTCCCAAAATAATTAACATTTTCCCCTGAAGGTCTTTCATCTTTTTTAGCTGAAGTTGCTTCCCTCTTACACTGTCTCTTGGTGGACTTACAAACTACCATTTGGGTAATAAAGCCTTAAGAAAAAGTAGAAATTTTTTCTTAGCAATCTCTCCCCAATTAACTGTCTATAATGACTTTCACCCCCACCTATCTCCTAAAATTGTGCCTTCACAATTTACCAAGAAACTCCTTTTTGTTAGGAAATTCAGTCACTATTAAACTGCAATATTTTTGGTATTAGAATAGATTTGGGCGTGAGTAGAATATCAGTGTTTCTCAAAAGTTATATAAATTCTATTTAAATAATGAATTAAGCATTGATGTGAATTCACTGAGGTAATTTCTCAGTTTCTTTTTTCTTACTCTAGCAGTGTTTCCCAAACTCGATGAAATGCATGAGCCGTAGTGGAATAAACACCTTGCTCGTGGTATGGGTTGGGAGTGTTCTTCCAAACCCTTTTCCCTCTTAACCTCCTGAATGATGCCTTAACCTGCATCTCCCATCTTTCAACCCCTCCTTCTTTGTGTTCTTTCTCCAAATATGGACATTCTCCAAGATATTTATCCCCAGTCATTTTTTTCCTTTTCTTGATACTCCCGTCAAGAATTTTTTGTACTCTGCAAATGCAATATCCCCCTCAGGAGATATAACCTCTAGATAAGGTTGAATCCTATCTAATTTGTCTCCTATGGGCAGAATTTGGAGAGTCAAGATTGTCCAGGTACCTGATAGATGTTTTGATTTGTGTGTCCTACCGCCTCAACATGTATAAAACACAACTGATAGTGCTATCCCGGCAGTATCTATCATTCTTGCCTGACATGTTTCTGTTGCTAGTTCCATATTCCCTCACTCTCTCAGCTCTAAAGCTCATCATCACATCCCCCGTCCCCGTTAGGAGATCACTATGATTTAGGCAGTCTTCCTTAAGCTCTGAGCGATCATTTCTTTCTTAAAAACTTGTTAATTTCAGTGATGCCAACTTTATATTTCCATTGAGCAAATGACAGTGGTATAACTGTCAAAAAAACAAACAAAAAAACAAAAACAGAGGACTTGCTTACTTAGGTGAACTGGAATCTCAAGTTTTCAAGAGAAACTGGCCTGTTCAGGGGTCTACCTGCTTCCTTACAGTTTCAGTTTCTCTTTCCTGAAATCACAACACACATCTGTCACCAAGCCCTGTAAAATGTGCATCTGCTCTGCCATGGCTCCCCTTTCCCTACAGCTGCTTTGCCTCATCCTTGTGCTATCATAGTGGCTATTAAACACTCCCCTATTGTTTTCTGCTAAACAGAACACATATTTCTTAATTAGGCATTCAATACTTCCCCTGCCATGGGGTCAGACACTTCCACATCCCTGCTATAGCCATGGTTCTCAGGCCTGTCCGCACATTCCAATTACTTAAGGAACTTAAAAATTTAAAAAGCCAATGCCCAGGTGACACTCCAGAAAATTAAATCAGAATTTTGGGGGAGGGAGACAGACCAGGACATCATTATTTAAAAAAAAAAAAAAAAAAGTTTCCCAGGTGATACTAATACATGGCTAGGGAGGATAACCATAGTAATTGGCCTGCTCACCTTTGCCTGATCACATTTCAAAGCTTTCTGCCTTGCATTGATGTTGAGGTTTTTGTTTCCTAGAGCTCCCTCCTGTCAGTTCTTTTTTTTTTTTTTTTTTTTTTTGAGACAATCTGGCTTTGTTGCCCAGGCTGGAGTGCAGTGGTGCAACCATGGCTCACTGCAGCCTTGACATCCTGGCCTCAATGGATCCTCCCACCTCAATCCCTGAGTAGCCAGCACTACAGGAGCGTGCCACCAAGCCCAGCTAATTTTTCTTATTTTTTTTTTTTTTTGTAGAGAGGGGAATCTCACTATGTTACCCAGACTGGTGTCGAACTACTGGGCTCAAGCAATTGTCCCGCCTCAGCATCTCAAAGTGCTGGGATTACAGACGTGAACCATCTCGCCTGGCTCTGTCATTTCTTAAAGTTCAAATGAATGTATGAAATCCCCCCTCAATTCTTCTCAAGCTAGAAATGGTGAACAAATTTCCTTAGACCTCATCACACATTATTCATATATCTCTGATGCCTAGGGTATGATTTGTGTCATACTTTTTGATAATTTTTATGTGTTCATCTTATCTCCCCTTTTGTATTATAAACTTCTTGTGAAGCAGGGAGTATTTCATTCATCTATTTATATGGTATTCTGCATAAAACAATGTCGTGCATATACCTAGTAGATACACAATTAAATGTATATGCAATTGAAAAAACAAACCCACAAATACACTAATAAAATAGCTGAATCTCTCCTTCAGATATTCAAGTGCCATTTTCTTCTTTGGACTTTTGGAAAAAAAATTAGTGATCTTCATAAGAAACAGCTCTATGGTACAGCAAAATGAAATGTGCTCAGGGCTGTGTCTCAGCTCAACCAACTGAGGAACAGAACTCACATCCCCCTACCCCTAGTGAAGTCTCTTTGTAACATTCTTTCAGATTTCATCAAACCAGTGACATCTCTGTTGCCAAAGAAAGAATTCCACCAACAAGTTAATTATAACCTTTAGTAATAATAATAATAATAATAATAATAATAATAATAATGAGTTTCAGCTCTTTCTCGAAGGAAAAGTAGGAAAGTCACATGTGAGTCTCACCATTTATACAACAAAATGTTCCATTTAGAGTGGGGAACTCTTGGAATTTAAAAAATCTTGTTTAACATTCCACCTCCTTATCAGAGTCACTAAACAAGCGATTAAGGGATGAGGAGAGCAGAGGCGACTCTCGGGGACCTGACTAGCTCTATATTTTATAATTATCAGAAGCTAAATGGAATCCCTGTCTGGATGTTTGCCTGAAAACATAGTTTTGGCAAAGCTCTACCATGGTACCTACTGATTTGCTAGGATGGTGATTTTCAAATTTGGCATGCGTCAGTGTTCTCTGGAAGGCTTGTTAAGTTGCAGACTGCAGATTGCTGGGCCCTACTCACAGTAGATCTGATTCAGTAAGAATGGAGAGGCAGGTTAAAAATTTGGATTTCTAACAAGTTTCCAGGTAATGGTAATATGCTGGTCCTGGGACCACGTGTTGAGAATGACTGTGCTAGTTACTTTTTTATTATGGTTTTTCAGCTTTTCTTACAGAAGCACAAAGAACTTCTGTGTATTTCCTATTTAAGTAGTTAGTAGCCAAACAATTCCTCATTTGCCTTGCCAGGACCCTGAATCAACCTTTCACTTTGGTAAGAAGCCCCACACTGAATTTGCGCAGACGCTGAACCCATTAATTATGAGTTGACTTGCAAAGTATTTGTACATGTTAGCTTCTTTACAGTCAAAGCCAATGATCTCATTTTAAAATGATAGCACAAGCAGCTGAATTTAGACTGTCTTTGGACACACCGAACTTTCTGGAAGAGAGTAGGATCAAGGCAAAAATATGAACACGTTTTATTGCACATAATAATTATAGGCCCCAAACAGAAGCAAGATGATACTGTGGAAAAAACATTGGCCTAGGTTGCATTGTCTATGTGAAACCATGTCTAAATTGCTTAATTTCTCCAGATGCTTTTCATTTGCATAAAATGGATATTTTTGGATTAAATGACCTTTAAGGTCCATTCCATTTGGAAAGTGCAAAAAGAAGTACACTAATGAATGAGAGGGATTACCTGTAAACCACCAACAAAGATAATTAATGTTGGATGTTTCTTTATAAGCTTTTATACATTTTATGCAGTTTTCTAGCTTGCTTTCTTAGCTATTAGTTTAATAGCTAATAATAATAAACCATTTTTAGCTTTATTATTATCAGAAACACATACCATAAAAACTTTGTAAACATTATTTCAATGGCTGTATAAAGTTATATTATATAAATTTATTTAATACTTCCTTAACCTAATTTACCTAATTTTTCCAACATCATTAGATAATTATATTTCCCACTGTTTTGCTGTTGTAAATAATGCAATCATAACATTATTATATGTAAATCTTTGTCCACATTCCTAATTATTTTTAGCATAGATTTCTGAAATTAAAGTTATTGGAATAAAGGGTGAGAATCATTTCTAAAGCTCTTCATTTGTGTTATCAAAATTCTATCTGAAAAGGTTAAGTCATTTCTCATCAGCTGCACAAGAAATTTCCCATAAGAAACAAATCTCTTATTTCAATAAGTGAGGCTGTTTTAAGATTGAGGACTTTACCTGTTGTTCTATGGAAGTATAGAGTGAAATTTCAAATTCATAGTTGTAGTATAAAACTGATGAACTTTCTTCTGGAAAATTGTTATTTGTGTCATATTAGAAATGCTGGGAATGCTGGAATGGCAGGCACGTTCCACAGCTATCTGAAAACTCATCCAGATAGCAAATGTATCAGGAATAATGAGGGTTTACATTTTCATTGGTGTGTTTGCTCAAATATTTCTGTTCATTATTTGTCCACTTTCAGGAGAGATAGCATATTAAGGTTAATCAGCAGCAATTTATTTTGTGTGGTACCTGAAATTTCTACTTTATAATCGTACATGACATGATTACCACATGATAAAATCGATTTTTATTTCTTGTCTTACGGAAAGAAATCCTATTATCTTGTCTTGTCACATTGAGTATTTTTAAGGCACTCTGTCTTATATCAGACATTTTGAATTTTAAAATGATCAATGTCCAGGTTAATTTTATATACATTTTCATATCTGTCTAATTTTTTTTGGCATTTTATAGTGCTTTGAAAGATACAGTGTGTAAAAGACAATTTATGTTTTAGAGAATGATGTTCCTTACCTTGATGCATAGTCTTCCTGTTTATAAAGATGTTACATGTTTATGGTGGAATAGTCAATCAAATACTGGCAAATACAAAAATAAAAGTGAAAATTACTCCAAATTCCAGAGATAACATGGTTAACAATGTTGTGCATATTTCCAGGAATCTTTTTAAGCATCACACATGCACACACAGACACACACACACGATAGACACACACATTTATGTTCTACTCTTTTACCTCCTGCCTCTTTACAAACAGTACATGATAAAAGACTTGCCATATTAACAATTTTAAACAATTAATACATTTTTAAATCAATAGTTTTAAGCTAGCCTTTATTGAGTACAGTATTCCTCCCTTATCCATGGTTTCACTTTCCGTGGTTCCAGTTACCCGTAGTCAACTGCAGTCCAAAAATATTAAATTGAAAACTCTGAAATAAATAATTTGTAAGCTTTAATTGTGCATCATTCTGAGTAGCATGAAGAAATCTCAAGCTGTCTAACTCTGTTCTGCCCCAGGACATGAATCGTCCCTTTGTCTAACATCTCCATGCTGTAGATGCCCCCTACCCTTTGAGTCACTTGGTAGCCTTCTTATTTATCAGATCGACTTTCGTCTCAGTGCTTTACTCAAGTCATCCTTATTTTACTTAATGGCCCCAAAGGGCAAGAGTAGTGATGCTAGTATATTGTTATAATTATTCTATTTTATTATTAGTTATTGTCATTAATCTCTTAATGTGCCTAATTTATAAATTCAGCTTTATCAAAGATATGTATATATAGGAAAAAAATAGTATTTTATAGTGTTTTGTACTATCCATAGTTTCAGGCATCCACTTGAGGGGGGAGGTCTTGAAACATATCTCCTGCAGATAAGGGGGACTACTATATTAATTAAATGCATTGTTCTATGCACTTTATATGTATTAACTAATCTATTTCTCACTTCTAGTCCATAAGGTAGATATTTCTATTTCAAAGATGAATTGAGGTTTAGGCAGTCATATATCCAAAGCAGTTCATGTCATAAATGGTGGAGTTGACGCTTGACCCAAGGGTCAGTTTATCATCAAACCTGAGCTTTTAACCAGAATATCATACAGATTTCCTGCAAGTGTATAGAAAATGCATGCTTCATTCTTTTTAGCATATTATTGTATGCATACACCATATTTTTAAACAAATTCCTTCTTAATAATTAGGTTTTTTCAACTTGTTGCTATAAAATACAACTTTGCTGTGATATTCATTTATATCATATTTTAGAGATTTGAGTTATAATACAAAATTATTGCATCAATGGGTAAAAATATTAAAACTGTGGGCCTGCCTGCCAACTTTTTTCTTTTTTTGTTTTTTTCGAGATGGAGTCTTGCTCTGTTGCCCAGGTTGGAGGGCAGTGGCGTGATCCCAGGTTCAAGCGATTCTCCTGCCTCAGTCTTCTGAGTAGCTGGGATTACAGGTGCCTTCCACCACACCCAGCTAATTTTTGTATTTTTAGTGGAGATGGGGTTTCACCATGTTGGCCAGGCTGGTCTCGAACTCTTAAACTTAAGTAATCCACTCGCCTTGGCCTCCCAAAGTGCTGGAATTATGGGCATGAGCCACCACACTCAGCCAGTCTCTGCCAATTTCTCTACAAAAAGATGGTTTCTGTTTTTGCTTCCACCAACAGTGCTGATACCCTATGTGTCTTCAGTATTAGACATTATCACATGTCTTCAGTATTGGATATTTATCTCATCAGATTAAAAAATGACACAAAATGTCTATTTTTAATAAAAATTTTGATTTTCACATCAGTTGAAAATATATTATTGACTAAATACATTTAAAATAATTTTATTTGTAAAACTTAATACTATGTATATATGAATACACAGTTCATAGAAAAGCAAATTTAAATGACAAAATGAAGAATAGATGCTGAACCTCATAAAAACTTAAGGAAAGATAATTTAAAATATAGTGTATTACTTTATATTCATGAGATTGGCAAAACCTAAAATTAGTGATATCACCTATTGATGGTGAGGATTCTGAGAAAGAAAACTCTCATACATTGCTTGTGGAAATGTGAAATATTATGGCCTTATTTTGGGAAAGCAATCTGGAAATATCTATACAACTTTAAATATACTTTTAAGCCAACAATCTTATTCTTGGGAACCAACGTGATAGAATTTAAAGCATCAAAACATTATAAAGTATATACCTAAATCTTAAAATTAATAATGTTAATGAAGTAGGAAAAATGATTTTAAGTAAGGACAAACAAAAGAAGCAAGATTGCTATACAAATTTTTAGTAGTAAACAATTAGAGATAAAAACAGTGAATTATGTTCTAAGCATTTCTGGAAAGGTAGAAAATTAATATTATGAGACTAAATGGAACTATGATTTGGCATAATCCTGTTAAAATGTGAGATAAAGTGTGCTTCTCCATCATTCTCAGCAAACTAACATGGAACAGAAAACTAAACACTGCGTGTCTCATAAGTAGGAGGTGAACAATGACAACAAATGGACACAGGGTGGGGAACATCATACCGCGGGGGGGGCCTGTCAGGGTGTCGGGGTGGTGGGGTGGGGAAGGGGAGGGAGAGCATTAGGACCAATACCTAATGTATGCGGGGCTTAAAACCTAGATGACAGGTTGATAGGTGTAGCAAACCACCACGGCACATGTATACTTACGTAACACACCTGCACGTTCTGCACATGTATCCCAGAACTTGAAGTAAAAGAGAAAAAAAGGAAAAAAAAAACAACACTTCTTAGAGGTGTAGGAATGATGCAGTTTAATAGTACTTGGCATAGTTTCACATTGGCCTAAATATTCTTCATCTCATAGATGACAGAATTATTAGCCTTAGGAGACACTTCTGATATATCCTTGGCTGCTGGGAACAGGGCCAATTTTAGGAAAATTGTGAAGTGGATGAAACTTGTCTTAGGCGACAGCCCTGATTACTCATTACCCAGCTTCCTCTGTATCTAAAGCATACACGTTAGGATCCAAGGAGACCTACCACCTGGAGCTTGTTGTTATTTACTCATGAAAATGTACCTTCCTCCATCATATTTCAGGGCTCAAGATGTCACCTATTCTAGCAAATAAGAGAAAACTGCTGAGCCTGGTTCTAGGTAATATGCATACATTTTAACTGAGGCCAACTACTGTGAGGTCCTCTCTTTTTCTTAGATTGAAACCACTGCTGAGTGTCTGTCAAGTTAATATTTCTTCCTTCTGTAGGAGGAATGCCTGCTGAAGAAACATGAGGGTGTGGGTCAGGGTTAGAAGAGACGATTATCATTTCCTGTGTTTTCTTCATGACACTATGTTATGTCACTGTGTTCAGAAGCCTTAAATAATAGGCTGGCAAGACACATAGAAGTCACATTTTGTTACTTGAAAGTTCATCACCTAGATGTCGGATTTATCTGCCTGTATCTACCTACCACCTACCTAGCTATTCACTAAATAAACACTTATATAAAGCTATCAAATACTGACAGTGTCCTACACACTTTAAAAATATTAACTCACCATCCCTGTAACATCCCCAAAATGTGAGTGTTATCATTCCTGGGAGGTCTGAGTTTTATGCCTTATATCCTCTATTTGAAATGACCCTGAACAAGCTTATTAGATTATCTATTGTTTGATTTTAAAATGGAAGATAAGACTTCCTTCATAAATATCTCACAGTAATGTTATGGTTGGGTTCAATAAATCTCCAAAGATTGTTGAAAATAATGCTTATGAATAGATGTGTAATCCTAAAATACTGTGGCATTAAGTAATAAGCCATTGAGAGACAGTTGATTCTTTTTCTCATGTTAGTGAATTATATTTTCTCAAGCCTTAATTCTCATCTGTGCTGAATTAGTGTGGATTTATTCTTGAAATAAATTAGAAATTAGTGGTTCTCTCCTTCCTCTTAGACTTCTCACAATCCCCAATGCCTTATTATACAATGTTAACCCAGATATGATGAGGTTTTGTTCATTGCATTTCACATAAGTCATGAAAAATAACATTTAGTAGAA
This sequence comes from Homo sapiens, assembly GCF_000001405.40. Classification (NCBI taxonomy): domain Eukaryota; kingdom Metazoa; phylum Chordata; class Mammalia; order Primates; family Hominidae; genus Homo; species Homo sapiens. The sequence goes on from NC_000007.14 coordinate 121,034,023, forward strand.
CAGGAAGAAGGAATAATATTTGGTTAAATGAAGTGTCATAATGCTAATTATACACTAAAACCGCTTTTGCTGTTCTGCAGAATTTGGCATAAGGAATGTCTATCAAAAAGTCATATTATATACTCAAGTAATACAAGTAATAAAAGAAGCCAAGATAAAGCATCAAACTCAAAACAAGGATTATAAGGAGGGCATTATTATAGCCAGACATCAAGTTTTTTTTTCTTTTTTTTTTTTTTTTTTGAGATGGAGTCTCGCCCTGTCACCCAGGCTGGAGTGCAATGGCATGATCTTGGCTCACTGCAACCTCTGCCTCCCAGGTTCAAACGATCCTCCTGCTTCAGCCTCCAGAGTAGCTGGGATTACAGGCATCCACCACCATGCCCAGCTATTTTTTATATTTTTAGTAGAGATGTAGTCTCACCATGTTGGCCAGGCTGTTCTCAAACTCCTGACCTCGTGATCTGCCCGCCTCTGCCTTCCAAAGTGCTGAGATTACAGGTGTGAGCCACTGCGCCTGGCCGACATCAAGTATTTTATAAGTGACACTAAGCACTCAAGTCTTATTCAACACACTGTTATTAAATAAGAGCTATATGTAGGACCCTATAATTGGTGTGGGTAGGGGAGGGAGCATTACAAAGGTAAGACCTTTCAAAGAACAATTGGGCAGAGGTGTTTCTCGAACTTACTTGTATATACCAATCATCTAGGGAGCTTATTGGCAAATTCTGATTTGGTATGGTCAAAGATGGGGCCTGAAAATTTGCATCTCCACCAAGCTTTCAAGTCATGACAATGTGGATCCATGGAGCATTTCTGAGTAGCAAGGCTATACATGTTTAAATGTAATATCAGGTAAAATAGAAGCAGTCTGAAGGGCAGAAATAAAATGTTTTGGGAGAACAGAAAAGGAAATGGGCAATTCTGAATGTGGGGATCTAGGAAGGTGTCACAAGTAGAACACTTGGTGTGTAAGAATGATTTCTTAAGCAAATATAGGAGGGAAGAGCATTCAAAAGTGTGAGCTCCATACTAGAGGCATATAGGTTTGTAAGAGCTTGGAGTTTCAGGGACCAAAAAAAGGCAGGTGCAGCTGGAGAACAGGAGTGTTTGTGGTAGGGAGGGGCTACTTCTGGGGAAAGGAGACTAGAAGACTGGGTTGGAGTAGATGTGCAGGGACTTGGTTGCTGTGCTAAGGAATTTGACCTGTATTGTTCTGACAAGGATGAGATCTGTATTTTAAGAGAATAACTCTGACTATAGGAAGAAAAATAGATTCTAGAAGGAAAAATAATTAGAAGCAGGAAGACTAGCTAGAAGACTTTGCAGAGATGATATCTTAGATTTAGAGAATGGGATAGGATTTAGAAAGGCCAGGAAATATTTTAAAAATTTAAATTTCAAATTGATGGTGTTTGAAATTAATAAGATTTGGGAAGGAGATGTGAGTACCAGTTGAAGATGTCCTTATGCCTTCTAGTTTGAGAAAGAGTGGCTATAGCTTTGATGATTAAAAGAAAATGTAGGACTGGGCACAGTGGCTCAGGCCTGTAATCCTAGCACTTCGGGAGGCAGAGGTGGGAGGATTGTGTGAGCCCAGGAGTTTGAGACCATCCTGGGCAACAGAGTGAGACCCCTGTCTCTACAAAAAATTAAAAAATAGCCAGGTATAGTGGTGTGCAGATGAGTCCAAGCTACTCAGGAGGCTGAGGCAGGAGGAACACTTGAGTCCAGGAGGTCAAAGCTGCAGTGAGCTGTGATCGCACCACTGCACTCCAGCCTAGGTGACCGAGTGAGACCCTGTCTTAAAAAAATAATAATAATAAAAAAAAATAAATAAAAAGGAGGAAGAGCGGGTCTTTTCGTGGGAGATAATGGGTTCAAATTTGTACGTTTTCAGCAGGGCATCTCTTCTAGAGTATTACTGGAAATGCCTCTTGAAACATAAGAAAGATTAAGAAATGTGAATTTGTGAGCCAATGACAGAAGCAATAGTTAAAACCATATATGTCAATAAAATGCCAAAGGAGTTGTTAAATTTAGAGGGAAATAGTAATAAAGGTAAAGGAAAGGTAGGGATTTGAGGGGCTGCATGCATTAAAAAAATTTATTTCAATAGGTTTCTGGAGAACAGGTGGCATTTGGTTACATGAATAAGTAACTTAGTGGTGATTTCTGAGATTTTGGTGCACCCATCACCCAAGCAGTGTATACTGTACCCAATGCGTAGTCTTTTCTCTTTCACCATCCCCCAGCCTTTTCCCCAAATCCCCACATTCCAGTGTATCATTCTTACGCCTTTGCATCCTCATAGCAGCTCCCACATAATACTGAGAACATATGGTGTTTGGTTTTCCTCCTGAGTTACTTCATTTAGAATAATAGTCTCCCAGTTCCATCCAGGTTGCAGTGAATGCCATTATTTCATTCCTTTTTATGGTTGGGTAGTATTCCATGGTGTGTGTATATATATATATATATATTTTTTTTTTCTTTCTTTATCCACTCATTGATTGATGAGCATTTGGGGCTGGTTCTACATTTTTGAAATTGCAAATTGTGGGGCTATAAACATGCTTGTGTAAGTATCTTTTTCATATAATGACTTCTTTTCCATGGGTAGATACCTAGTAGTGGGATGGCTGAATCAAATAGTAGATCTATTTTAAAGGTTTTAAGGAATCTCCACACTGTTTTCCATAGTGGTTGTACTAGTTTACAATTCCACCAACAGTGTAAAAGTGTTCCTTTTCACTACATTCATGCCAACATCTATTTTTCTTTTTCTTTTTTGATTATGGCCATTCTTGCAGGAGTGAGGTGTTATCACATTGTGGTTTTGATTTGCATTTTCCTGATAATTAGTGATGTTGAGCATTTTTTCATATGCTTGTTGGAAATTTATATACCTTCTTTTGAGAATTGTCTATTCATGTCTTTGGCCCACTTTTTGATGGGACTGTTTGTTTTGGTCTTGCTGATTTGTTTGAGTTCCTTGTATTCTGGAAATTAGTACTCTGCTGGATGTATACAATGTGAAGATTTTCTTTCCCTCTGTGGATTGTCTGTTAATTCTGCTGATTATTTCTTTTGCTGTGCAGAAGCTTTTTAGTTTAATTAAGTCCCTTCTATTTATCTTTGTTTTGGTTGCATTTGCTTTTGGGTTTTTGGTCATGAAGTCTTTGCCTAACCTAATGTCTAGAAGGGTTTTTCTGATGTTGTCTTCTAGAATATTTATGGTTTTGTGTCTTAAATTTAAGTCTTTGATTCATCTTGAGTTGATTTTTGTATAAGGTGAGAGATGAGGATCCAGTTTCATTCTTCTACATATGGCTTTCCAATTATCCCAGCACCATTTGTTGAATAGGGTGTCCTTTCCACACTTTATGTTTTTGTTTGCTTTTTTGAAGATCAGTTGGCTGTAAGTATTTGGGGTTATTTCTGGGTTCTCTATTCTGTTGGATTGGTCTATGTGCCTATTTTTATACTAGTACCATGCCATTTTGGTGACTATGGCCTTATAGTATAGTTTGAAGTCAGGTAACGTGATGCCTCCAGATTTGTACTTTTTGCAGTCTTGCTTTGGCTATGTGGCTCCTTTTTGGTTCCATATGAACGTTAGGATTATTTTTTCTAGTTCTGTGAAGAATGATGGTGATATTTTGATGGGAATTGCATTGAGTTTGTAGATTGCCTTTGGCAGTTTGGTCATTTTGACAGTATTAATTCTACTCATCCATGAGCATGGGATGTGTTTTCATTTGTTTATGTCATCTATGATTTCTTTCAGCAGTGTTTTGTAGTTTTCCTTGTAGAGGTCCTTCACGTCCTTGATTAGGTATATCCCTGAGTATTATTATTATTTTTGCAGCTATTTTGAAAGGGGTTGAGTTCTTGATTTGATTCTCAGCTTGGTCACTGTTGGTGTACAGCAGAGCTACTGATTTGTGTACATTAATTTTGTATCCTGAAACTTTGCTGAATTCGTTTACCAGTTCTAGAATCTTTCTGGATGAGTCTTTAGGGTTTTCTAGGTATACAATCATATCATCAGCAAGCAGCGACAGTTTGACTTCCTCTTTGCCAATTTGGGTGCCCTTTATTTCTTTCTTTTGTCTGTTGCACTGGCTAGGACTTCCAGTACTATATTGAATAGAAGTGGTGAAAGTAGGCATCTTTTTCCTGTTCCAGTTCTCAGGGGGAATGCTTTCAACTTTTCCCCATCCAGTATAATGTTGGCTGTGGGTTTGCTGTAGACGGCTTTTAGTACCTTAAGGCATGTGAGGAGCTGCATGTATTAAGAAGGGGCTTTCAACTCCAAATTTGATCTATTTTTCAGTCCTCTGAATTTTTTTAAAAATTGGAATTTATTTGTGGAAGAATGCATGTTACATAAAAAGTAATTATTTTTACCTTCAGCATTATAATGCTGATTGGTTTTGTGATACAACATTCTAAGTATAAAATACTTTGGTGACATGTATAATTAATATGTGAAAGTCTGTGTCTAGTTACTACCACATAACAATCATCATCTTGTTTCTTCTGGAGAATTCATTTATTCAGACTTTTTAAAAACTGAAGTCCATACTTTGTTCAGATTTTCTTAGTTTTCATCTAATGTTCTTTTTCTGTTTCAAAAATCCCATCTAGTATACCATATTACATTTAGTCATCGTGTTTCATTCAGCTCACTCCTCTTGGCTGTGACAGTTTCTCAGACTTTCCATTTTTTATGACCTTGACAGTTTTGAGAGGAACTGGTCAGCTATTTTGATGTCCCTCAGTGGGAATTTGCCTGACGTTTTTCTCATGATTAGACTAGAGTTATGGTTTGAAGGAGTGTGAACACAGAGATAAAGCATCATCCTTATCATGTCATGTCAAGAGTTTGTACTACCCACATGACTTAGCTCTGTTCACGTTAACCTGATTATCTGACTGAGGTAATGTTTGCTAGGTTTTTCCACTACAAAGTTATTCTTTTATTCCCTCTTTCCATATTGAACTACTTGGAAAGGTGTCACCATGTGCCATTCACGCTAAAGTAGTAAGAACTTATGCTCTACCTCCTTGGAGGCAGAGTAGCTACGTAACTGTTTTGGAATTCTTCTGCATGAGAGATTTGTCTCTTCATCACTATGTATTTATTTATTCAGTCAGTTATTTGCACCATTATGGGCTCATGGATATTTATTTTCTACTTTAGCTTATAATTCAATATTACTCTATTTATTTAATTGCCCAGATTGCTCCAGCTCTAATCGTTGACTTCAGTGTGTCTTCGACGTACCTTTGTTGTTACTTTTTTGTTTGCTTGCTTGTTTGTTTTTGAGCACTTCTTACTTTCTGACACTGCAACAGTCTAAGCTTATCTTGTGTATTTCCTGCCCCAACCCTTAAAACAGTCATTCCTCCAACAACATGTTTCCTTTTATTGGAGAATGGTATTATAAACCAACATTTTGCACTGGGAGTTTTCTGATTTTTAAATTGTTGCAATGTTAATATCTTTTAAGGTGTTTCAAGCTGCTGAGCATTTCAGACATTTAGAAATTTCGTAAAATGCAGTAATGAGAGTGTTGTCCCAGACAGACAATAGTCTTGAAAGCAGTAAAAATGTAAGCACGCATACCCACACATGTATATAGTCAGTTACACTTCAAAAGAAAATGACATAAATGGCATGAACACCTTTTTAAAAAAATCATTTAAAAAAACTAGGAGGGAACTTTAGCAAGCCTTCTAAAGTGAACATTTCTTAAAGGATTTATTTCACAAAAGTAAACTCATTGATTTCCTTTTACACTTTTTTAAATGGCTAATTTCTTCACAACAAAAATCTTTTCTTTTGCAAAATTTAAGGATAATGTCACTTTCTTGAACCTATGAGTAGCTTAGAAAAATTTAGGGAGCTCAAAACTCATCACAGATACTATTATGTCTCATTGATCTTTACAACCTCTTGTTGGGCAGAAAGAGGGTAGACATTAGGACAGGAAAGCCTGATCCCTAGTATGGGTTTAGGCCATTCATGGAGAGAATGGTTTAGAATTTCTCTGTTGAGTAACATAACATTTTCATTAACCCTTAAAGGCTATGGAGCCAGAAGCATAGCAAGTAAACACCCATGACCAGCCACTTGAGGTGAAGAGACCAGATTTATTTAGATTTTGTAGCCATGTTGTATAGTTCATTCAGGATCTCAAGCTTCCGTACATACGATTTCTCTTAAATTTAATTCTGAAAATTAAAATAGTCAACCCAGTAAACATCTACTAAGTGTCTACTATAATCAGTGTTAGAAACAATAAGGTGACTGTTTCTTGTCCTTAAAGAACAATCATAGATAAAATTAATTATGGGTGCTGTGGTACTGTTCCATAGATCTCCTACATGAAGAGTGCAGAGTAAGGAATTGGTTAATGCAACTTGAGAAATTTGGGAAAAGATAGAGGAATTTGCAATGATTAACTTATATCCAACTAATCTTGTAGTGGAATCAAGTATAGACCCTAATTTATCATCAATAAGCTAAAAATGTACTCATGAACATAATACTATGCACTAATCCTGATAAAGGATGGATACAGGTAAATACTTTGTTATTTAATAGGGATTTTATAATTTAGTTGTGAAAAGAAGGGTAATACAAATGAACAGTGAACAGATAAAATATCCTCACATATTATATTATAAAGGAATATTATGAATTACTAAAAAATTAAACACCTTTAGTACTTCACCTTAAAGGAAAAAAACTCAGGAAATCATCCTTGTTGTATCCTTATGGAATATGATAGTTTAATATCGTGAATAAGTAAATGAGGCTTGGCTTTTGTAGCTTTGTATTCTAGAAGCTCTTGGACATGTTTTTTTCCAAACTATACTTTATAAATCTGTTCTGCCTCAAATTAATGTGTAAGTGTTTACAGAAAATTTCCAATATGTAAAGCACTGGAATCTCCCATTTGTTTGTATAATTTAAGCACAATGAATTATTAACTTTGTTCTTCTCATGTTTATTTCTCTTCTTTTATCCTTACCAGCTAAGAACCAAAATTATATTTATTTCCTCTTTAAAAAACTAATGTTTTTCTTACTATTATTCTATTTTTAACTTATAGAATAGAATTTCAATATACTTGCTTTTGATTTAATTATAATTGTTTGCTGTTCACATGCAGTTATTCACTGATTCACTCATTTATACATTTTATAAATATGTGGCAAATGCTTTACATTTCAGTCACTATTGTAGGTACTGAGAATTTAGCAGTAAACAAAATAGATATAGTCTCTGCCATCATGGAGCAGATTTTCAAATTGGGGGAACCATAATAAACAAATACAGAAAAATATATATATATATATAATCTGTGAGATGGTGGTAAACACTGTGGAGAAGAATAAAGCAGGAAGAGACTTAATATTCTTAGATTTTTATTACGTGTGCCAGAAAATTAAAGTTGTCCTTCCTTGAGAATAAACAGCATTTGATGCTAATATGAACGATGCTATCTCAGATTTCTCTGTTGTTCTCTGGATTAAATTACGGATCTTGCAGATGTTATCAGCGAAGGAGGTCATTTGTGAGCCAGGAAATGAGTGTTTGCTTTATGGCAGCCTGTCTATGAGAAACTGGAAATATTCTAAAGGCAGCTTCACTCCTTAGGGCAGATGCTTCATTTTAAAACCAAACAAAACAAAAACCTCTAAAAATTGCTCTTACTTTTAACATGAACAGATGTTAGCTGGTTTCTGAGAACACTTAGAGAAGGATAAAAACTATAGTCAGTGCCATTTTATATCTGAATTAATTGATCTGGACCCTGACGTCTCCTTCCAAAATTGTCTGAGAAGTTTTCATCTTTTCCAGAGATAACACTATGAAGGCATGATAGTGATTCGTGTTATCAGCAGCTTTGCTTCCATGTGTTTGGGAGGTGCCTGTAGGTTTTTCACATTCTGAGATGGGGACTGGAGCATCCACATCCTGTTTTCCTAGAATTATGCCCTATGACCTTTCTATTTAAGACCTTGGTAAGCCTGATCAGGAAGTTCTGGTTTCTCCGCAACAGGGAAAGAAATAATTTTAATTGTTAAAAAAAAAAAAAACTAAGAAAGTTTTAAGGATATATTTTCAAAAATAGGTAGAGGCCAAGTACATATTTCTAGTTCCTGAGTACCTGCGAGGTAAGTACTAGCTCCTTTTATATAGGAAGATTTAACTTTGATTACCAGTGGTATTGCCAATAGTATGATGGGGCACGATACTCAGGTGAGGGTCTAGGGATACCTGAGTTATACCTGCTGTAGTTATTTCTTCCTCTGAGCTTCCAAAGACAAACAGATGTACCAGACAGTGAGAGAGAAAGGCTAGAGCTGGATAATTTCTGTGTCTGTTTCCTCACTTGTAAAGCACATGTAATAACATGTAATAATTGTTTCTACTCCACAGGGTTGTTGGAAATATTACATAAATTAATACATGTAAGGCATCAATAGCTAAATTTCTTTGTTGCTTCCCTGTTTTCAAAGGAGATAATGGTGTAATGTTCAAGAACATGGCCACTAGAGCTAGTTGTTTGTATCCAAATTCTCTTCCCACCACTAACTGGAACGGCGAAGTTGGGCAAGTTATTTAACCTTTCTGTGCCTGTAAAAAATAGAATAATCATATCAAATAGATTGTTGTATAGGATAAATGAGATAATACAAATATGTGGAACAATATTTGGCACATTGTAAGTTCTGAAGAACTATTAGCTGTTCACATCATTGTTACTACTACTTCTACTACTAATTTATTTGTAGTGGCTTTGGCCCCCAAATCCTAATGCAGTATTCTAAAGAGCAAGGCTAAATCATATAGAGTTGTCCTTTTCCCCATGCAAGGAGAACCTAAGAAGTCACCACCCAAATTGACCAGGGGCTTTGCCTGTTTTCAGCTAACACAAATCTGATGTCTTAGCACTTCTTACTCTAACGTCAACCTTCTCAGTGCAGAAAAGGCACATCGAGAAAGACATAAACAATGAGCATTTACTCCAGTGCTTAGAAAGAGCCTGTCCTAGGCCATTTACAAGTATGGCAACAGCCTTGAGACAGGCTCAACATGGAAAAAAGTGTAACGAGAGAGTGTGAATGAAAAAGAGATGAGGCAAGGCCCAGGTAGGAGCAGATTCTGGGCCACTTTTGCACTCCAACTGGGAAGAAGAGATGGAAGGAAAAAAAAGATGATCAGAGACCACTCTTGATTTTTCCAGGCTCTGAAAGGAAGGAACCCTAAGAGGCTAAGTTGCAGCCCTTGCCACCTTTAATGTAACCAACAAAATGTCCTTGGAATTGAATGACCTTCCCCAATCTTATGGAATAGCATGATAAATATAGAGATCAAAGGGTATATTCAAACATCCCTCTAGGGCCAATTAACTAAATAGCAGTTTACCTAATGTTATCTTAATAAAACCAATTTATCTAATGAACAACTCTAATTCATTAAAAGCTAATACATGGAACATCAATTTGTCAAATGGCCAACTCATGGAAACCTGGAACACTCTATTTTATGCCAGGTCTAGGATGGTGTGCTGCTACCAGAGACAGAGCCCAAGCAGAGTTAGGGCCAGGTGTGGGGGTAAGAGACCATGGCAAACTGGAGAACATGTGGGAAGTGGCTCCAGCCAGTCACTGCCTTGTAGGATATGGACCCAGTGTTACCAGAGCTTCCAAGTTTTCAAATAAAGGCTGAAATTGGAATTTTCTATGTGAATTGTGCTGACATTTGCATTTTGGCAAATACTTAAAACAAAAACAAAACAAACGCTGTGCAGGCCAAATGTATCCCGTCTGAGGGCTTGACTTGCCTGTGTGCTTTTAGTTTGCAATCTCTGCTGGAGACCTTGGGCATTTGCCTCCTAAATGCTCATGCTTTCAGCTGTGAAATTTGGCTCCAAAGCCCCGCAATATATAGTAATTTGTAATTGTGCTGAGGTACAAATTTGTATCCCAAATGCTCCAACGCTAACTTCTCAATGTGATTTACTTAGCTAGTGAAAGCACTTTGATCTCTGCCCAGTTTCTACATTTCAATGTGGCTTTAGGGTTTCTTTAACTAAATTTTAATACATAGTAGCTCTCATGAAACAAGTGAAACTTCATTAAAAAAAGAAAAAGGGCTTTGGAAAGCAGGAGAGGGAGCTGACTTCTAATGTTGGAAATAGAAATGAAGACAAAGTGAAAAGGTCTACTAAATGTTTAACTAGGAAATAGCTTTGGGGACATTGAAGTGGGATTCAATGCGGGTAACAGTGGGAGTTTTGAGAGGAAACAATCGGCATTTTTAGACCGTGCTAGCAAGCATTTGGGAAGAAGGTGTATGAAGATATTACTTGAAATTTCAGTTACACTTTACTTCATTTTAAGAGGAGATTTGTGGACTATACAGTATTTTTAAATTATTAATTTAAAATATTAATTAAATATCTTTGAGGGATGAGGTGGTCACCCTTATGAATGGCAAAAAGCTGTGTAATGCTTTGTAAGTTATCTTACTTTCTCCTACTTTGTTTTTAATGTTTAGACCCCTCAAAGAGATTGCTGAGAGCAGTGACTTTCTGCTCTTTTTTTTTTTTTTTTTTTGCTATTTACTTTCATACTTTGAGTACAATGTTCTGTTCACAGAAGGTTCTTTATAAATTCAATGCTTTGAATTATTTAAATGTGTCTTCCCATTTTAAACATTTATAGCTTAAATATATATTTCTATCAACTCTAGAATTTATGCATGTGCCTTGAATAGTGAAGAAGGGTACGCTTTAGACGTAGAGGAATATAAAACTTACTCTGAGACCAAAACACTGCAGGTCATGATTTGAAATCCCTCTGTGCATATCCTTATCTTCTTAAAATATTTAGTTGGGAATCATATGACAGGAGGTTTCTTCTAGGGTTCTAGTATTTCCTGGGCTAGAAATGATATAGAATGAAACAGTCTTTGTGTTTTGCTTTGAATCCAAATCAAAAAGTTTGGGATGAAAAAGCCAGGTGCACTTTTAAAATAAAGTATTGGATTCATCATATAGTATTTGGTTTTGTCTATAGGAATCTATGGGAACTTTTCTTGAAAGTGAGAGTGTATGGAGCAGGGTAGATCTTACAAGCCTAAGGCCTGATGGTTGCTGCACGATGAGATTTCTCTCATCCCCAAATCAACTGCTGCACCTCTCCTTGCTCCTTTGCCTTATTGTGCTGTCTTCCAGCATCTTGAGATACATCAAGCAAACAGAGAAGTTCTAGGATAAGAGCTTGAGTTCAATTGCCTGGATTCCTTGTTTGGCAGACAGGTTTCCCTTCCAACAACAGGACAATTAAAAACAGAGGAACCAGTAGCCCAGACAACACAAGATTTGTGAAACTGAAAATGACTTGATTGGTGGGGAGTGAAATTTCATTTCTAATTTTCATAGATCCCTCTTCCTTATTAATACTTTTCTCATAAAGCCTTTCTTTGGAAATATTATGCTTGTCAAGTGAGAAATTCTTTTGAAAAATTTGAAAAGCGAGGTATTTAAAGAAGTTGGTTACTTTGTAGCCTTTTAGAAGCTACTAGACCTAATGCAGGAGATGACTGGTGAGGTCTGGCATAAATAATTACTCAGAATATTTATCTCAGGACTGATCAACAAAAGAGAGAATGTATACAGAAATTGTTTGTTTTTTAAATTGGATTTTCATCCAAAATGAGGACTATTTCCTAAGTAATACCAATTCATTTAGACATTACCCAGAGGGGTTTTTTCCTGGTTATTTTTGAGATACCTATTTCTATATTATCTTTGAATAACATTAAAAATTGAAATACATTTCTTCTGTTGCTTTTATTGTTGTTTTTTCTCCATGAGGTAATGTGTTTACCATGCTCTCAAGGGGTAGTTATTCATGCATTAGTCAAGAAATATTTTTAAAGCACCAATTATATGTAGGGCATGTGATCTATATCTATATGTAGATATAGATATATAGATATATAGCAATATATATAAATCAAAGTGAATAAAGAAAAATAAACCCATGTATACACACAAATGTTAATTTTAAAATGTTTAGAGATTAGGCAAGAATGTACCCTTCTGAGATTATTTTGGCAAGTTACTATGATTTATTGGCAAATAGCTTCGTCCTTGGTGAAATAGCTGAAATATCATTTGCTTTCGTCTGTGTTATACTCCATAGTTTGAACTGAACTCTGCTATGTATAACTATATTACAAATTTCTTTTATGCAAAATCTGTCGTTTTTATTTTCATTGAATTTAATTTTCTCTCTATTACAACACTTTCTTTTATGGAACATCACAAAAGTAAATTTGATGTTTGACGAGTAAATCTATGAAAAACAGTGGGAAGACCTAAGCCCAGAACAAAATATTTGATGTTTTCACTTCTTATCATTATTTGACTTCACAGCTTTCTTCTATCTTAAAAGATTTTATTATTTTTTCTCCCAAATCTACAAAAAAAGACTTTATTAATTTTTAAAATAAGTGATTTAAGGTATTCTAATTTCAATCTTTTAAATGAATTTTATAATGTCTTTTAAATGAATTTTATAATATGTATAATATAGACAATTACATTTTCTATAGAATAAAATACTAAATATAAAAATACTAGAAATTCCAAAATTTAAAAAGTTGAATTTTAGTTATTTTACTGACATTTTGTCTTAAGTATATTTGAGATCATTTACTTGTGTTTCAGAATTTAAATAATTACATTTTTTAATCTGAAGAATTAAATATTGCTTTTAAAATATCTGATGAAAACTTATTTGTTTTGAATATTCTTTTGCTTTTAGGTGATCTGGGCTCTTGGGATCTGCTCATTTGCCTGTCTTCTAAGAAAGCAGAAGGAACACCCTGTATATCCAAGGAAGTCATGTGCCAGTTAGGTTTACATCAAAAGGTAAATACTCTCAAGATGTGCACAGATTTTATCAGCCCTACAGATATTAACACTGGCATTTCCTGGTCTATAATGTTTAAGAGTCTTAAAGAATTAGAGTCATTGTATCTATGGAGAATCTTCCAACTGGCCATGCCTTATATACTTTACCATAAAATAGTCACCACTTTTTGTTTGATAAGATCTCCCTCAGCTTCAGCTGCTGCAGATATTGTTGTTTTACTTAGTAAGACCCAACTTTATCTAGAAGTCTGCAGCCTATGAAGTGTTGCTTAATCTGACCACTTGTTCACCGAAGTGGTAAAGTCTTTATTTTTTAGATGCCTTTTCTAATTTTTTTTCTAACTTAAGTTGGTATCATAAGTTACAATAAAATTTATAAAATTTCTAATTACATTTTAAAATTGACATTTAGTACTTACTCTTTATATCGTGTGAACTTTTGTAAATGGTTTTAGAAAACTTAACTAAAAAAATCCAATGTTTACCATGTGCTAATCACTGTGCTGGAAAATTTACATATTGTTGATACCTATAACGAATCTGTACGAAAAGTGACAAATCCAATAGCTCTTATACAGTCCCTAACTGGAGATGGAGTATTGTACCCAGATCACTTGATATTCCTACAATTCGCCATCTAGATAGCACCTTTCTTCTTCTTCTTCTTCTTCTTCTTCTTCTTCTTCTTCTTCTTCTTCTTCTTCTTCTTCTTCTTCTTCTTTTTTTTTTTTTGAGACGTAATCTTGCTCCATCGCCCAGGCTGGAGTGCAGTGGCGCGATCTCGGCTTACTGCAAGCTCCGCCTCCTGGGTTCACGCCATTCTCCTGCCTCAGCCTCCGGTGGTAGCGGGCGCCCGTAGTCCCACGCCCGGCTAATTTTTTTGCATTTTTTAGTGGAGATGGGGTTTCACCGTGTTAGCCAGGATGGTCTCGATTTCCTGACTTCGCGATCCGCCCGCTTCGGCCTCCCAAACTGCTGGGGATAACTCCTTTCTTCTAACTCTTCACTTTTTTGGCATTTGGGCTGAGCACACGCTTTTGTGACTCCATGTACATTTCTGGCCATTCCTCCTCTGTTTTCTTTACAACCAACTTTTCTCTGCCCATTCTTTGAATCCCTGTGTTCCCTAACTCCAATCCTGAAATTTCAACAACCATTTGTAGTTGAGATTCCGAAATCTACCTAGGTACAGAGCACGTTTCCAGGCTTCAGGCTTGAATATGCAACAGGCTGCTGAACATCTGCACCTGGATGTCCCACAGACATATCAAACTCAACCTGGCGAAAACTGACTCATTCTTTTCCTCAGTAAATTCTCTCCTGCTCTTGTGTTCAGAAGCTTCAGCGCTTCTGTTTCGTTTGTTGTAAGCAGAATCACCCAGTCTGTCATCTCCCAAGATAGAAATTACCCACTTTGTCATCTCCTAAGATAGAAGGGCCATCACCCTTGAGCCCTTCCTTCCTCTTCCTTGGCATTGACCTTCTATTAATTGCCAATACTACTGAATTTAACCTCTTAACGTTTTTTTTTCTTCTGTTCTTGTTTTTGTTTTGTTTTTTTGAGACAAAGTCTCCCTCTGACACCCAGGCTGGGGTGCAATGGCGTGATCTCACCTCACTGCAACCTCTGCCTCCCAGGTTCAAGCAATTATTGGGCCTCAGCCACCAAGTAGCTGGGATTACACATGTGTACCACCACGCCTGGCTAATTTTTATATTTTTAGTAGAGACGGGGTTTTGCTGTGTTGACCAGGCTGGTCTTGAACTCCTGGCCTCATGTGATCTACCTGCCTCGGCCTCCCAAAGTTCTGGGATTACAGGCCTAAGCCACCATGCCAGGCCTATCTCTAAACATTTCTCACATCTGTCATCTATTCTCTGTATTTACTACCTTTATTCTGGTCAGATAATCATCATCTCTTACCTGGTTTATTGCTAAATCTTGCTCAATGGTTTTTCTGAAGCAAATATTTTACCCCTGAAATCTATCCTACTCACAGTTTTGAGATGAAAAATATAAAATGGTGAACTAGCCTTTTTACATCTATGCTTACAATCTTGAATGGCTTCTCATCAACCCTAGAATAAAGTCTTAATATTTGCTTTGTATTAGGCTTCCAGGAAGAATCAAATGCCATACTCATAAAGATGTATCTGAAGACAAACTAATAAAGAAACTATTTACAGAGGTTTTGGCAGGGAAAAAGAAACTAAAAGGCCTAGTGAGGCACTTGGGAACTAGCAACATTATAAAAGTTTCACTACACTGGGTCGTAAGAGGGATGTGTAGAAGGAAGGGCATAGCTAGAATCCAATGAGAGCTGCAACCAAGAAGGAGGTGTCCTTGGAAAGGTGTGGTAAACTTAGGGGAGTGTAGCTTTTGCCATATCACAGACCTGCAGAGAGGGAGCCTTGGGGATAAACACCCCACCTCTCTCTACTGCTACCCTCCAATCTCTTGCCAGTGCCTCCCATTGGTCCGAGCTAACTGCTGGTCAAAGGGCAAGAGATTCTCTGTGATGCCACCCACAAACGTCAGCCTCCTGGGGGACAGAGCAGGTGGCAGAGACCTGGAGGGCCAAGTGGTGAATATTTAGCACAATAAGCTATTCAAGGTTTTTTGTGAGTGGCTTTTGCCTAACAATACCCTTTTCTTATCTGTTTCTAACTGGGTGTCATGCTGCAAGTGATATGAAACTGCTTACTGTTCCCTAAATGCCTGTGCTGTTTTGTCACATACCTTTATTCTTACTGTTTTGTCTGCCTGGAATGCTCTTTCTCAGTCCTCTTTGCCTCAGTGATTTTCAACCAGGGAAAGATTCTGTCTCTTCTAGTAATATTTGGCGATGTCTAGAGATAGTTTTGGTTTTGTCACATCTGGGGGGATGTTTGGTACTGGCATCTATAGGTTAAAGCCAAGGATGCTGCTAAATATTGTATAATGCCCACAACAAATACTTGTGTGGCCAAATATGTTCATAGTGGCAAGGTTGAGAAACCTTGATGTGTTCCCTTGCCTTAAAATCAGCTGCTTAAATCTGTTACACTCAGCACCACTATCACCTCAAAAGCTCCAAAGCTTCTGTTTTGTTGGTTATAAGTGGAATCACCCACTCTGTCATCTCCTAAAATAGAAATCTGGCCTTCATCCTTGAGCCCTTCCTCTTCCTTGTCATTTACAATTGCAAATACTATGGGATTTATCCTCTAAATATTTCTCAGATCTGTTATCTATTCTCTGTACTTACAACCTTTATTCTGCTTACCTGGATTTTAGGCAGGGCTTCCTTGCCTTTCTCTCGCTATATACTCATACAAATCCTCATTCATATCTCAAATTCTATACTTATCACATGGTTTATTTTTTTCTTTGTCGTCCGCAAATGCACATCAGGCTTCACCAGCTAATGAGGACAAATGAGGTCACATTGGCATTAGTATTGGTATTTTGGGGGCAATATAGGTTTTTTTTTTTTTTTTTTTTGAGATGGAGTTTCACTCTTGTTGCCCAGGCTGGAATGCAATGGCGCAATCTCAGCCCATTGCAACATCCGCCTCCCAGGTTCAAGCAATTCTTCTGCCTCAGCCTCTGGAGCAGCTGGGATTACAGGCGTCTGCCACCACACCCAGCTAATTTTTTGTATTTTTAGTAGAGACGGGGTTTCACCATGTTGGCCAGGTTGGTCTTGAACTCCTGACCTCAGGTGATCCACCGCCTCGGCCTCCCAAAGTGCTGGGATTATAGGTGTGAGCCACCGTGCCCGGCCACAGGTTGTCTTAAGTAGCTTTCTGGTGGGTCTCAGCAGCTCAGGCGGCGGGAGGAGCGGCAGCGGCCAGGCAGCCCAGCTTCGCGAAGGCTCTCGGTACGATGAGGCCTGCAGGCACCTGGCACGCACCCTCCTCGTCACCAGGATGCCCAAGAAGAAGGTCATGAAGGGACCATCAAGGAAGAGCCCAAGAGGAGATTGGCGCAGTTGTCAGCTAAACCTGCTCCTGCAAAAGTGGAAGCGAAGCTGAAAAAGGCAGCAGCGAAGGATAAATCTTCAGGCAAAAATGTGCAAACAAAAGGGAAAAGGAGAGCAAAGGGAAAACAGGCCAAAGTGGCAAACCAAGAAACTAAAGAAGATTTACCTGCAGAAAACGGGGAAATGAAAACTGAGGAGAGTCCAGCCTCTGATGAAGCAGGAGAGAAAGAAACCAAGTCTGATTAATACAGTATACCATGTCTTACCAGCAGTCCCTGACTCCCCTCTTGTACAATCCAGAGGAATATTTTTACCAATTATTTTGTAAATGCAAGTTTTTTAGTAGCTCTAGAAACATTTTTAAGAAGGAGGGAATCCCACCTCCTCCCATTTTTTAAATGTAAATGCCTTTTTTTTTTTTAGAGGTAAAATCATTTGCTGGTTGTTTATTTTTTTGGCACAACCAGAAAATAGTGTGGGATATTGAATTATGGGAGGCTTTGACTGTCTCGGGTGTCAGCTTAACATTCCATAGATGGGGGTTAGTTTTTATATCCTATAAAACAAAGCATATTAAATGGAAATATGAAGTCAGTCCTGCATTTAATGTCTTGAACATTTTAAATTACTTCTATGCCCTTGCTGTTTTTTAGTAGAATTGTTTTCCAAAGAAAACCACTCCTTGATCCTGGCTTCTCCCTGTCAGAATTGTGTGCACTCTGTAAGATCTGTGGTTGTGGTAGTCCTGTTTTCCTAATAACGTTGTTATGCTGTGAAAGATTAAAAATTTGAATATGTAGTGTATATGCTATTCAGTTGTGAATTGGTGAAATGTATGTAACAGCTTATCAACATGTGAAGATATTGATAGCCCCTTAAGGAAAATTTGCTTCCAAATTTTAAGCTGGAAAGTCGCTGGAATAACTTTAAAAAAGAATTACAATACGTGGCTTTTTAGATTTTCGGTATGTATGTTAAGAATTGTGTACAAGTTTAAGTGTCTGTACTGATCCACATCCAATAAAATCTCAATTATGAAAGAAAAAAAAAAAGCTTTCCCATCTATTTCGCTAGCAAGTGTCTTCCACGTACTTAGAAACAGTGTTTTTGGTATGCTGTTTCAGACCATTACACCAAATGCATTGAGGAACACCCCATACTACTTTGGCTGCCACTGATGGCTCCTGTGATAGTTATGTTCCCAACCTGGGGTGCAAAATCTCTCCCCACAGCTGTAAAATTTTTGAGATGCCCAAAGTCCTTGCATTCATCAGTCCTATCTGAATTGAAACTAGACTTCATTCAGTATAGACCAAGGTGAACATTATTCTATTTAACTCAGTTCTTCACTTTGTTTCCTGAGCCCCAAAACATACGGTTGGCACCTGGACAACACGAAGTCACACGAAAACTCTTCCCGTGACTCTTTTGTCCCCTCTCCTTGGGCTTTCGTGGTCAACCCTTTGCGCCATCACTCACTAGCTAAAGGATTTTGATCACGTTATTTAATCTCTGTAGCCTTCACCATCTTTTCCTGAAATAAGAAGGCATTAGACACCGGACAGTCTCCAAGACACTTGCTAGCTTTATGATTGCGTGAGTCACTGGAGGCGAGTGGAATATGTGATGAGAAGAGAACAGAGCAGATCAGCCAGTGATGACAATGGAGAAGGTGAGAAGGGGGTTATGGGTGAAATAGGTAGAGAAGGAAATTATAAAGTACAGCGTCAGTTATGCTGATATTCTCTTTTAAAAATTTAAATTTTTATTGTTTTTGGGAGACAGAGTCTCACTCTGTCTCTCAGGCCTGGAGTGCAGTGGCGTGATCTTGGTTCACTGCAACTGCGGCCTCCTGGGTTCAAGTGATTCTCACGCTCAGCTTCCCAAGTAGCTGGGATTACAGGCATGCATCACCACACCTAATTTTTTTTATTTTTAGTAGAGACTGAGTTTTGCCATGTTGGCCAGGCTGGTCTTGAACTCCTGGCCTCAAGTGATCCGCCCACCTTGACCTCCCAAAGTGCTGGGATTACAGAGGTGAGCCACTGTGCCTGGCCTTAATTTTTAATTTTGTCATAATTTTAGACTTACAGAAAAATTGCAAAAATAATACAAAGATTTTTCCAAATACCTTTCACTGAGCTTACTTTAATGTTAAATCTTACATAACCATGGTACTTTCATCAAAACTAAGAAATTAATATGGATACGAACGGTTAACTCAGTTATGAACATCATTCAGATTGCATCTTTTAAAAAAAATGTTTGCCCCTTTTCTGCTCTAGGAACCTATCTACTACCCTTCATTGCATTGAGTTTTCATATCTCCTTACTCTCCTTCGATCTGATGCAATTTTTTTTTTCTTTCAAGACCTTGACATATTTGAAGAGTACTGGTCAGGTGTTTTGTGGAATGATCCTCAATTTGGATTGGTCTGATGATTTCTTCATAAGGTTATGAAACTTTGGCAAGAATTTCTTGGAAGCAGTCTACCCTTCTCAGTGTAAAATATCAAGGGGCATATGATGTCCTTGTCTCTTGTTACTGGTGATGTTCACCTTGATCACTTGGCTAAGGTGGTGTTTGTTGGATTTTTCCCCATATAATTCATAAGCATCTTGGGAGATAATATTTTGAGACTGTAAAAAGATCCTGTTTTTCTTCAAATTTTGCCCTCTAATTTTAGGATCCAGAGGTGGATCTTGCTCCCAACAATTTGTATTCTGGTGTTCTAATGGTGATTTTCTATTTCTCTTATTACTTTCATAATTATTAATTGGAATTCTTCTGTAAGGAAAAGCTAGTTTTTCTCCCGAATTTATTTATTCAATAATTTATTTATGTCAGTATGGACTAATGGATATTTGTTGTATTCTATAGGTTATAAATCAGTACTATTGTTATTAAATTTTTTGTTGTTGCTCAAATTGTTCCAGCTTTGGTCATTGAGAGCTTATTCATGTTGACTCCTGGCCCTTTTGACATGTCATGTGTTCTTTCCTTGGACATTTCCTTACTGTTTAGCACCAAGAGATACTCCAAATTCATCTTGCATTTTTCCTGTCCCAGGCTGGAATTAACCATTTATCCAGGAACCCCATTCCTGTTATTGCAGAATGATATTTAAAAACAAAGATCTGGGTACTAGGTGTGCCCATTGCTACTAGGGTGTCATTGAGTTTGAGCTCTCTCAGCAGAGAGGGCTTGGAAATATCTGTATGTCTACTAATCCATGCAAACATACACTTGTATTTATTTCTGTGTCTGCCTCTATATGTACATATTAAAAAGCTGATTCTTACCATACCCGTGTTTGCCATCCAACACCACAAGGTTTATTATAGCCTTCTGCTGTCATCATTTGTAACTTCTTTCTCAGACAGTGAGAAAATTGGATCTCATTTACATCATATTTCCCTATTGTTTAACCCTAGCATACCCATACATTAATTTCAGAATTGTTAACCTATACCCCTGTGAGAAACAAATTTACTAATAAAAGTGAACGTTTTGTGTGTGGTCTTCTTGTCTTTTTGTCTAATAATATTCAGTCGAAATATTATTTTCTGAAGGTAGGGCATATCTTTTCTCCTCACTCCCTTCAGTGTGGCTATGTCATTCAGTAATACAGTTAGGGTCATTTGCTGCAATTTATGTATTATTTGAGTCCCCAACCTCCACCCCCACTGCAAATCAGGGTTGAGGTTTTTTTTTTTTAATTTGCATGTAGTAAAATTCATTATTTGTGGTTTATAGCTCCATGGGTTTTGACAAATGCATAGTTATGCATCCATCCTCACCCGTCAGTCATGGCAGAATGGTCCCATTATCTCCAAAATTCACTTGTTCTGCACCTTTGAAGTCATCCCCTCCTGTGATCCCTACCCTTAACAGTCACCACCGACTTATTTTCTGTCCCTATTGTTTTTTTGTTTTGTTTTTGTTTTCTGTTTGTTTGTTTTAAATAGAAGGTCATATAAGTAGAGTCATATAATTTGTAGCATTTGGGTCTGGCTTATTTCACCTTAGCAAACTCATTTAAGATTCATCCCTGTTGTGTCAATTAGCAGTTTATTCCTTCTTATTGATGAATAAGATTCAATTTTATGGATGTACCACAGGCTGTTTATTCATTCAAAAGTTAAAAGACATCTGGATTTGTTCCAGTTTATGGCCATAATGAATAACACTTGCCATAAACCTTTGCATAGAGGTTTCTGTATGAATATAACTTTTTCTCTCTTAAGGGTGATTCATTTGGTAAATACATGTTTAACTTTAAGAAACTTTAAAAACTTTTAAATTTAAAAATTTTTAAAATGTTTTAACTTTAAGAAGCTGCCCAACGTTTCTATAAATGTGGCAAGTTGCAGTTCCTTTTATTTAAAAAATAGAGAAAGTCACACATGATAAATTTCCTGCCTTCAGGGTTACTTTACAGTAAATTAATTTTTTAATCTTTCTGTAAGCATATCATTTATTTCAAGCTTTTATCTGATTGTGAAGCAATATTTACATAGCAATCACAATAGTTAATCACACTAAATGTGGGTATATTACACAAACACTAACACAAATTACAGGTGTGACATAAAATATAATTATATGTGTAAAAATATAGATATAATAAATAATTATGATATAATTATACATATAAAATATAATTATACATTCATATAGTTCAGTTTTTTTCTGTTGTTGCTAGTAAAAATTCACTCTATTATTTGTTGATCACAAGGCCCATAGTCAATACTTTGTTTTAATGAATGACTTGAGCAGCAAAGCCTATAAAGTACATTTATTTAAAGACAATTGTTTTATAGAGATGTTTTGGAAACTGTTAGAAAATACAATTTCTCCCAGAAATGAATAGAAGTACACTTGTTTCCTGGATATTTCAAAAAGGAAGAAATCAAAAATAGAAACAAAAAAATCAAAATTTTGAATGTGTTTTATCTAATAATTCTATTTCTTGGAACTTACATATTATTCTTTCTGGTCAGAGGATTGAACAATTATTATGATAATAGTGTTACTTATTATAGTAAAAAATTGGAACCAAAATAAGTATTTTGGAAAAATAAATAATGCATATGAAACTCATACATGATTAATCACATGGAAATGCTCAGAATATGAGTAAAATAAGCAAATCAGAAAACAGTTTATATGTTCCAAATCCAAATTGTGTTTTTTAATATGTGTAGAAAAATACTGAATAACTGAAATGTTAGGAATGGTATTTATTTCTGGTTGGAAAAATTATGAGTGATTACTGTTTTCCTCTTTACATTTAACTAAATATTCTATCATACATGTATGTTAGTTCTACCATCAGGAAAAATACTGTTTTAGGGAAGGGCAATCTCCTATTTAAAATAAGTTTACCTTGTTAATTCTTATTAAAAAAGAAAAAAACAACAAACATTCATAGTTGAATTGATTTGGCAGTTGGATGAGGCAATACCATTATTTTCTATTCATTTAAGTATGCTAGTTGTGAATCACTGCTTTAGCAGACAGTCCTAAAACCTTTATCCCACACTCAGTACCTTTTCCATTCTCTCTCCACATCCCCTTTTTATGCTTTACTGTGTTCTCCTAATTCTTATAAAACTTTAGCTAAAATAGTGACAATGAAAGTGTCAATAACATTTACCATTGTAAGTTTTCAAATCTCCTCTGGGATATGTTCTTATATTATTTCTCTAATCATTTCTCCATTCCCTTTCCTCTTTTTACTTTCTGGAACTTCTATTTGTCATGGGTTAAACCTCTTGGTTTGCTCTCTAATTCTCTTTATACCTGCTTCACTTTTAAAAAATTCATACATCATGTTTGTACATATTTATGAGGTACATGTGATATTTTGTTTCATGCATAATATGTGCAATAATCAAGTCAGAGTATATAGGCTACTCAAAACCTTGAGTATTTATTATTTCTATGTGATAAAAACATTTCAAGTCCTCTCTTCTCGTTATTTGAAATATACAACACATGCTCTCTATTTTTTCTTTTTTCTTTTTTTTTGAGATGGAGTCTCACTCTGCTGCCTAGGCTGGAGTGCAATGGCGCAATCTCGGCTCACTGAAATCTCCACCTCCCAGGTTCAAGCGATTCTCCTGCCTCAGCCTCCTGAGAATCTGGGAGTACAGGTGCACGCCACCAGACTCAGCTAATTTTTTTGTATTTTTAGTAGAGATGAGGTTTCATCATCTTGGTCAGGCTGTTCTCGAACTTCTGACCTCTTGATCCACCTGCCTCAGCCTCCCAAAGTGCTGGGATTACAGGTGTGAACCACCGTGCCCAGCCTCTAATTTTTATAATAATTTCAACTTTTATTTTAGATTCAGGAGTACATGTGTAGTTTTGTTACATGGGTATATTGTATAATGCTGAGGTTTGGGGTATGATTTTATCCTGTCACCCAGGTACTGAGCATAGTACCCTTTTTAACCCTTGCCCCCCACTTCTCCTCTGCAAGTCCCCAATTTCACTCACTGTGATCTTTATGTCCATGAGTACCCAGTGTTTAGCTCCTACTTATAAGTGAGAACATGCAGTATTTGATTTTCTGTTTCTGACTTAATTCACTTAGGATAATGGCTTTACACTAAATTTACACAAATACCATTTATCAAGATGAAGGCCACAAAAGGCCTGAGAGGCTTGACTTGCAGAATGTCTCAATAACTTTATTCTTGGTTTTATTGACTCATTCATTCATTCATTTATTCATCTATCCCTTCACTGTTTCTACAATTATTTATTAAACATATTTATTTAGCTCTACTTTAGGTGCTGGGAAGATAGCAATTAAACAATACAGACAAAAATATATATTACTGGGAAGCTTAGACATTTATGGGTAGACGGGGGAAAATAGTCGCTAAGTAATAATATGATAGATGGTAAAGAGCACTAAGGAGAAAAATAAAGCAAGGAGACAAAATATTGGGGGATTGAGTTTAAGATCACCAAGAAAGTGACATTTGAGTAAGGCCTGGAAGACAGGGCACTCCCCATGCCAGTGTCTGGGGTAAATCCACCAAGACTCAGAGGAGAGGAACAATAGGCCTACAGTAAAGGGAGAAAGTCTTGGTTGAGGAACGTAAGGAGTTCCATGTGACTGAAGTAGAGTGAATGTAGTAGGTGGTGAGGGCAGAGAGGTACCTGGAGCTGGGGAAGCTCAGCGATGGGGCCATTGGAACTGTCGTAAGGACTGCGGGCTTTTACTCTTGTTAAGTGGAGAGTAATTGGATGATTCTGAGCACGCAGATGACAGATGACATGAGTCCATTGGCATTTTTACAGGATTGCCTTGATTGTTTTGTCGAAGTAAGCTATCCATCAAGCAAAGACCAAAACAGGGAGACTAATTATCGTAATAATGTAGGTGTGAGATGAGAGGGACATGGGCTAGCAGAATAGCAATGGGGTGGTGAGCTGTGGCTAGATCCTGAAGACATTTTAAAGGTATAAATGACAAATAATAATAGCTCACACTTACATCTCCTTACTGCTTGCCAGGCACCATCCCAAGTGCTTACATGTTTATTTATGTCCATTCTTTACAGATGAGGAGACTGAGGCACAGAGAGGTTATAAAACTTGTCTAAGACCTCCTAGCTAATAAAACGACCAAGATGCAAACTCAGGCAGTCTCATTTCAACTTTATGTTTTCTTAATCATATCAATAGCACCTTTTGATGTATTTAGGCAAAGCACCTACAGCCTAACCTAATGAGTATTCTTAAGGAAACACAGATTCTAAATGATACATGTAGATAACTGTCACTCTATAACAGGAATAATTTGAAGCTTTATGAACCAAGACTTTATTATGTAAACAACATAGATATTCACAACAGAAGTTGGTTCAAATTTGTTGGAGATGTTGTAGAATTGTCAATAACCTTATAATGAACAAAGAGAGGACACTGGCTCAAATTAAGATTACTAATCCCATTAGAGCTTCATAATTTTAGAGCTTAATGAAAATGGTCATAAGATCTGTTATTGAAAATAAACTGCCAGGAGTCTCCCCAGTCAGCAGAATAGTAACATGAATTTAAAACCATTAGTCTGTGTGATGATAAAAGTGAAGCGAGGTCCATTATTTGGGGTAACACTAAGTTTAGTAATTGGGGCTGTATCTCACCGCAAGTAGACAGGTGCTAGTGTTTCAAAAGCAGAGAGATTGATTTCTAGCTCTAAATTGTTGTAGGATTAGCAGTCCCTAAAGCTAGGATGCTGTTCTTAGTACATAGGAGTACTGAGAACTACCAAATGGCTCTTATTTTAAAGCATCCCAGGGAATTTTCAGGTGAATTTGATGGAATGATAATTGCACTTGAGACATGGGGAGAAAACACATTTTTCTTTTGATCAGCTGGTTCTCCTAATTCCTCGTCATTAATTCTTTTCATTGTGGATGATAATGAACAGCTTTGGGAGAAGTTCTAATTTTTGTTCAAGTAAAAGCATGAACATTTCTACAGATATGAGGAAAAAGAGCATTTCTCTAAAATGCAACATGATGTGTGTGTCACTCTTAATGTTCAGGAACAATAAAAAAAATCAGTTTCTTCCCCCTCCAGTGTTTTCTTACATTTTGTAACTAGTTCAAATTCAGGTGTTCACGCTTCCTAATAAATTCATAATATTATTGTAGTTTTAGTTTTTTAATTTATAAGCACTCCATAAATGGTTATAATTAATATATTTTTGCCTTATTAACAGATTGTCTCAAAAGAATATTTTACTTTTGCCTCTGACAATATGTAATAGAAACAATTTAGATGCATATTATCACACATTAGTGAGAGGTGACAGCATGCTGGCAGTCCTCACAGCCTTCGCTCGCTCTCGGCGCCTCCTCTGCCTGGGCTCCCACTTTGGCCGCACTTCAGGAGCCCTTCAGCCCACTGCTGCACTGTGGGAGCCCCTTTCTGGGCTGGCCAAGACCGGAGCCGTCTCCCTCAGCTTGCAGGGAGGTGTGGAGGGAGAGGCGCGAGCGGGAACCCGGGCTGCGCGCGGCGCTTGCGGGCCAGCTGGAGTTCCGGGTGGGCGTGGGCTTGGCGGGCCCTGCACTCGGAGCAGCCGGCCGGCCCTGCCGGCCCGGGCAATGAGGGGCTTAGCACCCGGGCCAGCGGCTGCGGAGGGTGTGCTGGGTCCCCCAGCAGTGCCAGCCCAGTGGCGCTGTGCTCGATTTCTCGCCGGACCTGCAGCCCACCATGCCTGAGCCTCCCACCCCCTCCGTGGGCTCCTGTGCGGCCGGAGCCTCCCTGATGAGCGCCGCCCCTTGCTCCACGGCGCCCAGTCCCATCGACCACCCAAGGGCTGAGGAGTGCGGGCGCACGGCGCGGGACTGGCAGGCAGCTCCACCTGCAGCCCCCGGTGCGGGATCCACTGGGTGAAGCCAGCTGAGCTCCTGAGTCTGGTGGGGACGTGGAGAATCTTCATGTCTAGCTCAGGGATTGTAAATACACCAATCGGCACTCTGTATCTAGCTCAAGGTTTGTAAACACACCAATCAGCACCCTGTGTCTAGCTCAGGGTTTGTGAATGCACCAGTCCACTCTGTATCTAGCTATTCTGGAGGGGCCTTGGAGAACCTTTGTGTGGACACTCTGTATCTAGCTAATCTGGTGGGGAGGTGGAGAACCTTTGTGTCTAGCTCAGGGATTGTAAACGCACCAATCAGTGCCCTGTCAAAACAGACTACTGGGCTCTACCAGGCTCTACCAATCAGCAGGATGTGGGTGGGGCCAGATAAGAGAATAAAAGCAGGCTGTCCCAGCCAGCAGTGGCAACCCGCTCCGGTCCCTTTTCACGTTGTGGAAGCTTTGTTCTTTTGCGCTTTGCAATAAATCTTGCTGCTGCTCACTCTTTGGGTCCACACTGCCTTTATGAGCTGTAACACTCACTGCGAAGATCTGCAGCTTCACTCCTGAAGCCAGCGAGACCACGAGCCCCCCGGGAGGAACGAACAACTCCAGACGCGCCACCTTAAGAGCTGTAACACTCACCGCGAAGGTCTGCAGCTTCACTCCTGAGCCAGCGAGACCACGAACCCACCAGAAGGAAGAAACTCCGAACACATCTGAATATCAGAAGGGGCAAACTCCGGACACGCCGCCTTTAAGAACTGTAACACTCACTGTGAGGGTCCGCGGCTTCATTCTTGAAGTCAGACCAAGAACCCACCAATTCCAGACACATTAGGATTGTGAAAGGTATATTGGGATAGAAATCTCTTCTAATGCATATTCCCTTTTTCAAAAATTGATCTCATGGAAATATCCTAGGGTTTAAATATTATTATCATTTTATCAGTGCATTGTAATTCTTTTAAAGATATGAAAGGATTTGTGCTAAATAAGAAAAATGTCTGTGTATAAATATACACACATACACATAGATGCATATTGTATATATGGCATTCAAACCTAACACAAGATCTGTATATATTAAAAATGATAAAAAATGATAATTCGGATGATAATGATATGTAGGTTCATCAAGTGTAACACATGGCCCACTCTGGTGGGGGATGTTAATAATGGAGGAGGCTGTGTGTGTGTTGGGGCAGGGAGTATATGGGAAATCTCTGTGTCTTCTGCTTAATTTTGCTGTGAACCCAAAACAGCTATAAGAAATAAAGTCCATTAAAAAATAATTGCAATGTTAAGCTGGAGAAGCTCATCATATAAAAGTCAGTGAATCCAAATTAAAACTCCTTTGATGATGTTCCACTTAATGATGCAAATCTTATACATTTTATGATACGTGTAAAAGTAAAAATACGAAGCAGTAGGATATAGAAGAGTATTACTAGGTTTAACAATTAAAAAGTTATAATCTGTGTAATATAGTTGAGTTACTACAGCTGTATGACACATGACCCTTGAATGTTTTTACTTCTTTGTGCTGTTATTTTACTCAGTTTAACTGCTTAGTTTGGTGTTCAGTTCCAGAGTAGAATAGAGGTGATGTTTCTGGTGTCACATGTTGCTACAGTCATGTCGTCAGCCACACTATTAATTCTAAAGATGAACTTTGGAGGAAGGAACACAGGGAGAAGTCATTGTTTGGGGGACAGGAAAATAGAAGGCAGAAGGATAGAACAATTGTTTCCCTTGGCTTGGCTCTATTATTTTCAAGTGCTTTGTTGGTTAAGAGAAGGTTAGCAATGGATCAGAGTCAGTCCATAACCTTTAATGCTACTTACCCAGTGCTGATTCTCTTTCTGAATCATATTGTTAAGGATTCTATTAATTCACCAGCAACGGAATGATTTTGCCCTATTTAGGGAAAATGGCTCAATTTCATTGATTTTTGAAGCTTTTCACAGACTAATTTAGAAAGATACTTTGTGAACTTAAAAAACAAACAAACAAAAAATCTCTATTACAACACTACATTGTAAAAGTCCATACGGACACCAAAGTGTGTATTAGTCCTTTTTATTAGTCTATTATGGGTTATCTATACTTTTGCAATGCTGTTTGTTCCCTCCAGCCCTTTTTAAATTCTGGATTGAAGAATTCAGGGTTTATGAAAGCCCTTCTTTTTCTACATTTAGTTTCTGAGATTTCTCACTTTTGGATTTGAGAAATCGAGACAGCCTTAAGATTGAAAGTGTACTGCACTTACAGCCTTTTCTCAATTCTTAGTGCAAATGAATGTCAGTGACGTCCACTTTGATATGTTCTGGCTGTGTCCCCACCCAAATCTCATCCGGAATTATAGCTCCCATAATTCCCACGTGTTGTGGGAGGAACACAATGGGAGATAATTGAATCATGGGTGCGGTTTCCCCCATCCTATTCTCGTGGTAGTGAGTAAGTCTCACGAGATCTGATGGTTTTATAAGGGATTTTCCCTTTCACTTGGCCCTCATTCGCTCCTGCCTGCCACCATGTAAGGTATGCTTTTCACTTTCTGCCATAATTATGAGGCCTCCCCAGCCACGTGGAACTGTGAGTCCGTTAAAGCTCTTATTCTTTATGAATTACCCAGTCTCGCGTATGTCTTCAGCAGCAGCATGAAAAAGGACTAATAAACACTTTGGTGTCCTTGTGGACTTTTACAATGTAGTGTTTAGGAATGCCACTGGTGCAGAATCACAATAATAGGTTCTGCTGAAGCTAGGCTTCATTCATACAGGATCTGGGCTGAAGTTTTTCCTTCTTACAGCTATTATCGGGGAAAAGAGAGTTTGCTGAACACATGAACAGGGTTAATAAAGTAGCAAGGATTGGGGAAGATTTCATCAATGCACAGTTGCCAAGCACTTTAAATGAATCAGTTTTTAGAACTGTATCTTATTGATTTGGTAAAAATCTTAGAGCAGAAGTGGAACCTAGAGACTAAAAGCTCTAAATGCTTTATTTTGCAAATGAAGAAACTGAAAAAAAAAAAAAAAAAAAAAGCAAATGATGATTCTCTTAAGTGCCCGAAGCGAGCTACCACCCCTGTTTCCAGTTGCCTCTCTTCTCCAACTGCAGCTGGGTTATTTCTATCAAGTCATGCCAGCAGGACATAGTGCTGCAATACTTTATTAGGTTAGAGTGTGTTAATTTGAAAGTAATCAATATCTCAAAAATGAATCTGATTTTCAAGCTAATTTATACTGATCTGTTGGTTTTAACAAGGTTTTCTCATATTGGGTATTAGTTTGGGGATTAAGTGGATGATGTTAATCAATTTGTAGATTCACAGGAGAAGGGAAGAATTAAAGTTGTATCTTTTATAATCTTTTCAAACTCCATATATTTGAATTTATGATAATATTTACAAAGCTGTCTAAAAACAAGTTTTGGTTGAAGTGAAGTTTTGTGGGTGACTGGGTTTTATATTTAGAAATAATCCCTTCAGTATGAAGTGAAGAATGTTTATGAAATTTTGGAACGGGTTTAACACTGAATTGCCACTAAATATCAAGTTATTTATGTTACTATATTTGTCTCAAGTATTTTCTTTTATATTTAGCAAATATCATGGCTTCAAAATATGAAAGGGTTTTCAAAAAGTGATCCCAAGGACCACTTTTAAAGCTTCCCAGGGGCAAGTTTTAGTTTTATGTTATCAAATAAGCTACTTCATTATTCTGGATTTGCATGTTGACTTGCAGAGATTTGAAGGTGGGGTGTGGGTGGTTTAGACAGTGCATCCCATCTATACTCTCTGGGTTTTTTGTGTTTGCTTGGTTTTGCTTTAGCGTTGATGAATGCCTCACTCACTAGAATCTTTTTCATTCCTTTCAGGCAAACAGATTACCAGAAATACAGCAGCCACTTTGCAGAAAGGAAGGATTATGTCAAATAGTTAGAAGATTCCCAGGTAATCTTTCGTTTGCTTCCTTAGGCTTAAACATGTGAGATATGCAGGCTCCCTTAGCAGAAGCAGCTAACATGGTCTCAGGTCAGCATCTGTTGCTACTTTGTCTATCAATTCGGCAATCACAGATCTTCCGCAGTTCACAACGCTTTGCCAATGAAAAGACCTAAAGTGAGGAATAACAACCGTAACGTAACACTGGTGTTCTTTTAGTTTTGCCTTCTGATTTGCCAGATGAATATATTTCTTGTTCTCCTTTCTATTTGTTTTTAAAACAATTGCTGCTTTATTTTTAAAGTAATTACAGTAGTTCTCAGTTATGTAACACTTGGGGGTTTTTATCAAAGTATATATTTCTTTATGATTAAATTATTCTGATCCTAAAAACATTGTTTCTCCTTTCTGGAATCCTCTCAATTTGTCTGTGTGTTAAATACAGGACACTGAATGAATAAATTCTGCATTTTAACTATGTTAGGAATTTGGGACAAAAATTACCATCTTCAGTTTCCTCATAGGTTCCCAGAGTGGAAAAAGCATCAGAAGGTATATGAACCCTCATAGATGAAATAAGCCCTCATAGAAAAAATGATGGCCTACTTTAAAAGCCATCAGTGAAAGGGTTCCTCAAATTTCTTGTTTAAAACACATTTAATGTTTAATAGTTTATGTCCCCAGAAAGTTCTTTACTACATAATTAAAACTTAGATCTACATAGCTTTAATTTTGTTTTGTCTCCTAGTTGATTTGTTAACTAGTTAATTTGTCTCCTAGTTGAATCAGGAAACAAATAATCTATCTTAATCCATCAACTTTCCCATTGGGGTTTCTGCTCCCACTCCAAACGTAAACCACACTGGCATGTTCCACTGTAAAGACTGAAGTCATCGACTGATATTTACTGAGAATTAAAATAAAATAATCTCAATTCAACTTTCAATTTAAGATACATATCTAAACTAAACAGCTATGTAAATTTGGTTCTGTAGTTATTGTTTTATATGACAATTATAACTGACTACATAAGCTGAATTTTTTTTGTTTTTGTAAACTCTAGCTGGAGAGTTTTTCATCATATGAAAAAAGTAATGTTTTGGGGAGAAGCAAATAAAATAATTATTTTCGTTAATACAATATTAAAATATCCAGAAATTCTTTAGAAAAGGCAATCTGAAGAAATTTTTACTTTTGACCAGAACCTACAGATTTTAAAGTGTTTTTCTTTGTTGCTATTTACATTTCAGAATGCTTGATCCAGAACATTAAGTTTCTTCAGCTTTGTACTTAACAGAATAAAATCATAGAAATGAAAGGCTGTTTATGGTCAGAAATAGATTACCAGTGTTTTAAAAAGTTCCCCAAGCAATTCTTACATAAGTTTATATTTTACATTTGCTTCTGTAAAACTAAGAAGTATTTTCTATCTTCTTTTGCTTCAAACATTTTTTTTATTCTCGAGAACATCTAAGTTCTAGGCATTTGTAGTTCTTTCTACATTCTGTTTAGTGCATTAATTTTGTATTTATCTCTGTGAATAACAAGATAGTTTCACAGAATGCACAGCTTTTTAAATGGAATTATTTCTACCATCATGTTATCTTTCTCTAGATGAAGATAATTTTCTTACACGTGTAGCTTTAAAGAAATGTCTGCAGCATTATTTTCTGATCTAAGTTTTATAAAGCGTAGCTTTTGTTGTAGACTGTTGGTATAAATATATAATTCAATATTCACAAAATTAAAATTTTATTTGTTGTGAATACTGAATATTTAATATTGAATACAGATTAGGTAGTGACGTGTCAGCACCTAAATATAGGGTATGATTATAAAGGTGTAATAGTAAAACTAAACATAATACTATATAATCTAGACATTATATCAAAAGGCAAAATGTCCTGTGTAATTTTAAGCTGTGTTTCATTTGGAGGTTGACAAAACACAAATTTTGAAACCAGTGATTTTAGCTCTGCCACTTATTCTCTGTGTGACTTCAGGGGTTTTTTGTTTTTTGTTTTTTTAATCCACAAAGTGGGGTTAAGAATACCCATTTCATAGGTTTAATTTTAAAAGGCAGATTGTATATGTGTGTATATATAACTTAATTTGAAGAATAAGACATATTATACATTATTCCTAACACATAATGTCCAAATAATGGTAACTGGATTACCCTGGATTTGAAAAATCAAGCAGACAAAAATCCAGAGGCAAAAGGCCTCAGAACACTTAATATTTTCTCCCTTTACATGATAAATTATCACTAAGATTTTATCTTTCGGTCAAAAACTGTGAAGATCTTACCCCCTCTCACAAGCTTACAGGTCAACCTGTCTCAGTTTCATGGTTATTGGTAGAAGACATGAGATGCCTAGGTCAGAGACCAGTGACTTTTTTATTTATAGCAATAATGGTAAGCCAACTATCAGCACATGTACCAGTTCACTGAAGGCTGTTGGCCCTCTGTATCTGTGGGTTCCACATCCCTGGATTCAACCAACCATGGATAGAAGTATTAGGAAAAATAGTCTCACAAAGTTCCAAAAAGCAAAACTTGAATTTGCTGCATGTTGAGTATTACATTGAATCCGTGGAATGAAGTGATATGCAGGCATTGTGTTAGGTATTATAAGTAATCTAAAGATGACTTAAAATATACAGGAGGATTGCATAGATTATATGCAAATACGACATCATTTTATATGAGGAACTTGAGCACCCATGGATTTTAGTATCCATGGCTGGGGGGCACAGGGGGTGGGGTGCAGTCCTAAAACTAATCAACTATACTTAGTGGTTTGCATTTCTTTTTTTTTTATATACTTTAAGTTTTAGGGTACATGTGCACAACGTGCAGGTTTGTTACATATGTATACATGTGCCATGTTGGTATGCTGCAACCATTAGCTCGTCATTTAACATTAGGTATATCTCCTAATGCTATCCCTCCCCCATTCCCCCACCCCACAACAGGCCCTGGTGTGTGATGTTCCCCTTCCTGTGTCCATGTGTTCTCATTGTTCAATTCCCACCTATGAGTGAGAACATGTGGTGTTTGTTTTTTTGTCCTTGCGATAGTTTGCTGAGAATGAAGGTTGCAGCTTCATTCATGTCCCTACAAAGGACATGAATTCATCATTTTTTATGGCTGCATAGTATTCCATGGTGTACACGTGCCACATTTTCTTAATCCAGTCTATCATTGTTGGACATTTGGCTTGGTTCCAAGTCTTTGCTATTGTGAATAGTGCCGCAAAAAACATACGTGTGCATATGTCTTTATAGCAGCATGATTTGTAATCCTTTGGGTATATACCCAGTAATGGGATGGCTGGGTCGAATGGTATTTCTAGTTCTAGATCCCTGAGGAATCGCCACGCTGACTTCCACAATGGTTGAACTAGTTTACAGTCCCACCAACAGTGTAAAAGTGTTCCTATTTCTCCACCTCCTCTCTAGCACCTGTTGTTTCCTGACTTTTTAATGATGGCCATTCTAACTGGTGTGAGATGGTATCTCATTGTGGTTTTGATTTGCATTTCTCTGATGGCCAGTGATGATGAGCATTTTTTCATGTGTGTTTTGGCTGCATAAATGTCTTCTTTTGAGAAGTGTCTGTTCATATCCTTTGCCCACTTTTCGATGGGGTTGTTTGTTTTTTTCTTGTAAATTTGTTTGAGTTCTTTGTAGATTCTGGATGTTAGCCTTTTGTCAGATAAGTAGATTGCAAAAATTTTCTCCCATTCTGTAGGTCGCCTGTTCACTCTGATGGTAGTTTCTTTTGCTGTACAGAAGCTCTTTAGTTTAATTAGATCCCATTTGTCAATTTTGGCTTTTGTTGCCATTGCTTTTGGTGTTTTAGACAAGAAGTCCTTGCCCATGCCTATGTCCTGAATGGTATTGCCTAGGTTTTCTTCTAGTGCTTTTATGGTTTTAGGTCTAACATTTAAGTCTTTAATCCATCTTCAATTAATTTTTGTATAAGGTATAAGGAAGGGATCCAGTTTCAGCTTTCTACATATGGCTAGCCAGTTTTCCCAGCACCATCTATTAAATAGGGAATCCTTTCCCCATTGCTTGTTTTTGTCAGGTTTGTCAAAGATCAGATAGTTGTAGATATGTGGCATTATTTCTGAGGGCTCTGTTCTGTTCCATTGGTCTATATCTCTGTTTTGGTACCAGTACCATGCTGTTTTGGTTACTGTAGCCTTGTAGTATAGTTTGAAGTAAGGTAGTGTGATGCCTCCAGCTTTGTTCTTTTGGCTTAGGATTGACTTGGCAATGTGGGCTCTTTTTTGGTTCCATATGAACTTTAAAGTAGTTTTTTCCAATTCTTTGAAGAAAGTCATTGGTAGCTTGATGGGGATGGCATTGAATCTATAAATTACCTTGGGCAGTATGGCCATTTTCACAATATTGATTCTTCCTACCCATGAGCATGGAATGTTCTTCCATTTGTTTGTATCCTCTTTTATTTTATTGAGCAGTGGTTTGTAGTTCTCCTTGAAGAGGTCCTTCACATCCCTTGTAAGTTGGATTCCTAGGTATTGTATTCTCTTTGAAGCAATTGTGAATGGGAGTTCACTCATGATTTGGCTCTCTGTTTGTCTGTTGTTAGTGGTTTGCATTTCAAAAGAGGAACCCAGAGCTTAGGAAGTTTGAATCTTTAATAATGTGCAGTGAGTATGCCTACCATTTGCCCCAGAGGGAGACATTAAATTTATTATACTGGACAAAAATATAAACTTTCCTTTGCTCTGGAGTGAGGCACTATCTCTTTTTCAAGGCTTTCCACTATATAAATATCTTTGAAAAGCTAGTTCAGAACAAATGTGGTCAGTGCCTCTGTTTGCAAAATGTGCAGAAATATTAAAGATAGATAGAGCAGTGTCTCCAACAATTTCAGAGAGGAATACCTAACAAGTCCTAACTCTGAGGCTTAGTTATCGTATAATTCTGAGCAAGACTTAAAACTTACTTGTACTTCAGTTTTCTTCTCTCTAAAAATACAAAGTTTGGCAATGATCAATAATGCTGAAATCCCATAATTCTGCTGTGCCTTTTCCCCATATAGACTTGTCACAGACTTTATCTTCAGTAGTAGGTAGAGACAGGAATGCTAAGAAAGGAGAGATGATCATGCTGGTAAATGTGGCTGGAACCCATGCAAGTGAGGCAGGACAGAGTGTTGGCTAGATGCAGTGGAGTGATTGGAGATCGCACGTAAGGCTAACACAGTCTGTTCCATTCCATAGCCAGAGTGTACCTGACATTAGACTTGTGACTCACATTGAAGGGCACACATCCACGGAATTTTTACTGGCTAGCACAAAGATTTATTTTTATCTTGCCATTTAATGCTTTGCCTTTTGAAAAAAAAGTGTCATACTTGTTAGTTGGCCCAAATTTGTTGCTAATGTTTTTTGTTGCTTTTTATTAAGTTTGCTCATTTTGATAAAAGGGAATTTTTCATCATATTTGAAAGACAAGTATAAAACAAAACATAAGAGAACTGTTTTGCTTGGGCTGTGAGTTGTTGTTTTTGTTCTTTTTAGTACAGCATCGCCATCTAAAAAATCCTGGTTAAAAGTTTGCCCAATTTTTGGCCATAACTCATTCATTCCAGTAGTTTTATCTTAGCTCTGAGCACTGACCTTCATGTGAAGCTTGAAATATACCAGGACTTGTATTCAAAGATAGCATTTTGAACATTTTAGGATTTGTGTCCTCATTTTAAAAGTAACATGTGAGTATATAAAGAAAAATAATAGGTAAAAACACCTTTTGTTGTATCAAAAACAAGACAGAGCTTTAAAAATTATAGATACTATTTACTACCAAATATAAAATATATCTTCAAAATAATATAATTAATATATAATTTATATTTAATATAATTAAAATAATTTTTAAACATTGACCAATAATAGTTATTTATTTTAGGTGGCACTGATGATTACTCTTAATATCCCAGGTCTAATATTCTAAGCAAACTTTCAGAGAAGGTTAAAGTTTGCTTGTTCTCTGTGTTCTCAAATCCTGATACCCCCTCTCTGTGGATTCTGTGGGCTCCTTAATGCTTCTGTCATTCCAAAGAATCTCACCTCTCTCCCAAACATGATTATATTCCTTATGCAAAACATTCCACTCCCAAGTAAAATTCTCATCTCTTTAATATGACTGACTTCAGCTAGGTAATAGCAGAAAGTAAGCTGATGGAACTAATTCAGACTAAATTATACCCTCACCCCAGTATAAGCCTCTTAGATGTATTTGCATTTTTATAAAAGAAGCTTGCAAACCCAATGAATTTCTAATTGGTAGAATTTCTGGAAGTGCATTCAAATTCCCATTTAATTCATCAGTAAGCCATCCATCCCCAAAACTTACCGAATTCATCCACTTTTCTCCATCTCTACCATGACCAGCCTAGTCCAAATCAGCAGTCTCTCATATTCTTCTCACTTCCTTTCTTGCTCCTAAATAATCCAGTCCATTCCGTTATCCAGACTCTAGCCAGATTGATCTTCCTCCCACCAGTTCGTAAATAACTGAAGCAAGTTTATTAGGTCTGCTCACATAAGTCTGTTTAGGGACTGAAACAGTACAGCCTAGGTCACCAACTCTTTGATGTTCTGACTTGATCCAGGGACAGATTTTATCTAGAATAGGAACAACAAGCCCAAATGCTCACAGGGCCTTGGCATGTGACATAACAAATTTCCTAATAAATTCAGAAGCTTTAGAGGCCAGATAACCTGCACCTTTTCAGTATTTGGCCTGCCATCTAATGTAGAGACTTTAACAAAAGCCATTTGGTCTCCAAGAAGAGAAGAGTTGAAGATACAGGAAAGTACAAGACAGGAGCAAGTGGTCTCACTGAGACATCTCTCGGCAAGGTTGGAAACCTCTGGATAAATTTCCTCATGTTTCTTATCCCTGTACAATTCAGTAACCATTAGGATTCAGATCCCATCCAGTGGTCTAGTCCTTCTTCTCCCACTTCCTCATTCACATGGTTTCCTATACTCCTTTCCCTCAGCACATTCCCTTAGCCCTTGGTAACTTTAGCTGCCATTTTCCCTCACAAAACAGAAATTTTGCTAGCCAAGGATGACACTGAAGCTGGGTTATTTAATTAAAACTTTACTCTCTGGTATTAGCAGGGATTTTTCAACATATCTTTGCTACTTTTTCTTACTATCATCTAGTAGCTTTTGAACCATTCAACTCTTTTTTATTATTATTTCTTTTGAGACGAGGTCTCACTATATTGCCTAGGCTGGCCTTAAATTCCTGGGTTCAAATGATCCTTCTGCCTCCACCTCCCAAGGGGCTGAGACTACAGGAGCGGGCCACCATGCCTGGCTCATCCAACATATTTGACAAGAAACTTGTCACTTGGGTTAATTTCTTCCTCTCCATTTCAAATCTGCAATCATTCTTGTCAGTTTCAACATCTGTAAAGATGGGCCTTTAATTTCATCAGCCGAATCTCATAGCTCTTTGAGTTTATCCATGATCTCATTTCTCTTCAGCTTCAGCTTCAGCCTCCCACCTCTGTAGCCCTGCTCAGTAACTTTTATCACCCACAACTGTCTCTGGAAGCTCAAACTTACCACTTTATAATCACTTTCTTTTGGCCTTCCTCATTCCTTCAACACCACCAATCTTGGAAACTCAGATGACATTTTTGGTAATCTTAATTCTGTCACTTTCCCCAAGTCCAACAGTCATTTTTTAAATCATAATTTCTTTGCTGCCAAGCCTGGACCATTTAATCTGTCAGCTGAGGTAGAAACACCTGGAACATTCTTTCACACTAGCGCTTAAGCCACCAACCAATTCTACATTCTGATTTCTCTTTTCCTATACAAAAAAAAAAAAAAACATGGGAGTAAATTGCACAGTGTGCTGTTCCCTCCCCCTAGGATGCCTTCCTCACTTACTAAAATAGAAAAAATAGATCACACTAATTCTGCAATTGTCAGCTCAACCACCACCACCACAAAGAAAATTGACTAGTGGCCACTGAATTAGCCTCACTCAATTACCCTCTAAAATACTTAGGAAAATTCATACCAAAAAATTTTAAGAACTACTCCCAGCATTCATAGTATAGAAGAATCTAGGATAAATTTCCATGCATTCCAAGGCTGATGTTAACTAAATTTTAGTTCCTAATGCTTTTTTCAATTCAGTATGGGTAGAGGAACCCTGTACCTCCATGATCAGGATGTATTTTTAAAAGAAAAGCCAGCAGAATGTGCTGATGGTTGAGATGTGGTTTATAAAAGAAAGTACCCCTAGAGTTTTTTCCAGTCATTAGTTGAGATAGACAAATTAGACAGTGGGAAATAGAGCATTAATCTGTCAGTCAACCATAGGATTAAGAGAAGACACACGGCAGTTCACAGACACATTTCTTCCAATTTGAGCATATTGGTTTTAAAATGAAATATATATATGAAAATGAGTATCCCAACCAAAGATAATTACTAGAAAAGTTTTTGTGTATACATTTCATACGAAAAATTTAAACTTGCTTTTTTAGACATTGACTCAAGAGTATCTTCAGAGTGAAGTCTACCTAATTGGCTAAGATAGATTTACACTATGTTTCCTCTGTGTTCTTATTATACCTTGAAAAGCCTCCATTGTAGCAGTGTCACAATGTGGCTTTGTTGCACAGTTGACCCTTGAACAGTGCAAGTGTTAGAAGCACTGACACCTCGTGCACTTGAAGACTTGCCCATAACTTTTGACTCCCCCAGAACTTAACTACTAATGGCCTACTGATGACTGAAGCCATACTGATAAAATAAACAGTCAATTAACACATACTTTGTATGCTGTATGTATTATATACTGTATTTTTATAATAAAATAAGCTAGAGAAAACAATATGTTATTAAGAAAACCATAAGGAAGAGAAAATACATTCACTGTTTATTAAGTGGAAGTGGATCATCATGAAGGTCTTCATCCTCATCATCTTCATGCTGAGTAGATTGAGGAGATGGAAAAAGAGGAGGGTTTGGTTCTGCTGCCTCGGGGAGGCATAGGCAGAGCTGGTGGAGGAAGTGGAAAAGGAGGCAGAGGCAGGCATACTCAGTGAAGCTTTACAAAGTATATCATAATTTCTGTCTGACTTTTTTGCTTTTTCATTTCTCTAAAAATGTTTCTACATAACACCAGTCCTTCTTCTACAGTTTACTTTAGCTTCAGTGCCCATATCGTAGAAGGGTTCAGTTGTAAAAGAGGTCAAAAGCCGTATTGTGTAATGCGAACCCTTCTTCCAGGTTGTCTAATGTCAACTTGTTTTCTGGCACTGCTTCTTCTTCATCTTCTTCATGATCTGGTACTTGTTTGGAAGGACTCATCTCCATGAAATCATGAATACTTCAAGTTATCTTTTGTTAATTCCTCTGGTGTGGTGTCTATTTGCTCTTGAATTTCTCCAAGATCCATATCTTGAAACCCTTCACCTCTTCCCATTTTTTTTTTTTTTTTTTTGCCAAATCCACAAATTATTTCACAATTTCCTTGACTGGCTCTCTCATTAATCATGTAAAGCCATGCACAACATTGGGACACAGTTTTCTCCAGCAGGAATTTATTCTTTTGGGCTGATGGTTTTCATGGCTTTTTCTATAGCAACAGTGGCATCTTCAGTGGTGTAATCCTTCCAGATTTTCATGATGTTCTCTCTGTTGGAGCTCTCTTCCATAGCTCTGACAATCCTTTCCAAAGAGTACTGTGTATAATGAGCCTTAAAGATCCTATTACCCCCTGATTTAGAGGCTGAATTAGAGACATTGTGTTTGAGGGCAAGTAGACCACTTTGATGCCTTCAAAGTGTAGAGCTCATGGGGTTCTGTGTGATCAGGGTCATTGTCCAATGTGAAAAGAACTTTAAAAGCAGTCTCTTACTGGCAAAGTATTTCCTGACTTCAGGAACAAAGCATTGATGGAACCAATCCAGAAAAGGGGCTCTTGTCCAGGCCTTGTTGTATAGCCAAAAGACTGGCAGCTGGCATTTATCTTTGCCCATCAAGGCTCAGGGGTTAGAAGCTTTATAAGGACAGACCTGATCCTAAACCCAACTGCGCTTTCACAAAAGAGTTGAGTTAGCCTACTCCTCCCTACCTTAAATCCTAGTGCTCACTTCACTTCCTTACTAATAAATTTCCTTTGTGTTTTTTTTTTTTTTTTTTGAGGGCACCTTCATCTGCATTAAAAACCTGTTCAGGCAGATATCCTTTCTCCTCAATGATTTTCTTAATGGTGTCTGGGAACTCGTCTGCTGCCTCTTAGTTGGCAGAAAATGCTTCTCCTGTTACCCTGACATTTTTTAAGCCAAACGTCTTTTTGAAATTATTAAGCCATCCTTTGCTAGCATTAAAATCTCACCTTTAGATCCTTTACCTTTCTTTTGCTTTAAGTTGTCATATAATGACTTTGCTTTCTCTTGAATCACATTAGAGCCTGTAGGCATGCCTTTCTTTTAGCAATCCTCCACTCACATAAAAGCTGCATTTTCAATACAAGATAAAAAGGTGTTTCACAAAAAATGCAATGTTTTCACACCTGCTTGTGTAGCTGCAGTGATGGCTTTATGAATTTTATTTTCTTTTGTTTACCATGGTCCATATGCTGGATTCATTTATTTTAAAATGGTGGGCAACTGCAGCTACAGACCTCAATCTGTGGTACACATCAAGGCATTCAGCATTTTCCTGTGATGTTGTGGATTTGTCTCCTTCTTGGGAGCATTTTCAGCATTACTAGAGGTACTTTGTATGAGTCCTACGGTGTTATTCAAGGTTACAGCATGGCATTAAACAAGATGAAAAATACACAAGAACAACAGGAGGTTTTATTTTATTTTTTTTAGTTTTTACTGCAATACACAGTTTACTGGTCTGACAAATTGCTCAGGAGAAAATGATTAGCATCACAAGTCATTTTAAGCAAACACTGGAAATACTTGTGCTCACTGCGATAGCAACAGGAGATGGCTACAAAATTATTATAGTAGTATGGTGTATACTACCGTTAATTTTATGCTGTTATGATTTAATACTGCATTTTTACATTTGTTTACCTTTCTCTCTACAGTGCCATGCATGGTCTCAATATGTTCATGTGTATAAGTTTTTATTTATTTTTTTTGAGGCAGAGTCTTGTTCTGTCACCCAGGCTGGAGTGCAGTGGCGCGATCTTGCTGCAACTTTCTCCTCCCAGGTTCAAGTAGTTCTCCTGCCTCAGCCTCCTGAGTAGCTGGGATTACAGGCATGTGCTGCCATGCCCGGCTAATTTTTGTTATTTTTAGTAGAGGTAGGGTTTCACCATATTGGTCAGGCTGGTCTCGAACTCCTGACCTCACGTGATCCACCCATCAATAAATTTTAACTTTTTGTAAGATTTATGTACATTGCATGATAGTAAGTGATGAAATAGGCTGAAATCTACATATATTTTACATTTTCATGGCATATCTTTTTCTTAATTTTTAAAATATTACTTGGCTGTGTGGTTCAACTTTGAGCTTTTTAAAAAATCGTTGCAAATTTCCAAAATTTTTCCCAATATATTTATTGAAAAAACAATCTACATATTAGTGAACCCATGCAGTTCAAACCCATGTTGTTCAAGAGTCAGCTGTATTTGTATGTGTTTGTCTCCCCCACAAGGACTGAGACGCCCTGAGGGTGGGACATTATTTTTTCACTTTTCAAATTCAGTACATGGTCATAGTCCCTAATATATAATAGTCACTCTAATAATTTTGAATGAAACATGCTAACCATGGGGGCCAGAATTAAGGAAGGGGAACACTGCCAATTATCAGAGAGTTTTGGCAATGCCTGGACTGATTTCTCTATGTATGCATTATGAGCTCGATATTGAGCTGATGCTATGGGGCAAATAATAAGGGTAGGATAAATCAAAAATATAATTCCCCACTCCTGCGAGACATAATTAACCATTTTAAATAATAAGCTTTCTACATGTGTGAAAGAACTAGAGAACTAGTTTTAATATTGTCCATAAACTAGGTAGAAAGATAGTAACAGCTTTCATAATATAGGATCAATTTCTGGGTGGTTACCATTGCAGCTGAGAGACTGTTACTGCTATCTAAAAGGACAGGTTTGACCCTTTCTTATGTGGTTGGTTGATCCTTATGCATGTGGTCTGGAGATGAACAAGTAATTTTTTCAGGCTGACTCATAGTTTTGTACATTTCAACCCAAGTCTTTTAGTATTCGTTCACCTTTCATTTGAGGAGAAGCTAAGTGCTGACTGCCAGAGGATGGAATAGGAAGACAATGGTGAGAGTTTTCTCTCTCTTCTTATCCAGCAATGTTTTAGTACTTCTTATAGATTAGCTCTCTGGGAAGTGTCTTCATCCTAATGGTTCTGTATTCAGGGAAAAGGGAATAAATCTGCTATTTCTTGCTGACTATCGGGCTTTAGCTTTTCTTCTCCACGGATCTTGTAAAGAAAAAAGTGAGGGTGTATGATATATGGCCAGAAAAACCTAAATCAGAAAGAAAGAACATTGATCTAGATTGCAGTGGATATTGGTGGATTTTTTTAAAGCTCTAAACTTTAAAAAAAAATACTCAGGAGTCCCATATAACCAAGAAAGAAATAGAATGACTGTGATAAAGGGTAGGATCCTCTGCCCTGTATCCTCCTCTTTGCCCTTTATTTTCTTCCTCCTGGTGGCCCCTGGAGACTCCTGCTTGACACCACTCCATCCCCCATGAAACTTGGGAGAGTTCAGTCTGAAAATAATGACTCCAGATAAGGAACTCTAGAGTAGATTAACAGCAATCAGTGGTGGTGGGTATATTTTCTACCCCCACTTTTTTGTGATTCTCTCTATTTATCAAAAATGAAACTTAGTAGACATGTTCTTCTTTTTCTTTCCTGTATCCTTTTTAGGTTTCTAGCCATCCATGAGAAGGAAGTTAATGAAAATGGAAGTCAAATTTTAAAAATGACTGGACATGCATTTTTTCATTCCTTTTAGCTTTTGCTTTTATTATGTCTTTATTAAACAGTAAGACATTCATATGAAAAGAATAGAAAATACAGATAAGCAAAAAGAAAGCAAAAAATGAATTTAGTGAAATTACATACCTTTCCCATTCATGTGCAATTTTTACATACTAGAATGCTACATAATTCAAGTGTGAACAAATTATTGCACATTTATTGGTGGGAAACTGAAGACATAAATAATGGATATCTACATTTAATGTTACAAAAATGTTCCAACCATATTGTTGAGTTAAAAATAATAGAAAGGAAAGTAGGCTCAATAATGCATACATTATATATATATGTATTAATATATTTTATATATTTTTCCATTTATACAATATGTATTTAAAATGTATATTAACAATATGCTTTGTTTTAAAATAGATACACTTACATATTTACAAACATACTAATT
Organism: Homo sapiens; assembly: GCF_000001405.40. Lineage (NCBI taxonomy): Eukaryota > Metazoa > Chordata > Mammalia > Primates > Hominidae > Homo > Homo sapiens. The sequence goes on from NC_000007.14 coordinate 121,077,785, forward strand.
TTTTTAAATGTAAATATATACTTGTCTTTTACCTTTATTTATGGTATTTCTAGGCTCACATACGTTTAAAATTTTTATATAATCAAATTATTATTTTTAAAGTGTTTTTTACACCTCACTTTCAGGCTTAGAGTATCCTCAGAAGTAATTAGAATTTACCTTGCTCGGTTAGTTTTTTCTTTTTATACTCTGTTGTTCAGTACTTTATGATTTGTTTTTCGCTTCTTACTTTTTACTTCATACTACTATATGATTTGTATTTTTTGTTTTGTTTTTGTTTTTGAGATGGAGTCTCACTCTCGCCAGGCTGGAGTACAGTGGCACGATCTCCTGTCATTGCAATCTCCACTCCTGAGTTCACGTGATTCTCCTGCCTCAGTCTCCCGAGTAGCTGGGACTATAGGTGTGCACCACCACACCCAGCTAATTTTTGTATTTTTGATAGAGATGGGGTTTCATCATGTTGGCCAGGGTGGTCTCAATTTCTTGACCTTGTGATCCACCCTCCTTGGCCTCCCAAAGTGCTGGGATTACAGGTGTGAGCCACTGCACGTGGCCTGATTTGTTTTTTAATTTTTAGTGGAGCATGACATTTTCATAAGCCATTTCTTAGTTTTGAAGTAAACGACTTTTCTAGGAGGACTGCTTGTGGCCAGGAGTTTGAGACCAGCCTGGGTAACATGAGATCCTGTCTCTGGAAAGAAAGAAAGAAAGAAAAAAAAAAAAAAAAAAAAAAAAAAAGACTTCTATTATTGACATACTAGTTGAAACTCTGACCATTTTATGCTTGAATTGCATATATCCTAACTATTTCTGTATGTTGGCCTTATTCTCTCTTTCTGCAGATGGGCTTTCTCCACATGATGGAGAAGATGGCTGCCAGGTACTCCCTGTTCAGAAATGCAGCCACTTCCTTTTCACCTCCAAACTGGGAGACCAACATGTGTCAACAGCCCACTCTGCTCAACACTGTGACCAGGAGAATAGCTCCTGTGAATGGTTGGGCTGAGGCTGCTCCCATGGGCACTGTATTAGTTTGCTAGGGCTGCCGTAACAAAGTACCACAGACTGGGTGGCTTAAACAAAAGAAATTTCATTTCCACAGTTCTGGAGGCTGGAAGTCTAAGATAAGGTGTCAGCAGAGCTGCTTTCTTCTGGGGCCTCTCTTTGACTTGCAGATGACCGCCTTCTTGGGATGTTCTCACATGTTCTTTTCCTTATGTGCAAGCCTATGTCTGTGTCCTGTTCCCCTCAGGACATCAGCCATATTGGATTAGGGCACACTCAAGTGATTTCATTTCACTTTAACTACCTCCTTAAAGGCCCTATCTTCACATACACCCATATTCCCAGGGACTGGAGGTTAGGACTTCAACATATAAATATGGGGGAGGAACACAATTTGGCTCATAGCAGCCAGGGATGGGTGGAGAAGACAGAAGGCTGCGAGTAGCAGATTCATGATATCACATGGAAACGAGAGAACAGATCCCCAAAGAAGAAAGAGACACTGGACAAAAACAATAGATGTGTATTAGTAGAGGTGTTTGAAAAATGTTTGTTGACTGCTTATGGTAAAGCCCATGGAATTCTTAGGCAGATGTAGTCCTTTCAAAATCATTTTAAAGTAAGGAAATATTAATCTTTCCTTCCCTTCAGCACCAAGAACTCTGATACTGCCCACTGGCTACCCAGGTGCCCATCTGCTGGTCTATATGTAGAATTGCCTTTCTGTGCCATGCTTGGTTCTTTGTCTCGCAAAAGATAGACCAGGCTCACTTAGCCAAAGGTGTCTCTTGCTCCTGTGTTGCTCATAGCTTTATACTTTGCTTTGGCATCAGGCCAGTTTAAAAGTCCACTTTCCAGAAAACATTTGGCAGTTTGCTGACATCTCTGAAGTTGTGCAAAAGACTGACTGGCTGAGAAAGCTGAATAACCCCTCTGCTCTTTGGTAGAGTAAATTTCGAAGACCCCAGTGTCAAACTGATTTGGGAAATTTTATGTTTCTGGTGTTTGACTTCTATACTTATGTTGTCCTGTACAGACACTTACCTATTTCACTTAGAGAGTTTGTCATCTTGTGCCAAATGCCACTAGAAATTAGAGGCAACATTGGGTAACACGCTGATAATTTGTAGGATTCTGACAATTAATTCTGATTTTCAATAGACCAAAACTGAAGAAGTGAAAAGAAAGATATTCAGTTTTTTGATCTAAATCCCTCCAGCAGGCCCGTTTACTCACGTAGATGGTAAACATAGATGTGTAGCAGTGTGTCTGTATAATACCAAAACAGCTGGCTAACACATGAACTTCAAGCAATTGATATTGGATTTCTTTGCATTACATAATAAACACTGAGTAGTATACCATATTTTTACTTTGCAGATTTGGTTATCCTGTTCACCTAGCCTGAGTCTATTAATCAATAGTTTATTCTTAGTTGTGTGTAGACATATTCCATGTCTCACTATATAGCCTGTGAGAATAAAGTATACTATAAAATAAAGTATATTACAATTGTTTGGATCTTCCTCAACTAATACATCGCCCAGTGATTGTGATATGATATTTGCCCCAATAAATTCTTCCTGAACCATTATGTTTGCAACAGAAATATTAGGAGTTAATCTGAAACCTGGATCAGATTTCTAAAACACATTGCTTGCTTCAAAATAATGAGAATTTTTTTGCAGAAGTGGTCAAACTTTTTATTTTGAAGCCATCAGGGGCTCTGCCTGGGGATTATGAAGACTGAGTTAAGGGTACAGAGTACAATCAAGTTCCAGGAGTTCGCTGCTGAGGTGGAGAAAATTCACCCTAAAATTTACATACCTGCTTTGTGAATAAAACCAATAAGTGAAAGAGAACTATACTGTACTGTAATTTGTATTATTTACTTATGCATTTTAAAAACCTTCATTTTACACACACACACACACACATACATATACCCAGAGAGAAAGAGATTGAGAGGGAGGGAGAGAGTTTGGTGTTGGGGGATATACTGTTTTGAACTTCAAGATGATCACTCTTCCAGTCTCCTTCTGGTGGTAGAGACAGATATTGAGCAACAAGAAACTTACAAGTGTTATAAAAGAAAAATAGTAAGTTTGCAGTGCTCAAGGCTGTTTTCATTTATTTTCACAGAAGTCCAGGGCTATGCACTGATTTCTGATTTGCAACATATCATCAATATTAGAAAATAAAAGCCCACCAAAGTGATGCATTAGCTGAAATGCACAGAACTCCATAAATTGTATGGTATATAACATGTTACTCATGGAAAGGTGATGCTCGTTATGACTAGTCTCTTGAATTTACTTTTCATTTTAACCATAATTAATATTAGTAGGATAAATGCATTGTCACAGGCGTCTAGCCTCTTCCAATCTGACACATCCTGTTGAAAAATATATTGATAAAGACTCAAAATGAGAGTTGCAGCAAACTATAAACGAAGTGCAATACATTCGTTTTCCTTAATAGAATCTTAGAGTCTTTCATTTGCATTTGAAGTTGTGGTTAGAAAGGAACATGTCTGGCAGAAGTATAATTAACTGAATAAATAGGGTAGCTTTGGAAGATGTTTTACTCTTTGATGGGTTGGGTGTGCTCCTTTCTGGGAGAGAAGCATGAACTCTATTATATAGAAAACCCCATTCAAATCCTGTGATTCATTGCATCAATAACTTTTAAGACCATTTTCTTTCCACTTCTCCTAGCACCATCTAATGGTGAAATATGGAACTTTCTCTTTTCTTCTGCGTCACTTTCATTAACATCATAGGGTTAGAGCAGCTGTGCAATCCCAGTGTTGATACTCATTTCACAAGCAAATGTGTTGCATTTGAGAAGGCCAACTTTTGCCCAAAAGGAGGTACTCTGATTTAGAAAAATAGGCAAGTAAGTGCAACTTAGAGATTGAGTACAGTCAACAAGCATAATTAGTACTCGCTTTTGGCTTGTTGTGTAGATAATTATGGTGGGCTTTATGATTTATGCTGCAGGATTATTTTATAGATGTTACCCTAAAATAATAACAGGAGAGAACATTAATTTGTTGAACTTATCGTATGTCAAACACTGTGTCAGGCACTTTATACACTTCCTTCTTTCAACCCTCTATAGCAGTTAATTCATCCACATTAGCTGAGAGGGCCTTTTCATGGCGCATTTTGCCCCACCTATTTCTGAGCATCTATGAGAATGTATGTATGTATGTTTTGATATGAATTTTAACCCTAAAGGAAGGAATTTACAGTGATGGCAGAAATCAGGAATCCTATGGCCCAGGCTTGCAGCAACCTAATTCCAGTTCCACCTAGCTGCTAAATATAGTCATGCAACTTTGGGAAAAGTCCTTAGCCCATTTGAGCTGCTTTTCTAGACTTGTAAAATGGAAATAATTAAACTGACCATTCTTTCCTTATAGAGTTATGAAAATGCTTTATAAAAGAATATTATGAGTCTATGAAAATAATATATAAGAGATTATGTCTATATTACTCTGGATATCCATGGATTGATTTGCAGAAAGCAATTGAATGAGGTTTTCTGTTTTCTACCTCAACATAAAGCTGTCACAATAATATATAATGTGCTTTTTTGAGGCATTCTGATTTAGAAAGAAATAGGCAAGTAAGTACAATTAAGAGGTTGAGTATAATCAAAAAACATAATACTTGTTTTTGGTTTGTTTTCTAGATAATTATGGTGGGCTTTATGATTTTATGCTGCAGGATTATTTTATAGATAGATTACCCTAAAATAAAGCAGGAGATGACATTAAATTTTTAACTTATATGTCAGACACTATGTCAGGCACTTTATACACTTCTGTCTTTAAACCATCTATAGGATAACCATCTGTAAGATAGATATATTCATGCCTTTTTTAGATGAGTAAATGAAGCCTTCAAGAACCTCTGGGCTACACAGCTGTAAAGCAGCATATCCATATCTAAAGTATTATGCTATAACTTTGTGATAAACTTGAACCACTATACTGTATTTTAAGTCTGTCTTATAAATAAGAAAATAAGAAAGGAGCTATTTAAAGAAAATTGTTTCAGCTAGGCCTAATGAGAAACTGAATTTACCTATTCTATTATTATTTATTATTCTTTCATCAACTAAAATGATCCTTTAAATTTCTTATTTATAATAATATTTATGCATAAGCAGAAGTTAAGTGAATGTGCTGAAGGCAGAAGACTGTCTGTCTTTCTCTTGCTTTGTCTTAGTGTTTGTATAGGGCATTCAACAGCAGATGGGAATGAACAGCCCTGGGAGAGTCAGAAGCTCCAGTCCTCAGCTCTCACTGGCACTCTCCTCCTTGAGGGTCCTCCTTACCCTTTTCTGTTACCTCTTTTCTGATGTGCCTACTCCAGACTCAGCTCTGCAAACCATCTACAGCCTTTCTAGGCAGCATAGAAAATTTACCAATGCAAACCTTACAGTCCAGTCTTATGCCTGGGATTCATGATGAGTCAGATGTGGGTGTAGCCACCACCAGCATTAGCTCTGGGCCTCCAGAATAATAGTGACCCCCTCCCACATGGGGCACTTGGAAGGGCCAAGAATTAGTTGTCCTAGCTTTTTGAAGCTGTCCTTCTGGTCTTCTTGGGAGGGTTTATGATAGTCTTTAGAATTCACTGATTGTGCTGCCAAGCTGGTTTGTATAGCACCAATCTGGGAATGTTAATTAATGAATGCAAGTAGAGCCAAATTATATTTTATGGGAAATATGTGATTTCTGTGGAATTAATGGTTGTTGAAAATAGTTTTCAGAATGAGTAATTGCTTTGACCTGATTGCACAGGTGCTGGAGGATAGCAGGGAGGTACAGATGGAGCCAGGCTGCGTATGTGTAAATCCTGTCCTGACCACTTGATATCCCAGTGTCCTTGGGCAAGTTGTACCTTCTTTGTGCTTCGCTTTTCTTCCATCTAAGTACTGACCAAGCCCGACCCTGCTTAACTTCCGAAATCAGACCAGATTGAGCACTTTCAGGGTGGTATGGGACTGTAGTCTGTGCTTCAGCTTTCTGTCTACAATGTAGGGATGATCAGGACTCTGTCTCCTAGGGTTGCTAAGAGGACAGAATGAGTTAATACATTTCAAGTACTTGGAACAATGCACAGTGAGCACCCCATAAATGCTGAGTATTATGATTGTTTTTTCAATAAGTATCTCCAGAACTGTTAGTTTATAATTAGTAGCTACGACTTTAATCTAGTTTGGTGAGACTCATGTTTTTAAGACTCACTAACCTGGAGATAGAACTTGGATTCTAAAATCATTACAAAAATATTTCTTTGCCTCTACCTACATTTGCTATTTTCAGGCTCCTTCCCCCTAATATCCTGTTACTAACCACTACTGAGTCATCATAAAGCAATTCTCTCACTCCTATCAGACTCCAAATTCTCTTTTGAAAATAGATATATATTCATTGACACCTGGTTGATCCAGAATGAAATATCTATAACTCGCCTATCCACATAATTTTAACAAACCAGTATAATACCCCAACTCTTTTATAAAGGAAAATTAAGGTGAAAGTAATTTATAATATAACAACATGTATTTCAATGTGTAAATATTTATGCACGATTACACCATAGGGTGTAATGAAATAGTCAGATGCTTCCACTCATCTGTAGAATCACCATGAATGTGACAGCTACAAATTCAAATTGCTGTGGTTGTATCATAGAGGGAAACTAAGATTCCATAGGTCACATTGCTATTGGTGATGTGCCTTTCCAAAATGGAAACAGCTCTGGAGAAAGTCACAAATAAAGCAAAGCTTAGTGTCCCCTTGCTTGGCCATGGAATTTCATTTCTGCAAAATTCAGTATGTAATAAAACTGATTAAAATGAGTAAAACTGAGTTTATATGCAAAACCACATCAAGCTCTAGGTTCAAATAATTACCAACTGGCTTTTCATCCACATCAATATCCATTGAGACATTCAAAAGTTATGTGGGACAGGGGACAATGTGTTGTTGCACAGGGTGATACTCAGCATCGTAGCAGCTGTTGTGGTATGAGAATGAATGCCTAACCATTTAAACAGATGTTAGACTTTATACCTTACCAGTGCATTCCAAAGAAATACCAGATCTATCTTGCATAAGGCACAAATCTATTTGTGGCCTTTATCCATTAAATTTCAGTAGCATTGCTCATCGTAGTGACGGCCCCAAATGCTCCCTTTGTCTCAGAGATCACTTCCTATGTATTCATAAGTACAATCCTCTCATACTTGTTACAGCTATATTCACCGTTTACTCCACTTCTGCTGGAGTCCCCCATGGCCATCTGCTGCTGATGTACACCACTGCTCATGCCCACCAAAGGCACTCTGCCCCTGGGCTCCATGTGGCATCGGTCCTGCTGCTGCAGCTGCCTGTGTCTGTGCTGAGGTGCCATGTCCAGGGTCAGGGACAGAGATTCATGCAGTACCTGCTTCTCCTCCTGCTGCTGCTGAAACAAACTGCTGGTGTACATCCCACTGTACTAGTCATTGTCCTGCCCAGGGCCTGTCATCCCTTTAGTTTTCCAAAGCCTGAATAAGTAAAAAATAAATTGGATTTTTTCAGTTCAGTAGGCAAAATCCTTCTTTATTATTTTTTTCTATTGTATGTAATATTATAGTCTCAACATCTCACAGATAACTTGAAAAAAATGTTTTAGTATTGTTTTAGCTTTTGACCTAAACCCTGGAGTGGAAGTGGAGCCTGTGGAATACAAGAACAGCATACAAAAAAGTGCCTTTCTTTTTTGTCATCCTGGTATCCTTGGGCTTCTCTTGCCATCTACCTCTTTTTTCTTTAGGAGAGATTCCTTACTATTAAACCTCATGCATAGTTCTGCCAGTCAAGGCCAGACACAGTGGACTCCTTATTGAACATGGATTAGTTTCACACTAAAACTGCACTATACTGATAAATAATAACCGAATAGCATCTTGTCATCTCTCATTGACGATAGGGTTTAAAAGAACAACAACAAAAAATAGATGTATTTTCTACCATTTCCTATTTGGGGGGTTGTCATGGTGTGTTTAGTACCCCTGGGTTTTAACAATGTCCCGACTGAGCCTGAAATATTTCTCCCGAACAGAGTTTGGATACAGAGCTGAATTCAACCTTCACATATAAAGCCGTAACTATTTATACCATTGTGATCCAAATATTGCAGAAGCAGGAAGGTTTACTTTGAATCTAAATACAGAATTGAGAAGAAAGGGAGGAAGATGACATGGTTGAGTAGAAAGGTTATGCTTAATCTGTCTTCTTCAGTTCAGTATTTTGTAATGTTTCTGTTTCTACATTCCTTCCCTCAGTCCCGTGTAGGTCAGCCCAGCAGCCAATTTTAGAACAGTTTTGTGTCATTTAAGGGAAAGAACTTTCAACTGTATTTGTAGCAGGCTATAAAAAGCAAAGATACCACCCACAAAATGATATCTAAATTTTTCCAATTACGTGATTTATTGGTAAATCTACACATTTGTTGTGCCAAGAGCAAAATGAGAAATGTGCCAGGTGTACTCAGAGTTTTAATTAAGGAAACCTTACCTAATGGAAAGATTTTAATAAGGTATTTTGTTGTTTAAAAGCCATTGAAACAACATTTTAAGCCATTTGTCGATAAAAAGCCCTCAATTATGTAGAATATGGCTCATGAGGGAAAGTATACAAACTGGAAAGAAAACAAAAAAATTTGAGTCTTATGTTGATTTTGAAAATCATTTGGGCACTAGTGAGAAACATGTGCCCAAATGTCAACTCAGACTCCTGGGACTGGTAGATACTGCAAATTTTTTAAGTGATTTGGGTTGGAAAAGCTAGATTCAAGGGATAGAAGGAAATGCTGAGTAAATGCCAACATTCTCCAAGATAGTGGCAGTCACTGCAAGTTGGAAACAAGGTGAGTGGTTTTGAAGCACAGTGCTGAAAACCTGAATTGCAAATCATTTGATGGATAAGGGTGGCCATGAACTTTTGCCACTTTTCACTCCAGATCCATGAAATTGAATGAACATTCTTGAGTTTACCCTCTCTCCTAATGGAAAATTCATGCACTTTTGCTCTAAATCTGATTTTGCTCTGCTACCAATGACCATCACTCTTCACTGGCTGACCTCAGAGGCAAACTTGGGCAAGGGAACCTAACCCCAGCCATGAGGGCTTGAGCCAGGCATAGCAGGGGACCTAGGTAGAAATGACCCCTTAGAGAGAAAGCTGAGCATTACATTGTATTAAGTAAATAAATAAACAAATTAAAACACTCAATCCCCTCTCCACCCAATAACAACAGATCTGATTCCCAAAGTCTTGAATAGGAGTTGGAAATTTTAATATAGTTTTTTTTCTTTGGTTGGGGGAGGCAAACAAAAAGGCAGCAAAGGGGGAATTAGCCATCCTCAATACACAATAAATTTTTTGCCAAATTCAGTTTTTATAACCCTCTTCTCCTACTAAGTAACTCCCTCTAGCTCACTAAAACACTATCCTGCCCAACATCTCTCTTCATTGGTCTCTTTGTCCACTCTTCTCTCTCCAACAAACTGATATAGATTAATAAATCAGTTTATTATTTCCCATTACTTCAAACAACATAATAAAGACTTGGTTCCCAAATTAGCCTGTATCCCTCTTTCTTAGAGAGGGAAGGAAGAGGGGTATCTGTATTTTGACATTTTTTTTACTGTTATCCAATAATTTCCCATTTTAACTTAAAGCTAACTTGAATTATCTCTACTACTTACAATTCAAGCTTTTATTCAGCTTCCACTATCTGGGTCTGCACAGCCAAAATATGACAAAGAGTTCAAGCTCAAGGATTCTTTCTTTTTCTTTTCTTTCCTGTTTTTTTTTTTTTGGCAGAGTCTTTCTCAGTTGCCCAGGCTGGAATGCAGTGGCATGATCTTGACTCACTGCAACCTCTGCCTCCCGGGTTCAAGCAATTCTCTGCCTCAGCCTCCTGAGTAGCTGGGATTACAGACGCCCACCACCATGCCTGGCTAATGTTTTTTAATTTTTAGTAGAGACAGGGTTTCACCATCTTGGCCAGGCTGATCTTGAACTCCTGACCTCGTGATCCACCTGCTTCAGCCTCCTAAAGTGCTGGGATTACAGGCATGAACCACCATGCCTGGCCCAAGCTCACAAGATTTTTAAAGCTAGGACTATACTTCCCTAATATATTGAAAATGAATGTGACATTGAGTGCTACAAAATTATTTTCTCTAAGATACTTAATATATTTGATAAGAAATAGCAAGATATAAATGACTTCTTATCCATCATTCACCTATTCTTAGGCATTTATTTAGCAGTTTAAAACAGGAAGTTCAAGTCTAGGATTGTTATACAGGGCCATGCAAACAAGTGGTGTTAATTGAAACAAGATGCTGATGTCAAAACTCTAAAGCCTGGGTTAGCGTATGTTAAATTTGTGAAAAATAATTCATACGTATGTATATTCATATATATGGTAAAAGCATCTTGCCAGCACAAATGATAAGAGATGATTACAGAAAACTTGGAAGAATATCCTTACAGAAATAGTCATTTGAGGCCGGGCGCAGTGGCTCACGCCTGTAATCCCAGCACTTTGGGAGGCTGAGGTGGGCAGATCACGATGTCAAGAGTTCAAGACCAGTCTGACCAACATAGTGACACCCCATATCTACTAAAAATACAAAAAATTAGTTGGGTGTGATGGTGTGCGCCTGTAATTCCAGCTACTCGGGAGGCTGAGGCAGGAGAATCGCATGAATCCGGGAGGCAGAGGTTGCAGTGAGCCGAGATTGTCCCACTGCACTCCAGCCTGGGCGACGGTGCGAGACTGCTTCTCAAAAAAAAAAGAAAAGTAGTCATTTGAATGTAACGTCCTGGCTTAAATTCTCCCTGCAAAAGAAACAGGTTAACTTCAAAAGTTAAAATCTAGGCAAAAATTGGCAAAAAAAAAAAAAAAAAAAAAAAAAAAAATTGAAAGTGTAATAATCTCATTAACATCTTTAAAGACCAGCAATTATTTAGCACTTCAGATAGGAAGGCCCTTCCCCTCTTGGCTCAAATTAATTGGATAATTCTTTACTCATATGCAAGATATAAGATAGATGTACCTGGCTAATGATGGGGATAACTAGCTAAGGCTGAGAATTGAGACACCATTTCAGAAACTCTTCTCAGGTTCTGCCTGGCTTCTGACTCAGGCCCTTGGGTCCTCATCTATGAGGAGTGAACTCTTGTGTTATATGTCACTCAGCCAAACCTGAACCCCTCAGGTTCTAATCATATCACTGAGCAACTGGAGGGAAAGAACCTCAAGGCAAAATGGTTTAGTAATCCTATCAGAACATCTTTTCTGACATATTTCCATGTTTTTGACTTGTTTCTGGCATTTGGAGCTCTAACCCTCATTAGATTTCATTGTGGCCATTGGCTCTTGCCTCTCCAAGGTCTATATTCTTACCTCCTTTTGGGAGTCAGATATTATAAAAATCTTGATATTTTAAATATGTACTTGGTTCACATATGTTTACTTTTAAATAACATAGAAATAGAGGTAAATTAACAGGAATATTGTGTACATTTTATTATACCAAAAATACCAGGTAAAAATTGAAGGTTAAATTTGCCTGTGAAGTTGCCATTAAGTAAAAGATATATTAACACATGGTTTCATTTAAATAGGAGCCATGACCCCTAGTGTTTGTGTGTTACATTTAAATTAGAATTGACTTTCATATATATACATACATAATTTGGAATCACTGTTATAGGGTTCTAGTAAGTTATTATTCTGACTTAAATTATTTCAATGATATCTGATAGTTACTGCAGAAAATATTCCTGAGAAAAAAGTTTACTATTAATAAAGTGATAAACTACTTTTCACAGTGGGTGGGTTTAGGCTGCCATTCTATTATCATATTTGTTTCACTCTATGTGTTAATATTTTTTGGAGGTTGTGTTTTAAATTGTTATTAATGATGCTCATTAATTTATACTAAATTATCCACCTTTGGTCTTGTTGCAGTAGTCAAGCATTTTTCTTTTTTAAAAAAATGTCATTTCCCCTGGAAAATTCATGCAGAAAACCATCAAAGGAAAATTAAACTGCCATAAAGTAATAAAACAATCTTTCATGCTGTGTGGTCATTGCAGCGAAATCATAGGGCAAGAAAATTGAAGTAGTAGTCTAGATACAGCTTTTATAACCGACAAGAATGAGCAGAACTCAAGGTTCTTATGTGGTCATGGTCAAAACATAGAGCAGTCCAAGGGGAAAATTATTTCTGTAGAATTGCATGACTTTGACACTTCCACTGAAAAAGACTACAAAGAAGAGCGTTCATGGCTTGCGTTTACTGAGTGCTCCATAAGCATTTGATTGAGTGGTTAGTTGGTGGAAATTTTGTACAATGACTACCCCTTTAGAGCACATTGCTGTGTCATTGATCTGGCCACTTTTATGGGTCAAATTGTGTCTCCACTTCACTGGGACATGGACTACATTTCATTTCCTATAACAAAGTGAAAGTTACTGTTTTTCTGCCAAGAGTACTGTCTAGAAATACCATACTATTCGTATTTGTGGTTTGTTGTACACTGATATGATAACATCATATGAAAGATATTCTGAAACCATAGAGAATAAAATATTGTTATCAAAGTCACACAAGTAGTAATACAATAATGTCAGATCTTGATAAGTGAATTATGAGTTGCCTATGTTAAGGCTAGAATTCTGTACTAATATACCTTTATGTGTTTGGCGTATCCATTCTCTCAAAGATACTCTGGTCAATGCTATTTGCATAAAATAAAAGTAAAAACGTATTAAAGAATCGATGTGTTTAGGCCAGGCGTGGTTCACAGCTGTAATCCTAGCACTTTGGGAGGCCAAGGAGGGCAGATCTCCTGAGGTAAGGAGTTCAAGACCAGCCTGGCCAACATGGTGAAACCCTGTCTCTATTAAAAATACAAAAATTAACCGGGCATGGTGGCGGTTGCCTATAATCCCAGCTACTCGAGAGGCTGAGACACAAGAATCGCTTGAACCCATAAGGCAGAGGTTGTAGTGAGCCGAGATCCTGCCACTGGCACTCCAGCCTGAGTGACAGAGTGAGACTCTATCTAAAAAAATAAAAATAAAAAAAAAAGCATAGAATTGTTCAGAGTATACAGATCCCCAAATTATATTATTTAAGCTGAAGTGTAGGTCTGAAATAGTTCCTGGAGTTTTGTCTAGGTGTCATAAATCTGTTGACTACAAGCTATTTCTGTTTTAATTTGAGTTGGTTGCTTGAAAAGAAGTATGTCTGAACAAAATACAGAGGAAGAGACTTAAATACTGCAGTAACTGAAAAAAAAAATTGCAGTAACTGACTCAGTCCTAGGTTTACTCCATCCATAGAAACCTAATACAGAATTCCTTTAAAGAAGTGAAACAGAACAAGAAATGAATTCCTTTCCTGGGATACTGCAATGCAAAATTTGAGGAGGATCACTAAAAACATAGTGTGTCTTTACAGGCCATGTATAAGTAAAGATACTGTGTTTTATTTTGGTCTTGTTTTTAAGAGAGTAATGTCAAATACCAGATGTTTAAGAATGCCATAAGAGGATTCAGTGGATTCACTTTTATCTGTTAGTGAGTAGTGGTGGGAACCTGTTAGTGTTAAACTCAAAAGGAATAACATTGTAGCTACTCTTTGAAATTTCCGAAGTTAGAAACAAGATTTCTAGATTATTAAAAAATCTATATTAAACTACTATTTAATAGTAGCAACTGTGTAACACTTCTTGAGCATATAAGTCAAAGGCTGTGCAAAGCACTTTAAGGGAAATTCATATTTAATTCTGTCAGCATCCACATGAGGTAAGTTCTTAGTATTACTATTCTTATTATTCTAATTTTCCAGATAAAGAGACTGAATTTTAAAAAGTAAAGAAATTGACTCATGATTACACTTATATAGGCATCTATTAATAAACAGAAATTCGTGTTTTTAAAATGTTATTTATAATATTATTTGTAAAATATTTTTGGAAAAATATTATTTAGCAACTATCTATAATGTGCTGGACAAATTAGATTATGCATCTTTATTGGTTTCCCCCACATCATCTTGGGCCCAAGTTCAGGCAATTTGGTAAAACAAATGAACCCTAGGCCTCTAAATCCTTAACTTTCTCAGTGTCCTTGTAAGGAGCAGCCTTCCTTTTGGCTGTCTGCTGGTGACATTCTCTCCTATGCTTTCCCATGCTCATTGTGGGTTCCAGGGGGCTTTGCTGATATTAGGCCTCTTGGTCTTAGATAGTTAATCTATGAGCTGTGGATCCCTTCCTGGGACTGCCTTGGTGCCATTGTTGCAACCCACTCTTGTGTACGTAGTATTGTGCCAATCTAACACTACATTGTGGTAGCGAGAGAAAACCAATCCCCACCCATGTTATACACATTTCCTAGGTCTGAACAATAAGTTTGCCTTATACAAATCCAGTGAAGTTGCTCAGCAGTTGGCTTGTTTACTCTTTTCATTTCTGTACATACATCTGGTTATTTGGGTAAGAAGAAGTGGAGTTCACTTATTAAGTATAGATTTATCTGAGATCCTATATTAAGTGCCAGGATGTGTTTGGTGCTTGGCACTAGTCATTCAGTGGAGAAAAAAAAATTAGAATCTTTGCCGTCATGGAGCTTATAGTCTAGTGAACTGAGAATACCCTTAGATGCATTCAAAATAACCCTTCTCTTCTAACTTCCAATGGGTGATCAAGCTTGTAAACTTGACTCTACCTTGGGATATGTTTTCTCACCATTTTATACACTGCTTAAGAGGTGAAAGGGTGGTTGATGCTCCTCAAATAGTAGTTAGGGGGTAGGAGCTTGTTCAGCTAAAGCCTCTTCCCACGAGGCTTATTGAGCCTCACTCAAATGAAATTGGAGCTGATTGACCCTGTGGAGCACTCATAATGACCAGAACATGAGAAGTTAACAGTGGGACTGCATTTCAGCTCTGGTGCTGAGACCCTGGCCACTTATCTTCTCCATTAGGCCATTTATAGCACATATTTAAATCATAACTTTGTATCTAGGGTCACAGAGATTCAAGATTGCAAAGGACCTTAGACACCATCTACTTATTCTTTTAGTCTACTTGCTGCTAGACTTTTTCATCATCATACAAAGAGAAAACAGATTCAGAGCTGAAGATTTTTGTTCTCTTCTAGCAACTGGCACAACTTAGACTAGGCTTCTATTGTTTTCAAAGCACAAGACGAACACTCATTGAGTGATTTCAAGGTCCCCTTTTTGCCATTTCTACCTACTGACATTCTAGACACTGGAACTGTTTTTCACAGTAGTATGTTTAGTCACTCTTTCTTCCCCACCGTAGGCATCATGGTGAAGGAAAAAAATTAGGTTGAACATTATGAAATTGCTGATATTTGATCAACATTCAACAATTTTTTTTTACCTAACAAAAGGCAGTTTTATGTGGCTCAACCTATGCTATCCCTTGCTGCCACATCTAAATGCTCTTATTTGAAATCAAAGCTAATATTGCTCCCTTTTTCTGTACACACACACACACACACACACACACACACAGTTGTTTGTTTGTTTCTCCAGGACTTGTGGCTACTGAGAAGACTAGGGCCAAAACTTGTATTTACCAAGTACAGTGTAGAGTTTGTGCTGAATATTCTCTATTTGCCCCTCAGATTCACTCTACACCCATCTCCAGGGAGCCGTCCTCCACAGACTGCATCCACAGGGCAACCTTGTCCCCTGGCATCTAGCAAGAGATTGAGGACAGGAGGAAATAATTTGGGAATATTTGTTGCCAGGCTCCTTCCCCTCTGGACCCTGGCTTGAAAGTGGCTGTGTTCCTCTACCTGTAGCCATAGTCTTCTTAATGGCCTTTCCTATAACAATGCTTTTGCCTGGTTCTGGAAACTTCTCCTTCCTGGGCTAAGAGTGGTAAAAGCTTCCCATTTTGTCGGCCCTGGGGAGCTCCTCTACCCCTTGTTGATTTTCCTGAACTATACCCATGTGTTTGTTAACAGTCCCTTCTTTAATAGTCTCATGGTTGGTAGTCTGTTCAGTTACTCCTTTGACTCTGCTGTCTTCTGGGGCCCTGACTGATAGAGTGATTTCCTGGCTGTGACTTCAGTTTGTGCATATATTAGTTTCTATTTGCTATATGTGAAAGTTCTGATGTTATATTTGCAGAGCTGTTATACCTGTAGGCTAAGTTCTAAGACTTATCAATGCCCTCAGGCAGGAGGAACAATTAATGTACTCATAAATGGTACTTATTTATACTTCTAATCTCAAAACTAATTGCGAATTATTAAGTAAGGCCTTTATCTTTATTGAAAATTTTAAAATAAGAAAATGCTGGCTAAATCTAATTTTCTAATATCAAAATGCAAGACAATATTCAAACATCTGTGAAATATAATTATACTTTTATTATTACTTCCCTATTAATTATTAGTTGTAAGGCAAAACATTAAATCAAATGCAATATGAATTTGGCATCTAATCTTTGCCAGTGTAAGTGTTTTTTCAGTGTTTAATATTTGACTGTGGTGTATATACTCATATGTCACATAGAAGGGAAAGAAGTAATCGAATAAAATGTTTTTAATTCATTGGAATATGATTTTGTTCTCTAACCATAGATTGGCTTAAACCTCCAAAACAAGTTCATTGTTAGAACAAATATTTCAAATATTTCCTGAGCACTTATTTGAGTGCTTATTTTAGTCAGTATAGTGTTCAGTGATATGGGAAGTTCAGAAGATTCATGGGATTTACATTCTGGATTTTAGAAGGCTTCCTAACAATGTCACAAGCCTATTAATTGTTGGTAGACAAGAACCAAAACGAAAGCCCAGGTCTCCTGTTTCTGGTTTAATCATCATTTTCATAATGCTTTTTCCCCATAAGCAGGCGCTCAGTATCTAGCCAACCAGATATTAAAAGATATTGAAAAGCAGGCTTCATGCATCCCTAACAAATTGTTCACTTTTATTCTGGGTAAACTTTACTGATCATAAAGTTACAGGCTTCAGGGCTCTCTAAAATAAGCTAAGAGTAGCCAATAAATAAAAGTACAGCACTATCCACCATATGGTATTTCACATTTTAATCTATTTTCCATTCAGTTTGCATATTATGCGGGCAGGAAAGCCCTAAAGAGTCATGCCTAGGTATTCCATATTAAGTTACTTTAACATTTTTAACAAGTATATGTTAATGAACTAGGCTATTTGGAAGACTGTGTCATACAGCCTCATCACCCAAATCCCTTCCAAAAACAGAAGGTCGTTTGAGCATTGTTTGTAGGAGATTTCTAGGCTCTTTGAGTGTGTTGGTTGGGCTATGGAGAAGGGGGATGGATTAATAAATGGATTAGACTGGACTGTTGAGAGAGCCCTTGAAGGCTATGCCAACAGATACAAGAAATAGTGCTCCAGACATACCTTTATCTGTTAAATGATAGCCTAGGACACTGAAATGTTTACACGATTATTTATAAAATTCCATAAAATGCATTTGCAGCTTTTAAAGATATAAATGAAGCTTATATCTAAGTTGTGGCTATAATCAAGTTAAATGAGAATAATTTTAGAGGGGACAGCTAATTACAGAGGTTTTTTTTTTTCTTTTAGAATAATAAAAAGTAACATCCAAGCCTGGAATAATATAATTGGAAGCCTAGAATTTATTGATATATGTATACATATAAAAATAAAGGTAACATTATTTTGCTCAGTATTCATTTCCATTATCCGATCACAGTTTCAGAGATTCATGTGGAAATCTGACATAGTCTTGGCAATTCCTGTATTGGACCCCTTCAGTTTCATGTATAGCTCCACTTGAGCTAAACCAGAAAAAAGTGACATAAAATTGTTTATTCTTTTGACATGTTTTTTGACAACTTCCTCAAAACCATTGAGATACTATCTTGGCACAAAACTTAATATGTCTAGCTTCTTTAATGTCAAGTGTGCTTGGGTTTGAAATCAATTCTGTGCTTTTTGGCAGCAAGGTAAGAGGGAAATCAGAGTAAATTATACTTTTCTCATACTATACAAAAGAAGCCTCCAAATCAGCTCTTTGGAGAAACAAAACTTGTCCTAGTAATAGACTCTGAAAACATAACTCTATTTAGTAAAATTTTAATTAAGAACACGTATTTTATTACTGCAAATTGAAAGGCTTACATAAACATTTCAACTTTTTAAAAGTTGTGATTCCCAAGAAAAGAAAATTAACTTAATGGCTGTTCATTCATCACCTCCAAAACCAAAGCCATTTGAATATTTCCTTTATTATGATGTATTAGAACTTCATTAAAAGGGAAAACTTACAAGTAAGTTATCATTTTTGGAGGAAGATCACACTGTGCTAAATAATGAGATACGGGAATACATTGAACAGCTTGACTTCTGCTGACTTTTACTTAAGAGTGTGAAGTGTTTTAAATTAGACTATGTTAGTATTGATGAAATGTGCACAAAGGGGAAAAATAATTTAAAGGCTTTGTTCTATTTTGAGAGCTAGATAAATTATATAATTAAAAAATAAAGCACTGTGACCTGGGATTAAGAAAACAACTTCTAAATACTGTTGGAGAGAGTGGAAATTGGAGCAACCATTTTGGGAGGCAATCTGGTCATGTCTAACAAATTTGCAGTGCGTTTACCATTGACCTGGCAATTACACATACCAATACAAATCCGCCACTAGACAAACTTGTAAAAGTACACCAAAATAGATGTATAAGAGTATTCATTGCAGTACTTTTGAAATAGCAAAAGAAAAACATTACAAAAATAATGTAAATACACAACAATAAAGAATGGCTAAATCAAATGTATATTTATTTATTTAATGACGCACCCTAAGCTATTAAGAGGTATGTATGAAATAACTCTGAATATGCTGATATGGAAAGGATGCCAGGATGGGTTAGTAGGTATAAATAAGCCAGACATATATTATTATGACACCTCTTTGGGATAATTAAAAAAACAAACAGAAATACCTACATATATAGGTTCATGTAGATACATTGATATTTATATTAATTACATCAACTTTTATATTGAAGAAATATATGCATCTGACCCAATGTGCTTATTCAGATCTTACAAGTTAATACGTAAGCATTGGTTTTTGGTGGGAAGAGGTTCTAGATAGAAGTGAATTGGAGGATGCTTTTTCTGCTCATTTGATTGCTTTCTGTAATATTTGATTTTTGTAATCATGTATATGCAATAACTTTATTTTTAAGCATGTCCATATGAGTGTTCTTAAGTAAACCATTATTATTGTTCTTTATTTTTATATACCTTAAAATCCAATAATTAATATTTTATAAGACAATAAAGCCCTGTTGTTGAGATTCCCAAGGTCAGGAAGCATAACAAAGTTTAGTATATCAGCATTGTATTGTCAGGAAATCAGCTCAAGTTTTCTATGTAATATTCTCATGACAAACAAAAGTCTGCTCTTGCAGCCACCACCCCCTCATTGAGAATGCATCCCTTAGCTTTGTAGGATAGATCAGCTTGATGTTGGACAGTTAGAGACATTGTATCTACCTCCCCTTCTGAGCAAGAAAATGAAATCAATTATTACAGTTGTTTTCCTCCTCTGTAGTAAGAGAACATATGGCAAACAAAGGCCTCTCTAAATATGCATTCATACTTAGTGGATCCATTTTTGATTCAGAATGGGGAGAAAAATGGTTGCATATTTCTCATGTACCCTGCAGTTTAATACAGCATACTCTATTTTCAAAGCAGTTCCAGAAAGAAACAATAAAATGACTGTCTTCTGCTCTCTTGAATCTTTTCAGAACTGCAACTTCCAGTGAGTCCCTCTGTGTGTCTGGATCAGGGAATGCAATTAAAGCCGAGTACTTCGAGTCACCTTTTAAAAACAGTGAAGCCACGTGTGTGGAAACCAGGGGACTGGAGTCGTGAACAGCTGTAAGCTAATCATTTTGAATTGTTATAACCAGCATGCATTGTAGGAGACAGCTAACAAGAGAAAAGCACAGAACAGATATGGGGGGTTCACATGTGTGAATTATTAGTTTCTCTTACATAAATTTTCAGCTATCCTTTTTAAATAAAGAATGCCATCATTGACTTTCTCCTAGATTAATTCAAACCTGTCCTGCCAGAAAATAAACATTTGGGTAAATTGGACTCTTATCTAATAAGTTACATTAAAGGAAATTGAATTTAAAACCTTGACAATGCAAAACTATAAAATTTTAACTTCCATTTTATACTCAAATGACTTTGCCTTAGACTATGAATATGGCTGGATGCATTTTTTTTCTGCTATTTTTTTTATGGCTCTTAGCATCTAAGAAAGCATCTGCTGTGTATCAAGTTATCCAAGTTTTCTCCAGGGAAAGGATTTTATAATGTAGATAAATTATAGTTAAAAATTAAGAGGTTTTAATTATCTTACCCAAGACACAAATAAGTTTGCCTCATCTAATTTTATAATTATTAAGTAGTATTTAAACAGTTAATAGTATTTATTGAAGAATCATATGCATCTTGTGCCAACCTAGAATTTTAAAGTTTAAAGTAGGCCAGGTGCAGTGGCTCATGCCTGGGATCCCAGTGCTTTGGGAGGTCAAGGCAGGAGGATTATTTAAGCCCAGTAGTTCAAGACCAGCCTGAGCAACATAGTGAGAATCCATCTATACAAAAAATAGAAAAATTAGCCAGGCACAGTGGTGCATGCCTGTGGTCTCAGCTACTCAAGAGGCTGAGGCAGGAGAACCAACTGAGCCCTCGAAGTGGAGGCTGCAGTGAGCTGTGATTGCACCACTTCACTCCAGCCTGAGTGACAGCAAGACCTTGTCTCAAATATATATATATAAAAATATATAAAAATATATATAAATATATATATATAAAAATATATAAAAATATATATAAATATATAAATAATATATATATAAATATATATATAAATATATATGTATAAAAGCACAGTCCTTTCATTGATCAAACTTAGATATTTAACATTTAGAAATATGATGTAGAAAAGCAAATAATTATACATTTTGGTATCATTTATGATGAAAGCATATTTGTTTCATTACAAAATATTAAACTGGTGTTACTTTTCCTTAGTAGCCTGAGGTGTTTTTTTAATTTTTTTAATTTTTTAATATTTCATCCCTTAAGTTAACTCTTCATTATCTGGGAGTAGGGACATTAGGTAAGATTGAACTAGTGGGGAAAGTATTTTCGCATATTCTTGGTGACCTGTCCACTATTTAAAAACTTAACATTTTTTTCTAGAGAAGAAAAAATAGAGCAAAGGTAGGCAGAGGTAGAAGCTTTTAGAAAGTTTCACCCAAACTGTAATTTATATCACTTTTGTTGCAATGGTATCATGCATCTGAGGTCACGGGTACTGTAACTAATTTATATATTTATTTTTTAAATTCAACTTTATTCTACATACTACCTTTCCACCTTTTTATTTAATTAAATTAATTAATTTATTTATTTGAGACAAAGTCTTGCTCTGTTGCCCAAGCTGAAGTGCAATGATGCAATCTCAGCTCAGTGCAACCTGCGCCTCCCAGGTTCAAGTGATTCTCCTGCCTCAGCCTCCCAAGTAGCTGGGACTACAGGCCCATGCCACCATGCCCAGCTAATTTTTGTATTTTTAGTAGAGACAGGGTTTCACCCTGTTGGCCAGCCTGGTCTCCAACTCCTGAGCTCATGATCCGCCTGTCTCGGCCTCCCAAAGTGCTGGGATTATAGGCATAAGTCACTACGCTCAGCCACCTTTTTTACTTTTTAAAAATACTTTGATTAAATCTGCCAGAGTGGGGAACTATTACCAATTTGACTCCTTCTCGCTGTACCTCTCCACCACCTGGTGGTGATGCTAATAAGCAACTGAAATTGTTCAAGGAAACCCACACACTGAGGGCTGGCGTCCTACAAAGGATAGAAGCAGTTTACAAAGCTTGTAGGTAATTTACAAATTATGTACTCAACCCTACATTATGGAGCGCTAACTATGTTTTTTTTTTTTTTTAGGAATGAAACGACAGTCCTTGCTCCACATGAAACAATCTTTCGAGCCGAAGATCTATCTGTGATTCTTAAAGCGTATGTGTTGGTGACGTCCTTAACCCCTTTGCGTGCATTCATTCATTCGACGGGCACAGTTTGGAATCCACCAAAGAAAAAACGCTTCACTGTCAAGGTAAGCTCTCGGTTGAAGCTATTATTTCACGTAAGTACACTGAAGTAAAGTAAAGTGAGTTGGGCTGCCATTTTCCCACCTTTATGGTTATCAAATCCCATTGAACAAGGATCACATCTTTTTTATTGCCGCAAGAAAAGATTTTCACTTAATAGGTGCAGGTTTAAAAATGAACTGGAAGCAGCTTAATTCACTAGGGATCACAAAGGCTACATTCTTTTTTCTCAATTCATCATGATAGTTCAATTCTTTGATCTACTTATTACAGAGCTAGTTCACAGCTATACTCTGTTTTTCTTAATTTTTCACTTATTCAAGAAAAATATAGTCAAGGCAACAAATGAAAATACAATTTTGCCTTTGTGCTTTTTGCTTCACCCTTAGGAAGCATAATGCTAGTTCATCACACCAGTCAATATGGAATA
Source organism: Homo sapiens (assembly GCF_000001405.40). Taxonomy (NCBI): domain Eukaryota; kingdom Metazoa; phylum Chordata; class Mammalia; order Primates; family Hominidae; genus Homo; species Homo sapiens. Next base: position 121,100,520 of record NC_000007.14, read on the forward strand.
TTTGCTGAGTGAAAAATAAAGCTCTCAAGTGTGCCTAATATAGCAAGCTATGACATAAAGGATAATAGGGAAGATTTCAGGGAAGAACTCAATAATAATCCCAAAAAGTTTAATAAGTTATAAAAGGTAGCTCAGGTCAACTTGGCTGAAAATGAGATCTAGTGACAATATGTTTGATAAATTTGAAAGAAATTTTGATTTTACAGTATTTTATTGTTCTGCATACCAAAAAGAGGAAATAGAAATGGAAAGAATGCATAGGGTCCCTCATAGTTTGAACAGATTAGAAAATGACTGAACTTGATTTTTTTCAGAATTTACCTTCATAAACTGAATTTTGAATTTTGGAAAATCTTCCACCTCAAGAAGAAGGCATGAGCAAATTTTAGAATTTATTTCTGCCATCTTATTTTTTTATTTAGTATGCTTTCTTTTTCTCCTCTTAAACTTTGCTTTTTCACTGAAAAGCTTACATATTCTTCTGTAAGTTTAAAAGTTGTACATTCTTTACCTATATAACATACAGTGGTCACTGTTAATTTAAAACATGCACTCATTGTTTATGTTTTCCTATGATTTCTTAGACTTTTCAATATCTCTATCTGCTTCCCAACCTTGCCTTCTCAAGACTCTTTTGGTCTCTGTACCATGTCCCCAAATCCCATTATCACAATGTAGATTTTTAGTTTTAGTTGAAATAATCACTTGTTCCCTTTTTTGGTTTTTTTTTTCCTCAAAAACAAAACAAAACTTTATCAAGACACTTACCATCCTTACTTCCCCACATTGTTTACAATGCCCTCCTGGATTTATTTCTTTTATTATTTGAGTGTTTTCAATTTGAGTCTGATGTCCTTAATCTTTAATTCTAAAAATTTGTTTTCATGATTTCTTGAAATATTTTTGCTCACTGTTTTTATTCTTCCTTCTCCTGTTGACCAGATTTGATCCTTCCATTTCTATTTATATTATTTGGCTTTTCTTATCTGCTTTCTGGAAGCATTTCTGTTTTCTGAGACAGTTCTTCAATCTTATCTTTTGAATCGTACAATCTGTGTCCGTTTTTGCATTGCTATAAAGGAACACGTGAGGCTGGGAAATGTATAAAGAAAAATGTTTATTTAGTTCATGGTTCTGCAGGCTGTACAAGTATGGAACCAGCATCTGCTTGGCTTCTGGTGAGGCCTCAAGAAGCTTCCACTGATGGTGGAAGGCAAAGTGGGAGCAGGCATGTCACATAGTGAGAGAGGGAGCAAGAGAGATGCCAGGCTCTTAAACCAAGCTCTCCTGTGAACTAATAGAGGGAGAACTCACCACAGGGAAGGCACCAAGCCATTCATGAGTGATCCACACCTGCAACCCAAATACCTCCCAGCAGGCCCCACCTCCAACATTGGGGATCATATTTCAACATGAGATTTGGAGGGGGCAAATATCCAAATTATATCAAAATCCTTCTTACGCTATAGCTTTGTTGCTGTCTCATCCGTTGTTTCTTGTATTTCAGTTATTTATTTAATGCTGCATGTATAACTTAAATGCTCATGCCCCTTCACTTAAAAACTATGTATATTTTTATTTACTTCTGATATTTTTTACCATATTTCCTCTTTGTTCTTTTTAATGACTTCTTTTTCACATTTTATTTTGCTACTATCTTCCATTATTTCCTTGAGTATATTGCTGGCATGCTTATTTTAAATTCCTCATCTATCAGTTTTGGTAGCATGATATATATTGTTCAGTTTGTTGCCTTTCTTTTGAAGTAGCTGTATTTTTTGTGCATTCTCTATTTTGTCCTTTGAGCTTAAGTCCTCCTGCAGACATTATTTATTCCAGCTAGTATGATGTTTGGGGAAGGTCAGTCCTTTCAGGTGAATCCAAGGAGAAGGGACAGAATGTGCTCCAAACATGAAGAAACCACTTTTGGTCACTTCCCTTTGTAGCCAGGTAACTTCCCTGGTCAGAATTTCACCCCCTAAACTCTCTTAGGCATAAAAGCACAGGGAGGAAGCACATCTTCCTCCGTTATATGTCATCAAGGCTGAAGGTTGACAGACAGTAGGGTGGAGGAGTGAATGCCACATGTGACCAGTAACTCCATACAGTTTTTCCTCCTTTCTCCCAAGAAATTTAGCAATCTGAATCCTGGGCCTGGGCTTAGCATCCTTAACAAGGAAGGAACAACCAATAATTGCCCTAGAGGAAGACAGGGGAGAGTTAGGAGGAAAACGAAAATATTTTCCTTCAGCCTGTCCTCTCAAATAGCCTCCAACAACTCCCCTCCCCCAACTCCACTTATCCCTGACCGTGGCTACCACTGGTCAGACCAGTTCACAATAGCTCTAGACTCCCTTTCAAAGAGGTGTTTGTTATTTTTCTTTGTTATCAAATTCTTGCTTCATTCTCATTTCACCTGGGCTAGTGAATCATCTTAACAGGAAACTGAAGCTCTTAGGTATTTTAAATAATTTTTAAAGTATTTTTCCTCTTTGTATGTAAGTGCCGCTCCCCCTACCCTGATACAAATAACAGGCTAATTTTTATGATAGTTTTTATTTATGTATTTCCTGAAAATAAATGAAAAAAGAAATCTCCTTGTGATCTGGTTTTCTTTAGATTTTCATGCTTCATTCACTATCTCCTTTCTTATTCATATTTTTGTCTTTTCTGTGAGACAGATGCAAGCTGCGGTTGTAGCATAGGAAAGCATGCAGTTCTTGTCATTTTCATCCTCTCCTTGGGATTTATCTTTTCAAGATCTTGCCTGATTATTCTGGACAATACTGTTATCTCCTCAGAGGGAGGTAGTGCAGCTTCCTGGGTCAATGTGGAGAAAGTGATTGTTTCCTTACTAGTTCAAAGTTACGCTTGATGATACAGATAAGTTTCAGAAAACAAGAGGATATTTATTTACCCTTCAACTGATGTACTTGTTATTTCAGTTAAAACAAATAGATTATAACTCATCTGTTAAATTACTTAACCATCCTCAGAAATACTGCTTTCTACTGGTATTTTTAGATGTGAAAAAATACACAGAAACTTCTCACTGCTAATGTGGAGGACAAAACCAAACCCACTTTAAAAACTACCCACGCTATACCAGCATGTTATTAAACACTGTCCTTAAATTCCACAAAACATAATTTTGTGTGTGTGTGTGTATGTGCACGTGTGTGTGTACTGAGTACTGAATTCAAAGCCCAAATGACTTAGTTAAATCAGTAGTGATTTATGTACTGTGTGATGAGGCAAGCCCACTAAACTAGTTATCAGTGAACATTTATAGAACATTCTGGCAGCTAAAGAAGGTATGAAGGCAATAACAGATATAACTATGAGCTCATTTATTTCCAATTAGGTCTTCTGCTGAGATACTTTATCTGTTAAAGCTTTGGAGAGAGTAAAAAAAATCAAGAAATGCAAATTTGAGGAATAATGGAAAATAGAAGCTTTGTAAACTATTTTTAATGCCCTTCTACATAATAAAATATTTAAAAATTTTAGTGTTAGATGTTTCCCAAGGATGTTCAAACCTAAAATCAGAGGAAGTTTTGAAAGGGAAAAATTCGCAAATGTAATATTTGCTTACTATACCATTTGATCTGATTTTAAATCAACTCTATTTGTTGCTGTTAAGACAATATCATTTACTTGATGAGTATAATAAATCTAATTTTAAGAAATATTTTATTTTAAAATGTCTTCCCTTAAAAAGCTCTTAATTATAAAACTTCAGTTTGTATCTATAAATTCACGAGTAAAATTCTTTCACAAATATTCTAACTATAACTTTTGGTTAAATGCATCTATGTCTGTCTTAAAACACAGGTCATAAAGATTAACTGCAAGAAATGTCATAAATTTAAATTCGGTTCTTAGAGCAAAAAGTCACAAGTCATCCCTTCATCCGTTGTAAATCACAAAATAAGTTACCCAACAGAGAGGCAACTGTAATATCTGTAACTTTTTATGATGTCTGAAGATTCTTTGTACTTCTGACCATATTTGACTATTTTTATGAAAATGTATCGCTGAAGAGATTTGTGACTTCTGGCAGAAAAGCTTGTCCAAAGCCTTATTTTGTCCAGTCAAGACATAAATTAATTCATTGTTTGATCAGCCATCCCATATTTGAAGATGTTAGATTTGTTGCTATTCCATATTTGACATCAGATATAAAGTTATATGAAGATGATTCCTTGCATATAATCAGCTCCCTATAAATGTCTCTTCGATTGAATTGAATCAAAGGTCATTAAAAAAATTTTAACTGCATGAAGAAATTGCCTGAGTCTACTTTATCCCTAACTGCTATAAGCCAGCCACTCTACTTTGCAATGATATATACATGATATAGGTAAATATTATACAAATGATCATTTGTTTTCCAGTAAATGCAATAGACAGATGTCATAATCTGAATTTCTGGATAAGGGCCACTTTGATAGAGATAGGGAAATCTGGGATACCGTAGCCTTTTTTCAAGTCAGATTTGTAAGTTCTAAATCACCAGCTCTCTACCACCGCTGCACTGGCCTTCAGGGGACCATTCTTCCATCTCCAGTGCTTGCAGTTCCCTCTCACATCAATACAATCAGCAAATGTGCACAGAGGGCAGAGGAGAACTGTGGCAAAGAGAGGAATGGTGTTATGTACAAGATTCCTTTTAAAAAGATGCATATATCCCTTATTCATTTTGGAAATATGACACAGTTGTAGGGATGAAGTTAGCCTCATTTGTCGTCAATATTTATGCACTGCCTTTGATAATGTTGGGTGAGATTGCTTATATATTCCCAAGGTAAAAATGAGTAATGTCTTTGGAAGAAAGTATAAAGTGACAGTATGGTTTTTCAACCTTAGGAAGTGTTCTTCCCCTGATCTTCATTTTATGTCCAAAACTGCAGGCTACGAAGCAGACCTTGTAAAAGGCTTTTGACTGAGCATCTGGCCCTTCGCTAGGCCCGGGAGATTTATGTCAGCTGTAGAAAGAATGTGAATAAAAGTCTTCTCCTGAGAGTTTGTAAAAAGAGTTGACGTATTACTTAACCTACTTTTGCTTGAATTAAATTTTAAAATTGCATCAGGGTGTTCATTTTAAAGTATGATTTTATATAAATAGAAATTATAAATAACCAGCATGTAATTGAATAAACTTGTGACCAAAGCTGACTTACTTTAAAAACTTTTATAATAACTGCAAAGTAATCAGCCCACATTGATGTTAGATTGCACTAATACTCTTTATAGCAACTTTGTGTCTTTTTAAAAAGCAATTCATTCACTCATTCATTCATTCCTTCATTCCCAACTTGGTTCTATTAAAAGATTTGTCAAGTCATTTTGTACATTCGTTAATTCTGAAGGCTGAACTTGGATGATTATCCTAAATGTAAAGAAAACTATTCATTAATGATGATCATCTTTATCTGGCCAAAATGATAACTTAAGCAGATGACTCTAAGCCTCAAAAAGGCAAGCAATGTGTTTGCATTTCCAGAGCCTCACAGAGTTCCTGGCGCATGGCAGATGCTCAAAAATGTTTATCAGTGAATCGTTGTCTATCATCCTTATTTTAATTAAAGGTACCTCATTAATAATAACTTATTAAAAACTGCCATTTGGGGAAAATATGATTTAAGAGCAGGTTCTACAACAGAAGATAGTATTATGGATTTACATATTCCATCATTGTTAATTCAGGCATATTTTCCCTTCTGAACTAGGGTAATGAACGCATAGACATATGCAAATATAATTAACTAACATAATGCTTTATATAGGTAGATGCTATATAATGCTTTATATAGGTATACACATATATGTGTATATATGCCTACATATATATATATAATGTATTATGACAGTGTAAAGGTAAAACCTAACACTAATGAATAAATTTGCTAATTATTATTGCCTTTAATACTAGAAAATCAGTAGGCAAGTGTTAATTATATATCCAGAAAAATGGAGGTAAGCTAATACTCAGGGATTTCAGTGTGAAATCAGGTGAGGTAAGTTCATTCCTTCTTCCCTCCTTCTGGATGCTTGAAAGATGGAAAAGTTCCTCAATAGTACTTTGGAGGATAGAATGTATGTTTCCCTTCTCAGCTCCTCCCCTTCACCTGTCCTGTTCACAGCCTGCTTCTCCCTGGAGCCATCAAGGGAAGGTATATGCTGGGATGAGGATGGGACCCAGTTATGGACTTGAAAAGAGCAAGTGTTGTTTCTCTGAACTGGATCCTGGAAGTGTATTGCCCGTGAACTTCACAGAAGCTCTTAAAAATTAATCTCTGCGGGCTCTTCCTCTTTCTGCCGTTGCCCAGCACAGTAATGTCACTCTGATTTCTGTTACACCTTGCCGATAACAAGTTTATAAAATAAACAAGTGTTTAGAGTAAAAACCAAGCCTGGGAAAAGAGGTCTAGTGTAAGCAATCTTTCAAAGCACTTTAAGCGTCCATAGAGAGCAGCACCATCTTAATTTTTTAGTTTCTTATTATTTCTTTAATAGATGAGCCAGCTAAGCCGTAGAGATGTTCGAAGACAGAACAGCTGTATTCCCTTTCTTCACTACCCTCATGCAAGAAAGGATTGTTAAGATGGATCTTTGGGAAATGGACCATGAATTAAGGCAAAACTCCCTGCAATCTTCCTAAATGTTTTCATTTCTGTACAGACACCTAGAGAGTTATTGAATTTAATTTTATAAATCTTTATCCCTAAGACTTTAACAACAAGGCTTAACTTTTTCATCACTGTGGTAATGTTAAATATCTTCTGATGACAGGAAAATATATTGGAAGGAAAAAATCACATGAAGTCAGCAAACAGGAGAACAAAAACCAAGAGGAAAAATCTACTTGCCTAAATCTTTTTGAAATCCTTAAAAGAAGAGAGTTTGCTTATTCTTTATTTATGTAGGAAACAAATCTTCAGTGCCTGGCATAGTAGCTAATATTCAGCCGATTCAGGGAGAGAGAAATGAATTAGAATAGAGACTCCACTCATCAAATTGCTGAAAAGAATAATTAGTAATAAAAATAACTCCTTTACAAAGTGGTATGTGGGTGCAAAGTAATAACAGTGAAAATAATGGCAGTAATTGTCTCCAAAAATTAATCGCTTTAATGCTTAAGTTTATTACAGAATATTTACTCAGTGGGGAAGTTAAATGATTTTTACACTTTTACTTTGGGTATAGAAAAAAAGTAAGTTTTTACCAGTACGTTTTGAAACTTATTAAATGTATATCATTTTTGAGATTTTTATTAACAATATCCTTTATTCCTTGAGATCTGTCTCAAAGGCTGACAAATTCTAAATATAAAATATCCTCAAATGTGCCAACTAGGTAAAACTGATTTGTCTGCTGAAGGAAGACAGGCTTTTGCTCCCTTCAGGAGAAAATCTGACTTGCATTTGTCTTATGTGATTTATTCATTGTAAGTTTAAAATGAAATACAGCCTTTTTCCTTCCATATATTAAAATGTGGTTTCAAATTTAGAAGAAACAGCAATCTTTTTTCACTAAGGAAGCCTACATAGCAGTGAGATGGAGCAAAACAATTACTGTATTGCCCCCTAGTGGTCTTTTTTGCTATTGTACAAATAGTCTGAGCTGTCCAATGGCAAGAGGAAAAAAGGCAAAAATGCTTAGCAAAGCATGGAGCATTTTTCCCCCATTGGATTAAACATATTTATTTTAAAAAAGTTATTTTATAACCCATACTTACAGTAAGAAAGCTGTGCTTTTAAGTAGATTGCGAATGATGATAATTCCTCACTACAATTTAAATTACCTAGGCCACACAATTATTTGGAATGATTTCAGCATTTGCCAGCCACTGGACATTGTTTTTTCACTTAAGAACACTTTGTAAAATTTAATATGCAGTGCTATTAAAGAATGATATCCCTCAGATGACTATATGTTAAGAAAATTCATTCTTCCAGCTCAAATTCATATCATAAAATATAATAATCTTAATTTTTTTCTATGGAAAAGTTAAGCCTATTAGTCATAAACTTGTGAGTATACATTTAAGTGAAGAAATGTACATTTTGTAATGTTTTTTTCATATAAGGAAATTCAATGATATTTTCTAGAGCTCTTTCTCCTCAAGGAATTTACTTGAGAGTGGTATAAATATGCAAAGTACACAAATATAGGATATTTTTATGGAATATGGAATACTGACTTAGAAGAAATGACTTATAAACATGCTATACTGTCTTATGTGTAGATCATACAAAATATGTCAGGGATGTTGGACTGATTTCCATAAAACTCTAGTCTAAGCCAGTCACCACAAGCTCAAAAACACCACCCTGTCCCATTGCCCAAAAATTAAGACCTAAACTTTTTTCCTTGGAAAAACAACAACAACAAAAAAGATTTTGCAACACATAGTTTTAAACTTACTACACAATACCAGTTTTAAAATTACTGTACAGTTAGAGCTGGCATTTTATACTTAACATGTAAGACTGCACTACTGTACCCATGAATCTTTTGTGTTACTTCTATTTGATTACAACCTGAGCCTCAAATCTGCTGTTAACTGGAATTCCTTTAAATTATCTAAATGACCTGATATTATGATATAGAACTGAAAATTTGTGTTTTATTTCTCTGAGTGCTACTGAGGCAGCAGAAATGGATTCTCTCCCAGGACTCTTCAGATATATTTTGTATTCTCTACCTTCTGCAACATAAAGACGTATTTCATTGCTTTTGTTAGATCTCTATGGAGCGTCTGCCTATAGGGCGGTCATTCTCTCATTGCGTCACTGGCTGACACAGAGCATTCCTATACACATCACTCTGTCTTCTTTGTCTCAAAACAATTTGTCCTTTCACTCCCTATTCCTAGCCTGTAAAAGCAGTTCTTAGAAGCTCGATGAAGCAAGTCTTTAAAATTTAGAGAAAGGGACTTCAAACAGGAGAGGAAATTCCAAGCATCCCTTTATTTACATATATATCCGTATTCATATGCACTATGTTTCCCCTCTACATCAGCTTCTTCTTATTTGGTCTCTAGTTTTCCGGAATCTAACAGTTCCAGGTACCATAGCCTCATCAATCTGTTTAAAAAACATACTGTTCCAAACTGATGCTTTGGTAGAAATTTCTAGTAGAATAACTTCTGAATAACTTCTACTAGAAATTTTTTCAGATATATTTGAAAGGTATAAGAATTTTTCTATGTGCTTGATTACTCAGATTATCTACATGAAGAATATTTGTTCAAATCACACACAGAGAAATCATTACTTTAAACTCAGAAGTCACAGAAGAAAAACATTATGCTAAGGAAATATATTTCATTTTCATGCCTTCAAGGAGTTACTGTTAAAGAAATGTGATTTTACAACATGAATAGGACGATGATTACATCCTTTCAGGCTGAGTAATAAGCAAATATCCAATTGCATTTTTACTTTAAAGGAGAGAGAAATAAATCACCAGCATTAGATCTATAGCACTGGATATGCAGGAAAGAAAAGAAAAATCCCAAGCCATACTTCTACAGGTCTGGGGATCGGTGTGCAGTAAGAAAGTCCTTGTACAAACTCTATGACCTTAGACAAATCTGCTTACATCTATGGACCACTTTCCATGTCTATAAAATAGGGATGGTTTTCCTATGAGTTAAATTAGCCTTTTGATTCCTGCTACAAGTATTTACCGGCTACCTCTTATATGCTAGATGTTATGTTGGGCTCCAGTAGCATAGCAGGAAACAAGGCAAAGTCCCTGCCTTTGTAAAGTTTATTCTTGTATGGAATGACAGATGAAAAACAGATAATTAATTATACACATATAAAGAAATTCAGATAGTTACAGGTATTTAATATATCTAAGAATGAAATGAACAGGATGGATGTTGACTAGGAACTAACTGGTCTGCCCACTTTATGAGAGGTAGAAAGATTGCCCTGAATAGGTGATATCTGAGCTATAATTCTGTGATGAGACTAAGTGCCATTTCAAGAGATGACAGTAAAATACTCCCAGCAAAAGGACAATTCCAAAGGTAGGAGAGTCTTCACATATTCAGAGAATGCCACAACCACTGACTGTGTAACATGTTGAACACAGGGTGAGTGGTAGAGAGATTGAGAGAAAGGCAAGAGCCCAATCACACAGGAGTCAGGAAAGGTAAGAAATTGAATTTTTTCCCTATGGGCAAAGGGATGCCTCTAAAAGATAGTGAACAGGAGGCTATCATAATCTGATTTACTTTTTAAGCCCATTCTGCTGCTTTGTGGAGAACAGATTGAAGAGAATTGTGAACAGAGGCAGAGAAACCAGTTGCAAGGCCATTCAGGGGTCCAGATGAGGAGCATGGTGGCTTGATCTAGGTTGGTGAGATATGGTAGTCTAAAAAAGGAGAAATGTGGATACGTTTTGAAGGTAGAAACAAGAATTGGTGTTGGGGTGTGAGAGGCTAAAGAGAGAGGGTTCAAGGATGACTCTTCAGCCATTATTTGAATGGTGGTGCCATTGACTGAGAGATCAGATGGGGGAGCAACCAGTCAGGAGGAGGAATGGGAAAGAGAAATGTGAAATGAGGAGGTGGAGAGGCACACAGGTTCCTGTTCATACAGCAGCTTACCTGTTGAGGCTGGTTCTTACTCATCTACCTCTTCTCAGCCCTTGGTTGCTCTGTAACCTGACTGAAGGCCCTACCAGAAAATTTTTCTCCTGGACAATTTGGTGATTCTTTTTCCATTCACTTCCTCTCTCTGCCTTTCTTCTCCCCAGTCACTGTAACCCCTATTTCCAACAGAAGTATCCTACCACTTCTAAATGAATAGAAGAATAACTGTAGCTATTTGCCCATCCTGGTGTGACAGGGAGGTTCCCACAGCTCCAGGTACCCATTGCTATAAAAACAGCCTTGGCAGGGGTGCCTGTTTCTCAGCCACCATAAAATTGGGTTATTTTCAAATAGATGGTGCCTCAAATCACAAGTCTAATCTTTTGAAGGATAGTAGAGTGGTCTAGTGTGATGTATTCAGATAAGAAGGTGAGAACATGCTTAGGAAAATGCTCACCCTAAAAAGGGTTCAATCTATTCAATGTTTGGGATGGAAGCCAGAGTGAAGTTAGAGAAGTTTGAAACAAATAACTCAATCAGAATCAGCAAGGCTTAAGTTGCATTCTAAGCACTGAAAATAAAAAAGAAAAAACACATGAGGTTCTTAGATCACCTTCTCCATATGAGAGGTGTGAGAAGGAGATGCGGGCTCCATTTCAAAAAGAGGAGAAATGAAGACAAAATTTAAACAATGATAAAAGGCAAATTGAATCAGTCAGCTTTTGCAGAGCAAATCATCTCCAAACTTAGTGACTTCAAATAAACATTTATTATTTCTCATGGTTCTATAAATTGTCTGGACCAGCTCTGCTCATCTCTATAGGCAGATGGTGGCTAAGCGAGGCTGGGTAGTCTAGCCTGCCTTCACTCACGCTCCTAGATATTGGCTGGGTATCAGCTAGGGCCACTGGGATGACTTGGCCATGTGCCTGTCATCGTCTTGTAGTCCACCTGATGTTCCGCTACACAGTGGCAGTTTCAGGATTCTTAAGAATTGCAAGAGAACAAAGCCACTTGAAAAGGCCAAGTCCTTTCAAAGTTTTTGCTTGTATAGTAGATCGAATGGCTGTCCCCATAAGGATATGTCCATATCCTTACCTCCAGAACCAGTGAATATTATCTTGTTTGGACAAAGGGCCTTGGCAGGTGTAATTAAATTAAAGATATCAACATGAGATCTTCCTAAATTATCCAGATAGGCCCTGTGCATGTCATTATAAGAGAAAGTCAGAGAGAGATTTGACACAGAAGAGAAGACACACAAAGGAGAAGATACATCTTCACATCTTCACTCATGTGAAGATGAAGACAGACAGTAGAGTTTTGCACCCACAAGCCAAGGAATGCCAACAACCAGAAGCGGAAAGAGGCAACGAATGAATTGTCCCTAACAGCTTTAAGAGGGAACGTGGCCATGTGGACATCTTGACTTTTGGACTTCTAGCCTCTAAAACTGCAAGAGAATAAATTTCTCTAGTTTTAAATTGTGACGTTTGTAGCAATTTGTTACAGAAGTCCTAAAAAGCAAAAGGAGTTTACATCACATTTGCTAAATATCTCATTGGCCAAAGAACATCACATGAATAAGCCAAGATTAAAGGGGTGAAAAAATAGACTCCACCACTGGATGTGAGAAGCTGCAAAGTCACACTGCGAAGGGGTGTGCATACTGGGATAGGAAGAATTTGTGACCATTTTTTTGCAAACTGCCACACTAATGAAATACTTTCATGTTATGGCAGATTACCAGCAGGTTTGGCAGGATGTAATTTAAATGTGAGAATAGGGAAATATTTAAATTGGGGGCAAGGGAAAACAAGAGAAGTGGGAAGTGGGGACGAGTATCTTGACTGATGACTTCTCGACTAAAAGAGAAGTAAGTTTATAATGGTTATATGTCCTTCATTAAGTAAGGTATAGAAACAGTATAATTTCACCCACAATAAATAGGTTGAAAATTCATGCATTTAATCTATATCTTCTTGCATATATAAGTTTGTTCATATGATCATGGAGCCAAAACAACTCAAGGAAAAGCAATATTGAATATTTCAGTAATCATTCACAGCTAATTCAACTCAGTTGTACTCCAGAACTGTTTGGAAATCCCTACTATGTGCTGGGCCATGTGAAGAAAGACTCAAAGAGAAATACTGGTTCTTGCTCTCAAAGAACCCTCCAGTGGGGGAGAGTTATATATTTATAAATAACTCTAATACAGGGCAGAATGCAAGGCATGACTCAGAGTTGCAGAGACAGTGAAGAGTAGGAGAGAATTTTTCAGGCTGGAGAAAGTGAATAGGTTTCATAGAATGGATGGTATTTTAGCTGGGCTTGGAAGAATGAGTAGGGTTTCTTTAAAAATGAAGAGGGATGTTTACATTTGCTTTGCCAAGACAGCATGAATCATGCAGGTGAAAACATAGGTTATAGTCTTGGAACTATAAACTGCCTTATTTGGCCAGAATTTGAATGTCCTTAAGAGAAGGGAGAATCCTAGGGTGGACTGAGGTGAGAGGGATGGGGAAGGAAGGAAGGAAGAGAAAGAGACACAGGATTTGTGGAGTAGGTTAGACCAGATGAAGATATACTGGAGACGAAACCTGAAGAGCTTGAATTTCATGGAATGTAAAATGTAAAGTGACACTACTGTCATTTTACACTTCTGAATGTATTCTCAGATATAGTCTTATTTGAAACTTTTTTTTTTTCTTTGAGACAGAACCTCTTTCTGTCGCCCAGGCTTGAGTGCAGTTGCACGATCTCGGCTCACTGCAACCTCCACCTCCTATGTTCAAGTGATTCTCTTGCCTCAGCCTCCTGAGTAGCCAGGACTATAGATGCGCACCACCATGCCTGGCAAAGTTTTTTGTATTTTTTTGTAGAGACGGCCTTTCACCATGTTAGCCAGAATGGTCTCGACCTCCTGACCTCGTGATCCACCTGCCTCAGCCTCCCAAAGTGCTGGGATTACAGGCATGAGCCACCACGCCCGGCCTTATTTGAAACTTTTAAGAAACCCAGGAGATAGATTGAGGTTTATATCCACTCTATGGATGAGGAAGTACAGATTCATGATTTAGTGAAGACGACAGAACTAATAAATGTGGTTAGGATTGGGACTCAGATCTCCAGTGACTAAAATCTCTCTTAGTTACCACTGACAGCTTATAGTACTGCTCTGCATTCCCCCCATAAAGCTTATTGACTGCTGAACCCAAGAGCTCAATGCCTGAGGCAAGGATGCTACCTTCAAGTTTGTCCCTTACACCCTTGAGTTCTATGCCTACCTTCATGAACTGATGAACTGTAAGTGCAAAAAGAGACAGACTTGCTTCTGTAAAAGCAGGCTGAATATTTATAACATCATCAATATAGGACAATTGAGTTAAAACATTTCAGATGAATTAAATGTGGGTATAAAAACTTTCAAAATTTAGGGGGAAGCTGTAAAACCTAGAATGATTCTGCCCTGGGATTTCTTTGCAAGTGTCTTTGTGTTCTTGGTCTAATTGCAATTAAGTCCATGCCTATGGGTAAAGTTTCTGTAAGTTAGATGACTTGCAATTCCAATTAGTTCACCCATAGTCAAAGGCCTTGGCCATATGTCAAAAGATTGACAAAGGAATACAGGTTTAATTCTTTTTTATTTTTTAAAAAAAGTTTAAGAATTGGGTGTATCACTTTTTGAGTTCTCATATAAAAATAATGCACTTTTGTAGTAAAAAAGGATAAAGGTACTTCTACTGTTTACTGTGTGCATAAACGTATGCGCATGCATAATCGTCTGTTGATTAATTGTTATGTCCTTCAGGCGTGAATGAATTAACACCTTATGGTTTTATATGCTGACTTGGAGTGTTCAAGATAAGTTCAGCTACAATTGATTCATATCCTTTTGTAAATGTTGGGGACTTCTGTTCTTTATGAGCAGGGGACTGACATGATTGGAACTGGCCTTCATAAAGATGATGACTGGTGGCAATGGAAAAAATAATTGAGGGCAGGGAAGTCAGTAGTCAGTACTCAGGGCACATGGAGATGACATGGATTTGGGCTATCTAGCATTATATTTGACCAGATGCTAAATCATGAACTTTTAAATTATGCATAATTAAGCATAATTGAAAATAGCCCATGTAAAAGAATGAAATATTGTTTGGTGTGAGAGAGGTGTAAGGTAACTGACATGAGAAAGGTGTGAGAAAACAGCAGAGAGCTGTCATAAATTTCCTATGGATTCAAAAGACTTTACAGCCACTTAAAAGTTAGGGCAAATTGCTCTATCATGTTCTTTATTGTACAACCAGAACTGATTTTTTTTATAATGAATACATTTCCTTTTCTTTTGTGATTGACCAGGAAACTTAATAAGACCTAAAATAGATACCCTGCATAAAATATCCAGAATATAAATTGAAAACATTTTCCCTTTTTACTTTCTTACTCATTTGAGAGTATTTAGAGATATGAGATAGGTATCTTTCTGCCAAATGAATCCTTATTTGCAAATTTTTGTACTGCCTGTAACAAATATTACTTAGTACAGATATTACCGGATTTCAATGCCATCTTCTAGTCAAGGTAATTAATAAAAGATGGATTGTTTTCAAACAAGCTGTCAGACCTTATATTATTGGAAGTTCAAAGAAGGCTTGGTTTTAACTTTAATAGAAATAGTTGTGACCTGCTCGAACAATGGCATTCATATAAAGAAAATGAGCAGGCATATACGTAGAGAGTTCAATGATAAAATCTTTACAACTTTAGCTTTTGCTCTTTGCTGTTAAATCTCTCTGCTCCTTTATATCCCACTGAGAAATTCCAGAAGGGATAATAAAGAAAACCTGCCAGTTTTCTAAGAAGGTTGAATATAATGCAATCAAGGGTCCATCATTCAAAGCAAATAATTAAATTTTTATTCTATTCACAGCCTTTTGTATTTCTGTACTCTGCTTCTGAACAATTCCCTTATATGCTTGTGGGAGAGTTTAAAGTTTTCAGCTATGAAACTGATTAAATTGTATAGAATCTACATTCTGAATTTCCAAGTTTAATATATGCTATAAAGTTTAGGGCTGTTAAGAAGTACGAATGAGTAAAATTATAGATGTCACTGGAAACAGAAAACTTATTTAAATTTTGGAGTTTTTAATATAATTCCAAGGAATGAGTAAAAGTATCCTAATTTAGGTTCAGCCAATTTGGTTTTCTGTGATTTACACTAAAGCAAGCCAATTTTCAGTGAACTAAAACAAATGATGAGAGTATTTATATTCTTAAATCATTTTAGTTAACATGAATTTTTTTCTTGATCTAGGCAATTTGATTTAAGTTACAAAGAAATATTCTTAGTTTTTCCAAAAGGTAATTAGGCTACATAAATTCTCAAGTTGTTGAGTTGTTAATTGTGTGGGTGTAAAGGCATGTGCTTGAGAATTGTGACAGTTTTGAACATGTTTTAGATGAAAGTAAAAATACAGATGATTCATTCTTCTGGATTTCAGGGTCCATCCATAGTCCTAAACCTAATATGATCAAAAACACAAAGGCAGAAGTAATGCTGGGGCTTTGTAGCAAAGCAGATTGGCTTCAATACCCATGTTGGTTGCCCCCAGCTGTATAACCTTAGGCGTGTACCTTGCATTCTTAACCCCAAGTTTCTTCATCTATAAAATGAGAATGATGAGTACCATCTTCATAGCATTGCTATGAATACAAACAAAGCAGTGCATGTAAAATGCACAGTGTCTGCCACATAGTGTCAGCTTGGCTAAGGGTAGTGATTATTATTAAATACAACATAGAAACTCTCTCTCTCTCTCTCTCTCTATATATATATATATACACACACACACACATATATATACACACACACATATATATACACACATTATATGTATATACACACACATATATACACACATTTTATATATATATACACATTATATATATATATATATATATAAATATATATATATATGTTTGAGATGGAGTCTCGCTCTGTCACCCAGGCTGGAGTGCAGTGGCATGATCTCAGCTCACTGCAACCTCTGCCTCCCAAATTCAAATGATTCTCCCGCCTCAGCCTCCCGAGTAGCTGGGATTACAGATGAGTACCACCATGCCGGGCTACTTTTTGTATTTTTAGTTGAGACGGGGTTTTGCCATATTGGCTAGGCTTGTCTTGAACTAATGACCTCAGGTGATCCACCTGCCTCGGCCTCCCAAAGTGCTGGGATTACAGGCATGAGCCACCACACCTGGCCAAATTATATTCAAATACAACATGTACATTAAATTAAAAAATTATATCACTACTTAGGTTTGTAATTTAGTCATTTTTCTCCATTTCTCTAATCTTTTTTTCTCTTTTTCTTCTATTGTTAAAAATCTGATTTTTTTCCTTCTAAATCACCTTCCTTTTCCAAGGGTCCAGGATGTTCACTAGCACTTCATTTTTGGCCACAGCTCTCTCAGATGCATTTTGGAGTGGAGGCAGGCAGCCATATCCAGAGCTGGGTGTCATATGCCTTTGGGGATCCCTGATGACTCCCCAAGGGGCTCAGAGGCACATGGACAATTTTGAGAGAGTCACTGCCCAGAACTTCACCTTTCATACGGATCATACATTCAAACTTTCTAAAGTTTGATTTTGCTGAAAAGATACCTCTAAAGCAGGTTGTTCTTTCCCATTCTTTTTATACATCCTTCTGCTCTTCAGAAGAAAGACCAGCTTTTGCTAGCTCTGATATTATAATGATGGTTACTCAAAGGTGAAAAAACATTTGCCAAAAAAAAAAAAAGAGAAAATTTAACTATGTTGTTCTTTAGAGCAAGTGAAGGATGCCAATCACTAGGTAACAAATCCTTCACAATTCAGGTTGCTTTCAGTTCTTTGTTTTTAACAAGATTGAATATTTCATGATAAACCACTATGTGATTTTTAACATATACCTTGGAGGGAGTTGAAAGAACTGAGCCATGTTGCTATAACTAAACCCTTCCATCCACGTCTGTGTATTTATGTGAACAAATTTTCTTCGTTCTTATATTTAAAATATTAATACTGATGCTGAACTCTTCTTGTTCTAGCATTAAGTGGCATTCTTTTAATGGATATATGAATTAATTGAATAAAAAGAAACCGGCTGGGCGCGGTGGCTCAAACCTGTAATCCCAGCACTTTGGGAGGCTGAGGCAGGTGGATCATGAGGTCAGGAGTTCGAGAACAGCCTGGCCAACATGGTGAAACCTGTCTCTACTGAAAATACAAAAATTAGCTGGGCATGGTGGTGCATGCCTGTAATCCCGGCTACTTGGGAGGCTGAGGCAGGAGAATCACTTGAACCAGGGAGTCAGAGGTTGCAGTGAGCTGAGATCACACCACTGTACTCCAGCCTGGCTACAGAGCAAGACTCTGTCTAAAAAAAAAAAAAAAACAGAGAGAGAAAGAAAAAAAAAACCATATCTATCTGAGAGATTGCATTAGGTCATTCTTGTGTTGCTGTGAGTATCTGAGACTGTGTAGTTTATAAAGAAAAGAGGTTTAATTGGCTCACCGTCCTGCAGGTTGTACAGGAAGTATGGTGCAGGCATCTGCTCAGCTTCTGGAGAGGCCACAAGAAGCTTTTACTGATAAGAGAAGGCAAAGGAGGACCAGGCATCTCACATGGTGAAAACAGTAGCAAGAGGGGATGGCCGGGAGGCATCGCACTTTAAAAACTAGATCTCCTGAGAACTCATTCACAATGACAAGAACAGCACCAAGCCACGAGGGATCCGCCCCCATGACCCAAACACTTCTCAACACGCCCCACCTGCAACACTGAGGATTACAATTCAACATGATATTTGGTGGGGACATATATTCAGACAAATCAGAGCTGTATTTCCAATACAATTTTACTTTTTATTCTATAAATTATTTAATATGATTTGTAATGTATTTCTCTTGTTCTGACTAATTATGTATGACCAATAATTTAAACTATTTGGAAGAACTTTTTTTTTTTTAACTTAGAGCCATACGGTCACTGAAATTCTAAAGTTTAAATTTGCAAACTTTTTTTCTATTGCGAAATATAGGACAATCTAAAAAAGATATTTTTTTTTTTTGAGATGGAGTCTCGCTGTCTCTCAGGCTGGAGGGCAGTGGCAAAATCTTGACTCACTGCAAGCTCCGCCTCCCGGGTTCAAGTGATTCTCTTGCCTTAGTAGAAACGGGGTTTCACCATGTTGGTCAGGCTAATCTCCAACTCCTGACCTCGTGATCCACCCGCTTCGGCCTCCCAAAGTGTTGAGATTACAGAAGTGAGCCACTGCGCCCGGCCCCCAAAATTTTCATATATAAAAATATTAGGATGAAATTCTGAGGTATTTGGGTTACTTCAGATTCATTTTAAGAGTTTTGGCCGGGCGCGGTGGCTCATGCCTGTAATCCCAGCACTTTGGGAGGCCGAGGCGGGCGGATCACGAGGTCAGGAGATCGAGACCATCCTGGCTAACACAGTCTCTATTAAGTTATTTTTAAAAGTTTGAATTGTAGTCATATACATGTAACGTGAAATGTATCATAATCCTTTCTAAGTGTATACTTTAGTAGCGTTAAGTATTTTTACACTACTGTGCAACCAATCTCTAGAACTTTTTGCACAACTGAAATTATATACCCAGTAAACATGTCCCCATTTCCACCTCCTCCCAGCCCCCAGCAACCACATTTTACTTTCTGTTTTTATACATTTGACTACTCTAGATACCTCACATAAGTGGAATAATCCAGTGTCTTCATGACTGGATTATTTCACTTAGCGAATATTGTCAAGGGTCATTCATGTTGTAGCATGTGTCACAATTTCCTTCCTTTTTAAGGCTGAATAATATTTGTTGTAGGCATATACTACATTTTGTTTATCCCTTCATCTACTGATGCACGTTTGGGTTGCCTTCAAATGTCAATAATGCTATTATGAACATGGGTGTGTAAATATGTCTTTGAGACCTGCTTTCAGTTATGCTGACTGTATACCCAGAAGTGGAATTGCTGGATTGTATGGTAGTTCTATTTGTAATTTTTTGAGGAACCACCAAATTGCTATTCAAGTGGCTGCACCATGTTACTTTTCCACCATCAAAGCACAAGGATTCCAGTCTCTTAATATCCTCACCAATGATTATTTTCTGTTTTGTTTTTGTTAGTCACCATCCTAATGGGTGTGAAGTAATATCTCACTGTGGTTCTAATTTGCATTTCCCTAATGATTAGTGATATCGAGCATCTTTTTAATATGATGCTGGTGCAAAATGACCTTAAGTACCAACATTCCCTGATATGACTTAAGTACCAATATTCTTTAATCTGAGAAGATGAAAAGTTCTTTGACACATAGTAACATCAAGAGAAACCCTGGTATACTTTAGTACGGTACAGTGCTGTTAAACATGACATTCTGCTCCGGTTTCTCATTCAAGAACATTACTTTGAAAAACCCTAATATTAGTAAATCTTTCATCCTCCATTCTAACTCATAGATTAAATTTTCTTATCTCTAAAATTCTCTCAAACAGCTGTAGGCTTCTATTCTTCAAAGGTTTTATTACAAGACACCAGAAAAATTTATATTCTCTCTCTCTCATGAGATGGGAGCAAGAGATAAGCATGCCGTCCTGAGGAAAGTGATGTTACCCAGAAACTACAGTAAGGTGTTTCTCTTATCAAGGTATCTGTGGTTTCTGTAATGTCATAGGTTTGTTTATTCAACAGTATTTACTGAATACCTACTTAGCATTAGGCACTGAAATCCAGAAGATAAAATAGGACAGTTCCTGACCTAAAAAAAAAAAAAAAAAAAAACAAAAAAACTCACAGTCTAGCAGAAAGAGCAGACAAGAAGGTTGGCAAGTTTAACACAGAACAAATGACATGTGTTGACATTGAGATCAATTCACTCAAGCAAGGTCTTATGGGAGGATGGAGAGAAATAATGAGGCGGAACCCAGAACATAACATGGGAGGAGTTGTAAAATATGTGGTGGAATGAAGTAGATAACAAGGACACCTTGGGAAAGATATCAGACATGATCCAAGTTTTTCTATATACTTTTAAGTGCATTCTGTTGCTCTTGTCCTTCCATTTTTAATTAATTGAAAATTTAAGTCCATCCACTTGTATCTGAATAAGTTGCTTGAATGGATCAATGTTGTAAAAATGTAAATACCTTACTAGTTATTGCTTGAATTTTACACAGGTACAAACAAATGATGATGCATTAGCTGACTGGTTTTACGACCATGATCTTATGAGGTCATTTTCTATATAATTTATTTTGCACTAAAATTTACACTGAAGGAAGAAAATTTATAGTTTATAAAATAGTTTCATGTCATGTTAAAAGTTACAAGATGTTCTTTTATTCATATTTATTTTATTGCCAATATACTGATTTCCTTGCGAACTTATATTCTCACATTTATTTAATTGAAAAACATTGATTGGAAGTGTTGATAAGGAGAGGAAGAAGTCTCCTTAATATTTGAGTTAATGGCTTGACTGTTTTAAATTAGGAGGAAAGGTGAAAGTGCTCCTTCAGGTATTTGTGAGTTAAGAAAGTGCATGGGTGAAATTGTTCAGGTTCTGGTGGCATTTGAATGGAATTAACATCAAATAATTTCAGATTTGTCATTGTCTCATGAGATCATTGAGCATAGTTCTGTCATTCTGCACTGAGACTCACAGAACTCATGTAATTTGACCAAGGAAATACAATTAGAGTAACAAATTGCAGTGTAACCGGACACTCAAAAAAGTGGTTCACTTAGTTAGTCTAAGTGAGTTAGTTACAAGAACTGATAAAAGTTGTGCCTTCTTTTGGAGACTTTGAAAGTTTATGATTTTTTAAAAATTCATATGAAGCACTCGCGTGATTCTACTTTAATTTCTAGCATATGTAGTTTGCTTGCCACTATACTGAATGAATTAAAAAGAAGAAATCACACTCATCTGGATTTTTTTTTTTTTTTTTTTGAGACAGAGTCTCGCTCTGTCACCCAGGCTGCAGTGCATTGGTGTGATCTCGGATCACTACAGCATCTGCCTCCCTGGTTCAAGTGATTCTCCTGCCTCAGCCTCCCAAGTAGCTGGGATTACAGATGTGTGCCACCATTCCCAGCTAATTTTTGTATTTTTAGTAGAGATGGGGTTTCATCATGTTGGCCAGGCTGGTCTCGAACTCCTGATCTCAGGTGATCCACCCGCCTTGGCCTCCCAAAGTGCTGGGATTATAGGCGTGAGCCACCATGCCCGGCTGTCTTGTTTTAATTAATAGAAAATAAAAGGAGCTGACATGTACTGAATACAGATGTGCTGGGTGGTGGAATTCCTTATGTACATTCTGTCATTTAATCTCAAGGATACCTCTATAAAGTAGGCACTGTTATTAATCCCACAAAGTCTCACAACTTTGGCACAAAACCAAAGTTGAACCTGGACCTTTTTACCTCTAGAGTCTGTAGAGGTAATACCTATGTACTATGCAACTTGTCTCCCAAAGCACAGAACACAGGGCTTTCTAAAGGCTACAGTTCTCTAAAAGTTGAATTGAATGGCATCCCATATTTAAATGCTCACTGCTACATTAAGAAATTAAGAAATAATCATTTTCATTTTAGAGAAGTAAGTGCAACCCTAAGACATTAATTTGCTAATTATTCTTCCTCATGGAGATAAAATCTTATAATTTATCTTATCTCATATGCTACATAGACATTTCCAACTTTCATATATTATTAACCTTAACCTCTGTGATATTCAGGTAACATTGAAATAGAAAAATGCAACAATGTCACACACAAACCTTTCTACATAATATGGTGAAAGGAATGAAATATAATGAGTTACTTTTACTTGGAAAAACATAATGTTACTCTGCTTTGAATCAAGGGTGTTAACATTTTTAGTGTTAGCAATAATTTGTTTTCTTTCAATCATACAATTATTACATTTATTTTCCTTAGTAAAATGGAAGAACATCCCAATTGCCAAATACTAATGACGCATTCTTAGGGTCTCTATGTGTAATCTTATTAGGTTTCTGTTTTCAACTGGAAAGTTTATGAAGCCAGTATTTGTTTATCTTGGGGGAATTTTGCTTATGCATTGAGAAGACACATTTACCGTTTTTCCACAGGCAATCCAGGCCAATATTTGTCCTTCTTTATCATAGCAACAAAAGTTTTTCACTTTGCAATCCTGTGTAGTCTGGATAGATTTAGTCTGTTTTTCCAAAAAACATTAATAGAATACCTGCTGCATGTTTTTTCAAAAAATATTTTTTGTTCTTCATCTTTAAAAGAGTATGTTTATCCAGAGAAAGTTTATGAATCAATATGAGATTTGTTTTATATTTTTAAAAAATATTCACTTGAACTTTGATATGAAGCATCCTCAAGAGGTAGTTTTGTTTTTGTCATTTTAATATTTAAGCAAATAAAAACAGCTATTTGTGATACTAACAATTGTGTTTTTAAGATGACACAATTGAGCTTCATTCCCCCTTTTTTGTAATACTGCCCTATCACATGAAATAATTAAGAATTAAAACATTAACAGGACACTGGGATTCTCTCAGAGTCTTCTCTGGTTGGCTAGATCTGGCACAGAATAATGGCATGAGGAAGAAGCAACTTTGATATATTTATTTTTGTTCTAATATGCCCCCAAAATTGATAATAATAAAAAACTAACATTTGAATTTCATACTTTAACATGACTTTCAAATACATTTTCTTCTAATTTGGCTTCACATCTCTCTTGTTGGTAGATATTAATCCCAATTTAAAGAGGACACAAAGATTCTGAGCAGTGGGTGGCAAGCCCAGCTCACCTAGTTAGTAGAGTTACAAATGAAACTTTGGAGTTCTGATGACAAGACTTGCATTTTCCACGATTAGATGCTGTGAAATGAGGAAAATAAATGGAGTAGGCATTTCTAAAGAAATTTAAATTACAAGACATTTAAACCTTTCTCTTTCAATATACCTGTATCTTAGATTACCAAACTTACTGATTAGGTGAGGGTGGGGTTTGGGTGTGACAAGTAGAGATAACCTAGAACAATCCTTCAAATTGGTCACCTTGAAAATGATAGACAAACTGAGGCTATTGTTTTAACACGTGAATCCTTTACTTTGTTCACAGCTGCAAACATTTTTTGAGACATTCCTGAGAGCCAGTTCACCTCAACAGGCTTTTGACATTATGAAGGAAGCAATTGGCAAACTACTGCTAGCGGCTGAAGTATTCAGTGAAACATCTACTCTGGGACCAAAGACCTTCCATAGGTAAAAAACAAATTTTAATTTAAAAAAAAAAGAAAAGAAAGAAAGCAACCTATCTTTTAAAAATTGTTGGTGGAAATGTATCTTAATTATCATAAGTAGGTGGTACTTGGAAAATTTTATGTCAATATACAAACATGATCTTCTAAACATATGTGGCCATATTTATAGATCCTAAAACTTTAGAACGTGTGGCAGACTCAGTAGTATCTAAATAGTGGTAACAAGAAGTAAAGTGCGCATTTTCAAAGTTAATCTTTTAATTGCAGCCGCCTTTTCAAGTGCAACTGTTTCTATCATAGATACTTGGCATTGACTAGGTATAATTTTACTTATACATAATAAATTTCATTCTCAAATATCCCACTGATTTCATAATGCAGAGGAGAAAATGAAGAACTTTATTAAGAAAATTCAATAACTCCTATTCCCATATCTGTTTACTTGACTATAACTTATTGCCTTTGTTCTAAGGAAATGTTAAATCTCGTACGTCAAAAAGTGGGGGAAGCACATCAATTTAAACCTTATCATAATTTATATGTGAATAGGTACCTAGCATGTAGGAGTAGGAGAGTTTTCTTCTTCGTATTTAGGTTTCCATGGATTAACTTTATTGCTTAGTTTAATGTGTTATGAATATTTAGGTATATTTTTATTTTCTATAAGAAATAAAACAGAATCCAAATCCAAAAATTTATCACATGTAATTTTACATTATCCAAGCCACTGCTCTTTTTAATTAGTAGATATATTGAAAATTAACAATAGTGATTATTAATATGACACCAAATAAGAGTAAATGTAGCAAGAGAATATAGTTTTTATTATTATTATTTTACTTTAAGTTCTGGGATATATGTGCAGAATGTACAGGTTTGTCACATAGGTATACATATGCCATGGTGGTTTGCTGCACCTATCAATCCATCATCTAGGTTTTAAGCCCTGCATGCGTTAGGTATTTGTCCTAATGCTTTCCCTCTCCTTGCCCCCCAACCCCCAACAGGCCCCAGTGTGTGATGTTCCCCTCCCTGTGTCCATGTGTTCTCATTGTTCAATTACCATTTATGAGTGAGAACATGCAACGTTTGGTTTTCTGTTCCTGGGTTAGTTTGCTGAGAATGATGGTTTCCAGCTTCATCTATGTCCCTGCAAAGTACTTGAACTCATCCTTTTTTTATGGCTGCATAGTATTCCATGGTGTGTATGTGCCACATTTTCTTTATCCAGTCTATCATTAATGGGCATTTGGGTTGGTTCCAAGTTTTGCTGTTATAAATAGTGCATTAATAAACATCCATGTGCATGTATCTTTACTTTTATGGTACCTTGTGTTTTCATTTTAGATGCAGATTCTGCTTTCAACTTCTAACTTTTGATATTGGTTATGGCAGTTTCATGTACCCTGTAGTGCTCCAGGTCAGTATGCCAAAGGCCTCATGTGAGCTTCTACCTTGTGGTGAGAGATCAGTGTGTGTGTGTTGTTGTTGTTGTTTTCATTCATAGTAACCAATCAATAAATAGCAATTTGCAAAAGTACTGTAGGCTTATATTCACTGTGGTTCAGACAATTAACTAGTATGTGGAGAATCTATGAGTCCAATCCTGCCTATGTGTCTCTGTAAAATAAACATGAATTTTTCTATGGTTCAAGTACTATTTGTGAAATAAATGTGGTATGAAGTCAAGTATGCATTAAAGGAAAAAAGAGGATGTGTAGATAATAGAAAGTAACAGATTATCTGGCGTATTCACATGAGGGTATAAAAAGATAACTTTTATTTTTTACATATACATATTTAGTTTAAAATTGGTTTATATTTAGTTTAAAAAAACCATGGGAATTTTTGAATTTTTTTTTCTGATATAGATATGTGTAGAGTGAAGTGTTTTTGCCCATTTTGATTCTTTTCCTTCCTCTCAAATTAAATATACTCATTCATATTATCTCCCCCAACATATTTTGTTTTTCCTCTAACATAGCCCTTAGAGGCAAAAACATAAAAAATAATTTATTAAATTAGTCTATAGAAAGTTCTACCTTGGAATACAGGGTGGGAAAAAAGGAAGAAGGGGAAAATAAAATTATGTATAACTAGAATATAGCTTTGTATAACATTTCTGTGTCCTCAAACTATTATTCCGGTAAGCCAATTACATTATAGATGGCTCATACATTTGGTTAAATAATTCCAAGATTTCTCCATAAAAATTTAAAACTTAATTAACTGACACTTTTAAATACTCATTTTTTCATTGTTTTGCATGCATACCTAATAGTTTGTATTATGCTTTTTAAAATCTGTTGTTCAGAAAGAAATGTTATGTATTATCTTCCATGAAAGCATATTCTTCAGCTATAAAGGGTATCGAGATAAACTAATGTGACTTTATATTAGTTAATTTTCTTATACTGTACATTAAATAATTGTATCTTTAAATTGTATCTTTAAAAAAAATTACTCACATTTATAAAACTGTTGACTTCCAAAAAGACCACTAGATGTCAGTTCTGATCTATAATCCAACAGGAAATAAATCATGTCTTAGAAGTAATTCCATTGTCTTAAAAGTAAATCGATGAAAAATATTTGCTGTGCTTTTGTTCTTTCAAAGGTACACGAGCATTTAAATTTTCAAGATTATGATAATATGGATTTTGAGGACCAAAATACAGAAGAATTCCTTTTAAATGACACTTTCAATTTTCTCTTCCCTAATGAATCATCACTTTCCATATTTTCTGAGATATTTCAGAGACTTTATAGATCAGATGTTTTCAAGGTAAGTGCATATTTGTGTACTGATAAATATTTTTTCAAGTCATTCCTTAGAAGGTGTCATTCTCCTTATTCTGCAATTCAGCAACTTGATAATTCACTTCAAATTAATTGGTATCTATTATATCACACTTCTTAATTTTTTCTGACCTCTGGACTAAGATTATTTTTATGTCAACTAAGTATGTAAGTGACTGATTATGATAAAATTATGGGTTGAAAATTAAGTATAGTGTTCATAATTTCTTATTTTTTCTTTTTGTTTTTCTTTTTTTCTTTTTCTTTCTTTTTTTTTTTTTTGAGACAGAGTCTCGCTCTGTCACCCAGGCAGGAGTGCAGTGGCACGATCTTGACTCACTGCAACCTCCGCCTCCTGGGTTCAAGAGATTCTCTTGCCTCAGCCTCCCAAGTAGCTGGGACTACAGGCATGCACCACCAAACCCAGCTAATTTTTGTATTTTTAGTAGAAACGGGGTTTCATCATGTTGGCCAGGCTGGTCTTGAACTCCTGACCTCGTGATCCGCCTGCCTCGGCCTCCCAAAGTGCTGGGATTACGAAATGTTTGTGGATATTATGAATAATATGTATTGTATGCTACAGAATACTTTTTTATTTTTTAATTTTTTCTTTCATCTTATAAGTTCAGAGGGTACATGTGCAGGTTCATTACATGTATTATAGTATACTTTAAAAGAAATGTTAGAACTCTTTGGAGGCAGTCTAGAATAGCAGTGAGTGCTCCAGATTGACGTCAGAGGACTTGAATTATAATGCTATTTTTTTTTAAGCATTCACATCTATTGTCATGTTTGGGCAAATGCCAATGAATAGAGCAGAGTGCTTCAAAATAACATGGATTGATTTTTATAACACGTTAGCATCTCCCCAACCTCACTACCAAAGCATCATTGAGCTATTTTATCCAGGTCCTCCCTGTCAGATATGAAGCTTTCTTATATTCAGACACCACTGTGACAAGTTGAAGTTGCTATGTATTATTTAACATTAATTAGCTCAGTTGTTTATAGAACTCAAAATCTGATTGGTTGATGAAATGGGAGGTAATTGGGTTGAACATGGTTTGACTTTTTAACAATTGCTTAAGTTCTTTCCCCCTACCAATACAGGGTGAAAACTATCAAAAGGAACTAAATCAGTGTCTGTCCTTAGAAGAAATTAACTCAATTATGACTTTCATAAAGGAACTTGGAAGTCTGGGACAATTCCAACTGGTAAAGCAAAAGTGACATTTGATTCTTTCTTGGTGACTGGGATTAGAGTAGATCACTGTAAGCTACCTGATTTTGACATCAAACTAGATTAAGTATTTCTTTAAGAAATAGAAATCTTTATAAGCTACTTTGCTCTTTCAGAGATCTAAGTAGCAAAATGAGCAAGATTTATATGCATAACTTTAAGAGTTTGCAAACAATATGTGACTTATTAAAGGTAAAAGAACATGGGATTAGCATAGCTGCCAGAATTTGACAGTTTTCAAGGGGAAAATGCCAACATTTTTCTGAAGAAGTTTTACTTTTAGCTTCAGAACATTTACATGCAACCAAAAGTTATTTCTGCTTATTATCCCCTTGTTATTTCTGCTTATTATACCCTTTTTGTTTTTGTAAAATCATATAGAGTTGAAAATAATATTTTAGAAGACTGCCTAAACCTTAATTTCTTATAACTCTATATCAAACTTCAAAGAAAGAAAATGTAAATAATTATAACTTTTACTGGCTTATATCTTTTAAAAAAGGCATTCATTTTATCTTCTATGTATTTTGTTAATTCCTTGGTTAGTATCAAAGGATAATTTATTGAGTGTGAAATGCATGTTTAATACTTGTTTTCTTTCCAGTTCTGATACTTATATAGACTGAAATGAATTTGTATTTTTCCACCTAAGATTTGTTCATATGAAATATCTTTTTGAAATAGCATTCTTAATCATTAATCATTTATTATTACCCTGATGTTTCACTCAAGTATTTATCTTACTTGTAAAAAGTATATGTGTGTGTGTATATATGTATATATATATATATATATATATACGTATATATATATATATATATATACGTATATATATATATACATACATACACTACTTGTATGAGTTTAATCAACTTACTAAGTTAATTAATGAGTGTTTGATACTCCTTTTTCTAATTTGGTCCCAAATTTTGGAGGATTCAGAGTAAGCTAATTTCCCCAAAGATAATTGAGTTGGCACAATATCATTTTAACTATTTTAAACGTATAAGTATTACATTCACAACAGTTTGACTAAATACTATAAAAAGATAATAAAAGGGATCTGCCTTGCTCTTCAGGAATTTATAACTTTAGATACTGTTACTATGGAGAACATTTCTCATCATAACTTGAGGAAGAACTAAATAATTATTTTGCAAGAGAAAGAGAAAATTCCAATTTCCTGGTTCTCACAGTAGAAAGGAGATAACCACAGATTTTTATTTGCGGGGGAAAGAGGGGAAGATTAATATTTCTCACTCTGACATAATTCATTTGTAACCCAAGAGGCTCTCTCATTCTTCCTGCTGCCTAACTCTGTTATTCATGTGTCTTCTGGTATCTGTAACAGGAAAGAGAAATCCGCTTATATTCAATGAAAAGAAAAAAAAAAACTCACCCTATTTGGAAATATGATCATCAACAAAATTAGTTTCTTATAAAAAGTGGCATTTACATCAACAACTTTGCAGAAAACTAATTTATGGTACTGACCAATGGATTTTTAACAAATATCTGACTTTTTAAATAAATGACTAAGTATAAGGCTGTTCATAGTAATACTACATTATAATTTGTTTTCCATAACTTATACTGATATTTTGTGTTCTCAGCTCTTCCCATCTACTACTCCTGGGATTCAGTCACTGATGCATGAATTTTATGATGTGGCAAATCCTGTGGGAAATCCTGGCTCAGTCCTGACCCAATACTGGTCTCTTTTAAATGTATTTGAACAATTTCAGTTCATGAATAAAAAGACACAGCCACATCCACTGGAATGGTAAGATAGCCACAAATTTGAATTGTACAATCCAAAAAATCTCTAGTTTACAGATTGATTTCAAAAGGCTTTGCCTATGTTAAAGCAAGCAGCAACAACAAAAAAGTGTGTCCAAATTTCCATGCTCAGGAAAATAAATGTCTTTAAACATTGAAACCATAATGATTCTAGTGGTCTTCAAACACTTTAATAAAAATGTATCCAACAGTTTTTTAAACCAACAAGACTTGACTCCACTATAATGTTTAGAATTGAAAGTTTCAATCTAGTTTCCTTCAGTGATATATATTCTTGAATTGTGAGGGTATCAGACAGAAGTAATTAGATGAGATGTGTTTTATGAACCATCAGTCAGAGTGGCAGCTTGAGACAGTAAAATTATTTATTTAGAAAGTTTTTGAGGTGTGACTTTTTTCT
Source organism: Homo sapiens (assembly GCF_000001405.40). Lineage (NCBI taxonomy): Eukaryota > Metazoa > Chordata > Mammalia > Primates > Hominidae > Homo > Homo sapiens. The sequence goes on from NC_000007.14 coordinate 121,130,712, forward strand.
GAGCAAAACCCATTGAATGTATATACATATGTTCTGTCTTTGTCACAATTGATTCCTATTTTGGTTTCAGAAGGTAGAACTTTGGGGTTTTTCTTTTTTTAGAAGGTAGAATCTCAGAGGAAAATATTTGGATAAGATAAAATTTCCCACCTTCACTTCCATTCTAATGAGAGGTAGTAATTAGGGAATAAGAGGGAACTGAGATGGATAAAATTTTATCTCCACTAGTTAGGGAAAAGGGGCAACACCTAAGGTTTTTTCTGCTTCTCTTTTATATGGATGGAATTACAGGAGCATTCGACTTTTCTACTGGCAGCAAAACAGAAGTAAACCTAAACCTCCTAGGGAGATGAAAGACTAAATGGCCCTGCCATAATCATTTAAGTCTTTTGCAGTCACCCTAGGCCATGGCTTCAGCTCTATTGACTTACATTTCACTTCTTTCTGCTAAGGATATAGTGAAAACAGTTCTATAAAAACTTTATTTTTACAATTCAAAAATTTGAATAATCATATATTTGAAGAATTCTTAGGACATATCCCAGGATCAGAATTCACCTTATTTGCCATGGCTTTAAGAAGCTGGTTTTATTTCCTCAATACCTGGAAGTAGTAGGCCCAGCAGAAGGTTTTGTTTATGTGTTTGAAAATTAGGTTTTAAATAACATACTTCAGAGACACTTTGTTTGTACTTTACACTCACTCAAATAATCTAAGACTGTCTCATTTATTATAGATGGGTGAAAAACAGACTTGATTTCCACAGGAAGCTGTTTCAAAGTTTTTTTTTTTTTTTTTTAACTTTGAGGAAGTTCCCTGAAGATACTCAAACTTTGGAAAGTTTGTTCCCAAGCAAATTTTTCTCAAGCTCCATGTATGTTGTAAGGTTAAGCAGTGTTCTGATCTTAAATTTAGAAGATTGAATTCTCTTCTAATAAGAAAATTTACTAATGGTCAGTGTTGAGTATAGTTGGAAAGGGTGAGGACTTTTTTGAGTCATAGAGACTATATTCAAAAATCCCAACTTTAGAATTTATGAAGACAGGTTTGAACCCCTCTGAGACTCAGTTTTCTTATCTGCAAAATATGCATTATACTATGAACTATGTATATTTCAGTATGATTACATAAAATTTCATTTGCTACATAGCATCTGATACGCTGTAGCACAGGTAGATAGTAAATATCAGTATACTTTCCTTTCCATGTTTCTATTCAATGATCATTTTAGCTTCTATAGTGGGGGTAATGTTTTTTTTTTTTTAATGGGAAAAGCACGACAAGTTTGAAATATTTAAGTTAATAGTGAGACAAGTAAACCTTACTACGTTTGTCAACAAGCAATTAGTATATTGCTAATTTCATTTGCATTCAAGAAAAAAATGCCCAAATCTAATTATCTTCAAGGTTACCAGTGAATGTGTATATATTTAATTATCATTCATGCCATATTGCAATGAGGATGCATGTTATATACATGTTCCAGATGAGAAAATGAAGTGCTAATAAGATGGGTTGTTTGTTCAGGTTACAAAGCTAATAGAAATAGAGTTGGAACTAGGACCCTAGCCTTCTCACCAATGGTCCAGTGCTTTGGTCCAGGGCTCATTGATGATCCAGTACATCACGCAGACAGGGAGGCCATCATTGTCCTTATCTTCTCAATGGTTACCACAGTTTTTTCTATAGAAAATGTCAACTTTATGGATGTACATTACCTGTGTTCAATGACTTCATCTTTCCTTTTAAGGAAAGATCATTGTCTTGTAGCAACGAGGTGAGAAAGTCAGGAAAGCTTGACAATACCAGGTAATAGTTATATGTTTGTCCTGAGGCTCAAAATCCAGAGATCTCAACAGAATTAGTGTGAATCTGAACAGAATGAAAATCTTAAAATCAATGTGGTGCACCATGTGCTAATTTTACCTTCCTAGAAGTACAGTTGCATTGTACATTACTCTAAGGAAATGCTTTCAATGAAAATCCACATGGATTTGAAACAATGTATTCACAAAATTATGCAGAAAATCACTGCAAGATGCCTTTACATACAGTGTCTCATTCCATTAAGATAGTAACCTTTCCAAACTTCAGTTTCTGTGCATTTCAGGGTTGTGTCTTTTGTAAAAGTCACCTGGAATAAACAGTTTTTAAAATAAAACTGCAAAAAATTATCATGGCTTCCAACTTTAGCAATAATTTTAATTCCTTGATGCTTTTAAATTTCCTAGCTGATGTTTATATTTGGAGCTGAATATGTCATATTCATCTCTTCTCCATTACAGTACGCAGCACAATATCTGGGACAATACATATTTCTAAAATGTTATTTAACAAAGAAAATTGTATTTAACTCTCATAGCATCCCTGTGAAGTAAGGTAAACATTGTTATCTCCATTGTGCTGGGGTGGAAATGGAGATTTGCACCAGCACAGGAAAGTCTTGTCAGGGGCCTGCAGATGATCCTGCCTGCTGTTCTTTATCATCAGGACCAGCAATTTTTCTGTCTGCAATTTAAATTATTTTGGTCCCAAATTTGAGGATTTAAAGGGCAATCTGGCCAAGTATTTAGTTAGTTATACAACAGAGAAAATTAGGTGAACACACCAGAATTTAACTAACCCTTGCTATTCACTACTGTTAATTAGAGTTTAAGGGTAGAAGACTTGGCAAGACATAGGTCATTTTCTGCATGGTATACTTATTTCTTCAATTAAATGTATGTTCTTCTCAGGCTGTGCCTTGGTGATTCCAAGATTTTTTGCTCCAAAACAGTGTAACTATAGCCAAACAGATTTCCAATAAGAATGTGTATTCTTGAATCACTTCTATTGGACCCAAGCTATCTGAGATTCCTCAGATTTGGACTGAGAGGGACTTTTTACCCTGGTTTTCTTCAAATATGCTTCTACTGATTAGGGATGATGAGATTTCCACCTACTTCCTTTGAGGGTAGATTGCCAGTTTTGAGGATTGAAATGCAGAAAGCGTTTTTTTGTGTTCATCAAAGTAACTGTGCCCATACAGAAGAAAAGATAGTGTGTTAGATGTAATTTCCACGCGTTTTGTTCATTTCATTAATCCAGAGTTGTTTGGCATTGCATTTGCAGGAATTCTTTCACAGAAGATAAGAACATTGAAAAACCACAAGTGCCATTTGATGCAATAGAAAATAAAAAAGGTAAAAATATAGATATTCCCACTTATTTCAACATAAAAATAAGTATTTCCTGGCAAAAAAATGCAAAACTATTTAGCTTCATTAGCAATCAAAAATGAAAATTAAATGAGGAAATGCTATTTTCCCTTAAATTTGGAAAGGATTTTCTTAAAATTATAGAGAGGGAATCCAGCAATCCTGCTACTGGATATCTATCCAAAGGAAATGAACTCCGTATGTTGAAGAGATATTTGTACTCTGATGTTAACTACAGCACTACACGCAATAGCCAAGATATAGAATCAAACTAAGTGTTCATCAGTGAATGGATAAAGAAAATGGGGGTGTATGTACACAATGGAATACTATTCAGCCACAAAAGAGAAAGAAATCCTGTTGTTTGTTATTTGTGACATAGATAGTCCTGGAGAATGTTAAGTGAAATAAGCCAGACACAAAAAGATAAAAACCCCATAATCTCACTCATGTGGGATCGAAAAAAGTTGATCTCACAGAAGTAGAGAGGGTTTACCAGTTTTATGCTCTCATAGAGAGTAGAATAGTAGTTATTAGAGGCCAGGGAGGGTAGGAAGGGAAGGAGGTGGCTAGAGATTGGTTATAGTTAGGTAGAAGAAAAAGTTCTGTTGTTCTATTAAAAAGTGGGATGACTATTGTTAACCAATATATATGTTTAAATAGCTGGAAGAGAGGATTTTGAATGATCTCATCACAAAGAAATGTTAAATGTTTGAAGTGATAGGTATGCTAATTAGCCACATTTATTCATTACACAATGTATACATGTATCAAAATATTTCACATTATACCCCAGAATTATGTGTCAATTAAAATAAAACTTTAAAAAAGATAGTAAAGTTGGAGAGAGTGTATGGAAATCAGTATTCTCATAGTGCTGGTGGACGTATAAATTAGAACAACCTCTATTAAGGGGCCATTTAAAATCTAAGAAAAGCTTTAAAAGTTATTTTTATAGATCAGAAATTTTACTTCTAAATGTTCATTTTAAGGAAATAATATATACAAAATTTAATTACATAAATTATCAACAAATTAAAAAAATAGAGTTCATTACTATTGCAATAAGAGTGGACTGGACACACAAATTAAGCTAGAGTCATCAAATAAAATGTTATAAATCCATTCTTCTGTTGTGAAAGAATATTTATGACATGAAAATTCTTTATGATCTATTGTTAAACCTAACTAACAATTGGCTACCTCACCGTGAAGCTCAGGAAAAATCAATGGTGACTTATATTTTTCCTCTTTGGCTTATCTCTTTTTTCCCATTTTTTCATTCCAAAGAACATCTGAGCTTTTTGTTACAAGAAAAAAACTACTTCTAATTTTAAAAAGAAAAAAAGTGAAAAGAAGTACCCACCTATATGTCAATAATATTTTTTTTTAGTTCAAAGTTGTTCTATTGTGAAACAGGATTTAGCCCAATACAGTGGTTTTCAATGTGTGTCCCCCTCTCCCCAGAATCACCTGGGAAACCTAGCAATTCAGATCTACTCAGTCAGAATCTCTGGTGATGAGACCCAGCGATTTGTCTTTTAACAAGCCCTTCAGATGATTCTGAGGCCAGAATTTGAGAATCACTGGTTCAATAGAATGAATCAGTAGGTGCAGTGAAGAGCTGAGAGAAACTGCCTTTCTTTTGCCCACCAGTTTTTTCCTCTATAAATGAATGATTTAAGCACCCTGAGTGTTTTATTCATTCATTTGTTTCATAAATATGTATTAAGGAGTTTTTAAAATAAATATTTGGTTGAATTAAAAATATAGAGTAAATATTACTGGAACCAACTGGATGGCACTCTTACAATTCTAATGATTTGGGAAATTATAGTCATAGGATATAAAAGCTATAAGGAACCTTGGCTGATCAACGTCAGGCAATAAATGGCATTTAGACCATTCATTTTCTCTCTTAATATTTTTCTATTTGAAATAATAATTCTTCTGAGCTCTGAATAAAATAACTTATTTTATTGTAGTTTACAGTTTGACTTAGAAGTGTTCACTAGTATAATAAAAGTTAAATGAAAAACATGTTTTATTAAGTTATCTAATAGCTAAATGTATATTTTAACATTTTGATTAATGGTTTTTATTTTAAATTTACATTTCTTTTTTTTTTTAGCTGCAGTTCCACAAATTAAAAATGAAAATAAAGAAATACATTGCAGTGATGGTGAGTTGAGATTAAAGTGTTGTAGCAGCATAATAAACAATTAGGGAACAGCCTTACTTTGAAAAAAAATGCATCATTTTATTATATGTGGGTATCTTACGCTGATAATTGTTAAAGTAAATTTTAGAAGTTATTAGATTTCCAATGGAGTCAGTATCTATCACTTTTGCATAAGAACATAAAATATTACATTTTTTTTGTTTAAGGACAATGACTTCCAAACCCACTTTGAAGGGCTTTAGGAGTTGTAGGGCATTGCCTTGGAAGCCTTTCAGATGTAAGAGCTTGGCTTATCAGCTTTATATACTGATCTTTAGGGGTCTCACTACCTGGCAGTGATTTCTTTCTCACCAGATTGTTGCTGTAATGGTTAGTACTTGAGTAGAATTTTCTTTGTAACAGTTGAGAGTTTTTAAGCCAATTTTCAATTTTTTTAATTCATTTTTTAACCAAGACATAATACGAGAAACGTAAGTACTTTTAAGTTTGTATTAACTTTAAAAATGATTTTCTTCATTGTGGTCAGTATTATTATTACGATGGTCTTGCAAATATATCATCTTAGAGAGTCTAATTGATTTTTCCAAAGTCACAGGGTTATTAAATGCCTGAGCTGTATCACAAAGCTAGATCTTCAGATTCTCTGTTCAAAGCTCCTGAATTTAGGCCGGGCACAGTGGCATGCACCTATATGCCCAGTGCTTTGGGAGGCCAAGGCAGGGGGATCACTTGAGTCCAGGAGTTTGAGGTTACAGTGTGCTATGGTTGCATCTCTGTACTCCAGCCTGAGTGACATAGCAAGACACTGTCTCCAAAAGAAAAGAAAAAGAAAAACTCCTGAGTTTTCTTAATATTCTATAATATAGTGTAGAAAAATTGAGTTCTATATAGCAAGATTTTTCTTGATAATGTATACCTTAAAATATATATATACGTGTGTGTATGTATATGTATACATATAGCTGTATGTATTTGGTGCTAAAAATCAACTTAGAAAATTTAGTTTTCCACAAATAAAAAATCAATTTCAGTAAAACAGTAAAGCTGAAAAAAAGTATAGATTTAGATTTAATTTATTATATTATTTATTTATTTATTATAGATAGGATTTCACTTTGTTGTCCTTGCTGGAGTGCAGTGGCACCATCATAGCTCACTGCAACCTCGACTTCCTGGGCACAAGCAATCCTCCTCCTTCATCCTCCCAAGTAGCTAGGACTATAGGCATGAGCTACTACATCTGGACAATTTATGCAATTTTGTATAGAAAGGAGGTCTTGCTACATTGCCCAGGCTGGTCTTGAGTTCCTGATCTCAAGTGGTCCTCCCGCCTCAGCCTCTCAAAGTACTGGGATTACAGAAATGAGCCACCGTGGCTGGCCTAATTTATTATTAATAGACGTCTTTGAATTTAATAAAATCTAATTTTCATCTAAAATGCAATTTAATTCATTCATGATGTTTTATCACTATTGTTAAGGTCATGGTAGGCTGAGAGGTTATAATAATATAGTTTAATAGAATTAACGTATATAGCCAATTAAAGAAAATGGCATTTTAAATAAAGTATTGCTAATAGAGAACAAAGATAGCAAGTATTACTTATGCCATTCCTTCCCTGCACTCACCATCCAATCTCCTACCCCCAGAAAAATACATGCTACTCCATTCTCCTGGAAAACTGTTGTCTAGAGTATGGTGGGAAAAGGACTAGTGAGAAAACTAGGAGCAAAATTAGAGTGAACACTTGTTGAGGGTCCACTCTGTGCCAGGCCCAAGGCAAGATGCAACATCCAGAAAGCAACTTCGCCTCTTTGGGCTTCTATTTTCTCATTTGTAAAATGAAAGGATTGCATTGGATGATCTTACTTTTTTTTCCAGTTCCCATGTAATATGGTGTAGATGATGTGAATATGTTAGATAGGCACTTTAACTTCGTTCATGTTTTTATGCTGATAAAAATTAGTCCTGCCTGGATCTTTAGTAATTAATCTTCCTGCTTTTATGGTATAAAATAAGATTTAAAAATAATGTAAGGATGCCTCAGAACAGGTGGGATTATCTTTAAGAGTCTAGGCTCTTCTCATGTTCAATATGAGTTATGATTATTCCTCAAGAGAGCAATCAAATTCTGCAGTTAAAAGAAATCCATTAAAAGCGACCAAAACTTCAAACAGCTTTCCCATATATACTTGCCAAATAGGTTAAGCAGCCTGCTACCACCGTACCTCGTGCTGGGTTCTCCGTAGATCTCAGGTAAGCTGGCCTGAGACAAGTTGAGACTGGGATGGGAAAGATGCCAAGCAAACACCAGGTGTTTTTGGCGGCAACACTGATACTTCAGTGGAAGATGATGTCAGAACTAAATCAGCTTTCAGACAGGGGTTTAGGAGATAGTGCTCACACCAGAGATGGAGACTTTCTGATGAAACCAAAAATAAGCACTTGCTGAAGAGAACGATTGCACATTTATTTCCTGTCATCTAGGGCTGTTTCAGTTTCTAAGGAGGGCAGACCCCATTGAAAACCGTGACTATTAAGTGAAAGTATAAACTGCAGGGAAATTAACTCTCAGAGAATCTTTATAAAAATATATTCTATCAAGTTAAAGCACATCTTCTATGTTTTATTTTGAAAAAAGATCTTCCTCTTTGTTATTCACTTTGCTAGTTCTGAGCAGAAAAGTGCGACTGTTTCTATTCCCTTTGTGCCTGGGTAATGGTCATTTCCAAAGCACAGCCCATAACTCAACTCCAGCTTGTTTAATGTTATATTGGGTTTGCAGCCATTTGAATCAAACCTCATGATTAATAATATCCTGTTTTTATTGTGCTTATCTCGGGGTCTTTAACGGAGAAATTTCTGGAGAAAAAACTTTGATGAAAAAAGAATGTAGTATTAATAAGTGGTTGAATTTGAATTAAAAACTGTGGTCCTTTACAGAATGACTTCTAATAAAAACAATTTCTGCCTTCATTCTTTTTTCTTTTTTATTATAAGAAAATTTCAGGGGCTGTTAGGATCGTTGAAATTATAGATGCAGTCCACCTACATCTATCAGCCAGATACTATCTTTCATTGACCATTAGGTCAAATTACAAGTAAAATTAATGAAGCAGAGAGTTTACCCAATTCAGTGAGTTATTCAACCAACATTACTAGTAGTTTATTTTTTATTAAGATTTTTTATGAAATAAAATTACAGTATATCTATTGTATTATTATTGTTCATAATTTATACCTGAATTTGTTTTTCTTCCATAGCCTGAGAAAACTATAGAGTATAGGTCAGAAATATATAGGGTTTTTTTTTTCATTTTAATTGTATTAGTCCATAATGGGAGCTATACAGAGACCTAGTCCCCAGAACTAGAATGATGCATCCATATGGGTTGGTGGTACCCATCGTCATGGATTTGGTGGTGCACCTCCACGTCCATCAAAGAAAAATAAAAATTTTGGTCTTGTTGAAGCACAAAGACTGGGCAAAATGGGCAATGCAGCTGGAGAGCAAGACAAGGAAGGGATTGTGAAATGCCTTGTTTGCCTTATTGGGAGCTTGGACTTGACTCTGGAAATGATGAGAAACCACTAAAGAATGGAAGACAAATCAACAGATTTGATTTTAGGAAAATCAATATTATAGCTACGTAAAAGCAGGGGAAAAAACAACAGTTACTAAAATAATCTCCTTTCTCTAAGTTCAGTTTTATAGCTTTCTGTAGCAAATTCTGTGTTATCTTTTTTGTTGCCATGTTGTTAAATGTCACTGAACATTTTATGTAAGGCAACACCAAGATACTTCAATTTTACTGATTTTTATAGAATTTTGTATGTTTATCTTTGTTAGCATTTTGTTGACAATTGGAAAGTATTGATGGAATGAAATACTCCTTGACATTTCTTTGAAAAACACTTTGTTAAGCTTTTGGGTAATTTGTTTATTCTAAACATTAACATTGAATATAACTTAACAGTAGCTGGTGTATGTGCCTATAAAACAATTTTTTCTTTCTTTCTCACTGAAATAAAGCTGTAAATAATTGGGCTAACAAAGAGAAAGGTTTTTTTAATGCCTCAGAATCAATGATATGAAGTAATATTCTAGATTCTATGACAGGATGGAGCAGAGGATAGTATGTCCTTCTTATACTTTATGGTACTTTCCCAAGTAAGGTGGCCTGAGCATGGAGCAGTTTCAGGATGCCTTTGTTTTTGTGTCTGTTTGGTATAATGCTGGAGTTTGCAGTCTTTGCCCCACACTGCCTATAAGATACTATATCAATCAAGTGGTATTTCAATGACACTCCACATTAAGAAATTTTCCTCATTCCTTGCGGGTCCTCTTCTGCCACCATCCCACAGAGCCATCACTCCCACTTACATAGTTGCTTGATATATGCAGTAAATATCATGAAAATGTTATCAATCCACAGGAGAGACATTTTCCCGCCTTGTGTGCCTTTAAACTTTCAAGGGCTGAGCAGAAAATACCATCTATATAACGCCGACTAAAGTCAACAGCTGTTATATGAAGCAAATTCTACCAAATCTGATGAATTGAAAAGCCAGCTGCAGCCACAAATCAACTATGATCAGGGTACTGATTGGAAAGTCAGCAGGGATCATTGAAGTTGTTCAAAGGAAACAGAAAAAGAAAAACCTAATCATATATTATTTAAAGATATTTACCCACTTCACAGTTGTCTTTGTCATTGTTTTTGTTTTTTTAACAGATGAAAACACACCATGTCATATCAAGCAGATCTTCACACATCCACATTTGGAACTAAATCCTGACTTTCATCCAAAGATCAAAGATTATTACTGTGAAGTCCCATTTGATGTGGTAACAGTGACAATTGGAGTGGAAACTCCTAAGTGTCTGTGCAAGGTGCACCTGTACGAGCAGGCAGGGCCAAGGTATGAGATGTTGACTGGGGCTGTGTTGAGACACTATACTGGGAAGTAGACATTTGATGCAAACTTTGAAAGTGGTTCAGAAAAGCTGATTCATAAGATCAGTTGAAAGATTGCCAGGATGTGAACTTTCCCCTTCTCATTTTTTTTAAAAAAGATTTGTAACCTTTGCAGCTCATCTTTGTAACAATATTTTAACAAGAAAGGATCTTGTTATATGAAATATAGAGAAGATCCATTAAGGAAAAATTTTACTTATTGTTGTCTTCATGTTTTAACATTCTCGAAGATGTCAAGTTTTTGAATATTCAAAAATTGATTGCTTAAACCAATTGGTGCACAATTTGTGGACACAGTACCCCTAACTTTTCTAACCTCACTGGCTTTTTTTCCTATTGATTCTTTTAAAAGTCAGCAACTCTTTTGTTCATAATTTTAAAAAGAAGATAGAACCTTATTCTGTGCTGTGTCCATAGCAAAGAAGATACTCATGGTTCCATGCTGTAGGGAAGGAAATGTACTTGGAACCCTCGGGAGCCACGTCTAGTAGAAAGAAAAGATTCAAGTCAGGACAACCCGGGTTCCAAACCCTGACTCTTCTATGTGACTTTGAATGATGTGTTTACCAGTTCTAGGTCATGGTCTTTATATTTAAAATGGGGACAATCCTATTGTATTAAATGAGATAATGTGTGACCCTGGCAGGTGGTTAATAAATATTAGTTTCCTTTGCTTTAATTGTGGAAGATATAACTTGCCCTAAAAGAACACTCTTGGCATAGTAAAGTACTGTGAAAGAGATATTTATTTATTTTCATAGTTTAGGTTTCTTATGAAATTGTACAGACCTTTCCTGTTATTTATTCAAATAGGTATTTAGTAAATATTGATATATGAATCAGTTTGGGCTGAATAAATCTCCCCTATTCATATTCTATTTCTCTCTCCCTCTTTCTCTCCAGCTTTGCCAGCTACCCTCTGGGCTTAGGAATGAACAAAATCTCAATATTTGTTGTGGATGAATCTCCAGCACACGGTGAGACTCTGATCACGTACAAACTCACCATCTATAGAGAAGACCGCCCAAGTCTGCCCTTGTTTGAGGCCTTCACAGCATGTGGTTTTGTGCAGGTAAGTGAAGTTTACATTTGCACTTGGGTTGAATTGGGAATGATCTGTTAACCCAGGCGGAAAATGCCAAATGAAAATTATTACAAGAAATTGTATGCCTTGAAATCGAAACTGTGGTCTCATTTCAAAAAAGTGAGAATCCCAGCCAGGTATCTAAGTCACCTCGTTGTGAGTGATTTTCTTTTTAGTGTGATGGCTACTGTCTGTGCTCATTGTTTTCAGTGGACTTATTGTGGTTAATGTTCAAAAAAAATGTCTGAGGACTCACACTTAGTTGTGAAATCGGTTTCACATTTTCCTTTTAAATTGGGCTATTTTTCTTGGATTTGTCCCTGGATCTACTTTTGAAATGTTAAACTAGATTTAGTAGAATTTACTTTGAAGAATAAGAGGAAAATTTATGAAGCTATTTTACAAGACGGATACTGGATAAATGAAACTAAATTTGCTTGGGATAGTTAAATTTCTCATTCACTTCTCATACAGTAATCATTTTGCAAGGCTGTAGTTTCTCTTGTGAGCAACACATACCATTTTGTAACCTTGTTCATTTTGGAGAAGGATGAATGTTACCCTAACACTTTTGTTCTACGGTTTTTCCCTATTTTTGCTCTTTTAAGGATCCCATGTATAACTTTGTACAGTTCCTCATATCATATACCCCTTGCTACAGGTGATTCCAGGGAAGTAGTAATTGGTATTTTTATCACATATCTATTAATTCACTCAGAAAGTATACTTGCAAATATATCATGTCACATTATATATTACTGGGAGCTTTGAAGAATAGCTGGTTAGTAAAAGAGAGGTATTGCTGACTGGGCCTTGATAGGTAGCATGGTTACCATGTTTTTTATAAATGTAACAGCCAGGCACAGTAATCACCCCGCCACTGTCTTATCTGTTTCCAAGAGCTTTAAAAATCTCAGGGATTGGTATAATTTTTATTTTTTGAGGAAAACATATCACTAATTTAGGAATTACCACTAAATCAAATGGAATTTCACATTAGTCTGAAGATTCATTCAAAGAAAGACAAATATGTTATTCTCAAAGATATTAATAAGCACACTTAAAAAAGAGTAGAATACAGTTCCATGGTCAAATAAACCCATTGGTTGATGAAGCAATAAGCTAAACAAAGTTAAGTAGATGTCTTTACTATAGGACTTCCCTGAACCTCTAATATAGTAATTTAAATGGTGGTTCATTTATAGTACGGAAAATATATAGTGTGTTTCATTTCCAAACTTATTTGATATGGTTTTAATAGAATAGCTATTGATATTTTTGTGGGACAGATTTGAGGAAACACTGGTCTACACTATGGAGAAGACTTTAAAATATGTTCCTCTTAGGTTTTGACCTTTCAATTTGCTTTATTTGGATTGCTGTCTCAACTTGCTTCTGAATTGAAGAACAAATAATATAGCCACACCAAAAATGTTTAAAAAAATAAACAAAAACTTAGAGGGAGGTGTGCTTTTGTATATTTGTGTATATTTGTGTGTATAATTATTTCTAAACTAAATATTCTTACCCTTTTTGGTGGAGCATTTTTTTCATACATTGCTGGGAGAAGTGTGAAATGTTTGACCACTTTGGAGAACTTTGGCAGTATCCACTAAAGCTAAATATGTATAAATGATTCAGCAGTCCTTCTAGCTATACACCTAAGATAAATGAAGTCATATGCCCATAAAAAGACACACACACACAAAATCTTCGTATTGGTTTTATTCATAGTAGCTAAAAGTTGAAAAAAATTCAGTAAGAAAGGAAACAAATCCAATATTATACTATTGGGGCATTAAAAATAAATGAAGTATGGATACACACAAATATGAAACAATCTTCAAAACCTTACATTCATAAAAACAAGCCAGACATCAATAATGAATGCTAGCAAGGATGTGGAGAAAAGAGAACCCTTGTACTCTGTTTGTGGGAAAGTAAACTAGTACAGCCACTGTGGAGAACAGTATCGAGGTTTCTCAAAAAACTAAAAATACAACTACTGTGTAATCCAGCAATCCCACTGCTGAGTATATTTCTGAAATAAAGGAAATCAGTATATTGAAAAGCTATCTGCATTCCCATGTTTGTTGCAGCATTATTCACAATAGCCAAGATATGGAATCAACCTAAGTGTCCATCAATGGATGAATGGATAAAGAAAATGTGGTACATATATACAATGGTGTATTACTCAGCCATAAAAATGATATCCTGCCATTTGCAACAGCATGGATGGAACTGGAAGATATTAAGTGAAATAAGTCAGGAACAAAAAGACAAATATCACATGTTCTCAGTCATATGTGGGAGCCAAAGACAAGTGGATATCATGGAGATAAAGAGTAGAATGCTGGTTAACCATAGTCTGAGTAGGGCAGTGGAGAGGCTGGGATGAAGAGTGGTTGTTAATGGGCACAAAAACACCAATAGAAGGAATAAGGTCTAATGTTCAATAGTATAACAGGGCAACTGTAGTTAGCAGTAATTCATGGCATATTTCAAAACAACTAGAAGAGTGGAATTGGAATGTTCCTAACACAAAGAAATGACACATACTTGAGGTGTGATAGATATCCCAATTACCCTGATTTGATCATTACACATTGTATACTTATATCAAAATATCACATGTATCCCATAAATATATACAACTATTATGTATCCACAACAATTAAAAACAAAAAAAATTAAAAGAAGCCAGATATATAAAGAAATACTGTATTTCACTTATATGAAGTTCAAGAATAAGCAAAACTAATCTATGTTTATAGAAGTCAGAATAGCAGTTACTAGAAGGTGTAGGTACAACTAAGCATGAGGGAATTTTTTGGGCAAATGTCCTATATCTTAATCTGGGTGCTGGTTACATATATAACTAGGTGCTATATAGATAGATACAAATTTAATTAACTGCATTTAAGATTTTTGCAATCTACTGTTTAAAATTATACAATATATCAACTATACATGTGTATTTGTGTATATATATATATAAATTATGTATACTGCATATAAATTATACCTCAATAAATTAGGAAAAAAGATTGGTGGGAAAGTTATATATTCCTTTCTTCCATGACACGTTTCTCCAATGTTGTATTGATCAGAAACAAGTTAATTATCATGCCATTACCTTAAAGAATAGATTACGTCAGGAAAATGTTACTGTAATATCAAGAAAAGTATTAGAAAATTCTTGTGGGATGAATCCTACAGATAATTGCAGAAAAGTATGTTGGTAATTTATAAGAATCCTTTCCACAAGGTCTTAATTTACAGTTTATGTGTGGTCCCACAGTAAGTATTATATTTTATAACATGGAAAATTATCTGATAAGCACTAGTACTTTTTAGAAAGTGTCAAATGAGTGAACACAAAAATGTGGCGTGAATAATGTGGACTGCTTTAGATACTTTACTAGGCACAAGTGGCTTCATGAGCTGGGGGAAGTCAACAGCAGGGGTAAAATTTTCTCACCATAGATTCCACTTAAAATTCTAACCCATAGACTTTTCTATTATTTCTCTTTTATATTTAATCTCATTAGTGTCTTTAGGTTTCAAATTAATAGCTAAGCAGATATACATCAATGAGATTTACAAATTTTTACTTTTCCAAGCTGTTCTTTTTTTTTTTCCTTTCTGTCAACAACCACAGTGTCCTCACTATATTTGTAGGGCTGAAATCTAGAGTCAAACTGTTGCAGATTAAATGGCAAGCTGTTACATTTAAATCCCCAAAGCCTATGCAGGCAAATCTAAAGGAAAATGAACTAAACTTTTATTATATTTTATTTATAGGTCAAAGGGAAAAATTATAATTTCTCCCTACATTTCAAATTAGATTTTGGCCTAATGAACCCCATTATTAAATTTTAAATAAACATTGTCTTAACATATTTGTGCTGCTCTAACAAAATACTTGAGACTAGGTAGTTTATAAAGAACAGAAATGTATTTCCTTTAGTTGTGGAGGCTGGGAAGTCCAAAATCAAAGCACCGGCCTTTGGTGTCTGGTGAGGTTCTTCGTGCTGCATCCTCACATGGTGGAAGCGGGAAATGAGCAAAAAGGGAAAATTCTATGTCCTCACATGGGGAAAGACGCAAAGGGCAGCAAAAGGGTCTAAAGTAGTTACCTCCAGCACTTTTATAAGGCACTCATCCATTTATGAGAGTGGAACTCTCATGATTTAATCACATCCGAAAAATCTTAATACCATCACAATGGGGATTAAGTTTCAACACATGAATTTTGGGGACATTCAAACTACAGCAAACTTAAAAGGCCATCCACTTCCAAATAACCAAAGAAGAAGAAACCAATTTAAGATTAATCAAGCCTCCTAATTTCTCCTTCCCCTATTCTCTTACCTTCTGAGCATCAACTCTGCATGTTACCATTTTGCCAAAAGACTAGCATGGCAGAGTAAGCAAAGATAAAGCATACCAGTCAATTAAAAAATCAATTACAATAACATTTTGATAAATAGTAAGATAATTTGATTAATTTATTAATAGACATTTTATCAAACATTATTAAGTACCAACTTAGCCATAATGAACTATTTGAGTTTATTTAATGCCTGTATTTTAGTTATTTTTATGCTAACTAGAATTTGTATATAATTGTCCCAGAGACGGCTCTGAATTTAATTAGCTCTTAGTTTAGTTAATTACCAGTGAAGGAGAAAGAGTTAATTTACATAACATATAACCAGATTGGGATTAGAGTTTCTCAATCTCGGCACTGTTGACATTTGAAGCTGGATATTTCTTTGTTCCAGGGAAGTTATTCTCTTTATTGTTGGATGTTTAGCAGCACTCTTGGCCTCTATCCACTAGATTCCTATAGCAACCCCCTCCCCAAGATGTGTCAACCAAAACTGTCTTCAGACATTGCCAAATGTCTGTTGAGGGACAAAGTCAACCCTGATTGAGAACCACTGGTTTAGACAAATGGGTTTCTGTATTTCTACTGTCCTATGTGTTTACTAGGAGTGTGAATAATTTATGGGTAATCCTTCTGTGTTGTATGTTGGAGAATCATTCTTATCTTTCATCTTTGTATTTTAAATCATTTCTGTAGACAGTGATACTATTCTGACAGCTCTTTATTCTATTCATTAATCTGCCTTCTTTTCTGCCCAATGTAATTATTACAATCAGAAGCATGCATTCAATTACAGAAAAGATCATTAATGAAACATAAAACATTATATAATATAATGAGTCTGTTATTTCATTTTGATTTACCCATAAACAGTATAATGTTTTGCTGTTAGGAAGAAAGATTTAGAAAGTAATAAACTGTTATTGTGGCTAGAATATGTAGTGTTTAGGAATTAATAAAATATACTTATAAGAAAATTGCTATACACATAGGGGAATGTTTCTTTTAATACCCCTTTCCATATCAAAAAGTTTTGACATGGGGAACAATATAATATTCACACAAGTTGATTTGTATAGATGATCTATGGTATCATATACATTTTGCCCTCAAAATGTTGCACCAGAATAGGGTCATAAATAAAAGCTACAGGAAGGTTATATATAGGAGAAGCTTGGAGACTATGTTTCACAGATCTGTTTGAAACAGCTTGCATTTTAAAACAGATAATACTAAGGAAGGGGAAAATAGGATTTAAAAAATTCTCCAGCATTTAGCTACACATTTGAAACTGGCATTTGATGACTTATTTTTAAAAAATCAATTAGCCATCTAGATTCTGAGATATTAAATGATGTGTGAATGACTTCAGTTATGATATTTTGAAATGGTTTAGAACTCTCTCATTTATTTTTTTGTACCCTTCCAACACCATAGAGGGCTATTATAAAATAGCTCAAGTGATAGTTATCTAATAGCAAATATCCATAATGAGAATAGGGAGTGCATTTATCAGTAATTATTTAATAAAAACCTATTAGTTTTCAAAGTTGTACTGTCAATTAAATACCTATTTTAATGGTTATTAGTTACCTTGCCTACTTCAATTTACCAGAGGAATATGATTTAATTTTTCAACAATACAATATGTGCTATAGTGAAGTGCTCTCAACTAGTAACATTTATTAAGTACCCACTATGCACTTTGTTCTGAGAAATATGCTATGTGCTATAGGGGAATACAAATAGCAGCAAAGCAGCAGCCGAGGTAATAGGTGTAGTAGCAATGAAGCATTTGTAGAACTTTTGTTATGTGCCAGGCATTATGTTAGGCACTTTACCTTCTTGCCTTATTTAATCTTTACCCCAACCTTGAACATAGGTGATTTTTTAATCCTCCTCTTATTTTTTAACATATGGAGAAACTAAGGCTCTAGAAAGGTTAGAAATCTTGTCAACCCTTTCTATGAAATAGATCATTAGTAAAGGTGGGGTTTGAATATAAGTCTTGCTGACTTCAAATTGAGGAAGAAAGAGAACAACTAAAGAAATAGGAGCAAATAATACTGAAGATGCCAGACAGGAAGAACTTGTTGGGAATTGGGGAAGAGAGATGAGAAGAATTGATTGGGAGTTAGAAATGAGATTGAGTGAACTGGGCTGCCCCATAGATTGTATTCCTGACATGTGTGGGTCCTAGTCACTTTTCCCTTTGTGGACCCTTTGTTCCAACAAATAAATAAATATTACATTTTACAATAGTGTTGATATAAAGACAAATGTATTTATATTACAGATATAGACTGTCTTCTCCGACTGAAAAGTTTGTTTTCTTTCTGCTTTGAAAGAAAATAAAAATTTGGGGGCCCCTAAAATATCACATGCTGTATGCACTGTGGCTGCTGTGCCTAACAGAGTAGTTGGTTCTACTCTTCTGTTTCACGGTAAGAGATCTTTAGCAGTGGCACCTACTTCAATATCAAATGACCTGGGCTGTCGGCGTTCTTTCAAGTCTTGTTAAGTGCCCTTGATTTAAATGCATAACCTTTGCAGGTATTTCAGATTCTTTGTCCATGGACTGAGGCATCCTTTACCAGTGAGCCGTCCTTTACCATCATTTACCAAGAGCCCACAAAGCACCTAGGGAAGTGAAATGTTATTTTCCTGAGCAGCAGGTGCACGGAGACATTTTGAATGCATAGACCTCCCCAGTGGCCAGGAAGCATTTGCACACATCCAAGGCTTGGGAGGTTTTGTTTAACATTCAGTTTTCTTATAAAGCAAGCAAAGATCAGAGTGGCATGTTCTTTCAATCATGATCTGTTTCAGCACTTATATAAATTATCTTTTGTGTTGATGAAAAAGAGTCATGTTGAACACTCACCTCATGAGGTCATGCCACTTACGATCAGATAGATTACCATTTACATAAAAACTTTTGCTCCACACATTTGTTTTGCATGTTTCTCCAACTCACATCTGCTTCCTCTGCTAGAAGAAGCAAACTTTTGCTACCCAGCAGAGCAGCAGAGCCAACACAATGTGCAGGAGAATTGGGTCTTCCTAGCTTCTGACAGCATCCAGAGAAGTTTCTGTAAGTACTGTCTCTGCAGTATTCCCTCATTGTTGCTTCAAGTTTATGTTTTGACATTCTAAGAATTTGTCTTCTGATTTCTGAACTGGACACAGAAATAGAAAGGAACCTGAGAGGTTTTTTTCCTAAAATATTCTGCTTGAGTAGCTGGATTTCCAATGTGACATTTGAAACTTTGAAACAGGTTGTAGCTAAAACAGAAGTAGAGGGAACCTCTTTTTGATTAATGCCAGTCCCTGATGCCCACATCTTTATGGGCTTTAATTGCTCCAAAATTTTATCTTTTATCTATCTTTCTTCACTTCCTTCCCCATTTCTCAAGCCAAACTAACTCAAGCAAAGGTATATACCAGCATAGTGAGGATGGTGGTGAAAGAAGAGATCTTAGATACGAAGTATTTTGTTTTCATGATTTCAGCTTTTAATTTAGATTCAGGGGGTACCTGTGCAGGTTTGTTGCATGAGTATGTTTTGTGATGCTGAGGTTTGGGGTACAATTGAACCCACCACCCAGGTAATGAGCATAGTACCAAAGAGGTAGTTTTTCAACCCTTGCCTCCCTCCCTTTCTCCCCCATCTAGTATTGTCTATCATTGCCATCTTCATGTCCATGTATGCCCAGTGTTTATCTCCTACTTATAAGTGAGAATATGTGGTATTTGGTTTTTTGTTCCTGCATCAATTCCCTTAGGATGATGGCCTCCAGCTGCATCCATGTTGCTGCAAAGGACATGATTTCATTCTTTTTTTATGGCTGTGTAGTATTCCGCATGGTGTATATGTATCACATTTTCTTTATCCATTTCACTGTGGATGTGCATCTAGGTTGATTCCATGTCTTTGCTATTGTGAATAGCACTGTGATGAACATACAAGTGCATGTGTCTTTTTGGTAGAATAATTTTTGTTTTGGATATATACCTAGTAATGGTATTGTTGGGTCAATTGGTAATTTTGTTTTAAGGTCTTTGAGAAATCTCCAAACTGTCTTCCACAGTGGCTGAGCTAATTTACATTCCCACCAACAGCATAAGTATTTCCTTTTCTCTGCAGCCTCAGGTTGGGCATTTTTATAAGTCCTTTTCCCACAGCCAAACCGAGTCTAAAACATTATTATTATTATTATTATTATTATTATTATTAGAGATGGAGTCTCGCTCTGTCACCCAGGCTGGAGTGCAATGGCACAGTCTTGGCTCACTGCAACCTCCACCTCCTGGGGTCAAGCGATTCTCCTGCTTCAGCCTCTCGAGTAGCTGGGATTACAGGCGCCTGCCACCACACCCGGCTAATTTTTGTAATTTTAGTAGAGCTGGGATTCGCCATTTTGGCCAGGCTGGTCTCAAACTCCTGACCTTGTGATCTGCCCACCTCGGCCTCCCAAAGTGCTGGGATTACAGGCATGAGCCAGTGGCTGGCTGATGTATTTTTTAAAGGATATTTTTGGCTTTATCAAACAAAGTTTGGCTCTATATAGGATAAATTAAAGCAAATGATTCCTCTGGGCCAGTGGTTCTTAACATTTTGGAGGAGGCAGTGTGCCCCTTAGAATATCTGATGAAAGTTTTGACCCCTCATCTCAAGAAATAATGTACGTATATATGCCCAATGCCGTATACAATGTCAGAGGTATGAAAAGTGCCAGGTAAAAATTCCTATCCTAGTAACTCACAATCTGAAGCAGAATATTACTAGCAGTGACACACATAATAAGGACAGTTTCATTTCTGTCATAAAATATACATGATTATAATTCAGTTTATTGAGCACTTGCTTTGTTCCAGCAACTGCACCATTTATACACATTGTTTCATTTGTAGTTTTAATGATAAAGAAATTAGTGCCTATTTAACAATATAACATTTTGGAATTGTGTGCTTTTTTCAATGATCTGTATTAGCACAAAGAATCAACAATTGATATAATTCTCAAAGCAAATTGCCACCAAATCTAATATTTGCCTTAGAAATAAATATCTGTAAAGGGCTACTAGCCCTTGCTTTCTTCTTACAGGCTTGAAAAGTGGTTATGAGTTGTAGGTAATGGTGCTCCTGAAAACCCAGAGAAATTGAACAGTATATCATTTGGACTATTTATATTGTTCTCATTAGTCAAAGCCATTGGTGTGCTTTCTTTCAGCAGGCTATAACAAATTGTTTTTTGTTCAAAGAAAGGTTGGCCCAATGTTTCAATTAGGTAATGCTGAGAAAATTTCCACATGCATGTGACATTTCCTTCAATAGGCATGTGTTGTAGGAACAAGATTGGGGGATGGAGTATTCCTTGCAGATGGTTTCACTGATTGCAGAACTAACTACAGGCTGGTTTGATATATGTTCCCTGAAGACAGAATTAGGACACTTTACCGCCTGACATATTTAACTTCTTTTGAAAATGATGCTAATTTGTCCTTTTTTTCTTTTTCACCCACACCCTTTTATAGGCAGGACTGATGAGTTTAAAACATTGAGCATGACCTCATTCTTCAAAGCAGAGCAGGCCCCTACCCAGTGCCCTCCAGCTCTCAGGACCTCATTCTTTAGCAATGTGGTACAGACGTTCACTGTGTTTGCTGGGTTTTTACCTCCTCCACATCCCCCAGCTCCCCACCCCTCCACATGCTTGAAGATGATCTTTCCAGACCTAATGATTTGGAAAATAAATATTGCATGTGGGCTTCTTGACCTGACAAATTATTTTAAAATTAAATTCTTGATAAAGTTAAGAGACCCAGCTTTCAAAGGTTTAAGAAATAACAGGGAGGGAGAAATTTTCTTTGAGTGAAATAATCCCTCTTAAATACTTTGATCAAAATACTATTTATATTGTCTAGATTTCAGTCACAGCTCAACCCTTACTTGTCAGAGACCTTGTACAATTTCTCATCTGTCATACATGGATAGTAATGATACTGATGCTCTAAGGGAGTTTTAAGGAAAAATTGAGTTAATATTGTGAAGATCTTGGAACAGTGCCTAGGCACATAAAGAGTCCAGTATCCATGTTTGCAAAATGTATATTTTAAAAGAGACAGATAAATAAAATATGTCTTCAGATTGGCATAAGAGGAAAGTTTAAAACATCAAATTTTATTTTTCCATTGAAGTCTAGTAAAATGTATTGGAGATTTTCAAATTTCTTAAATTTAAGTTTAGATTTAATAAGATACAAAAATATGAAGGACTTTGTAGCATGAATCACCTGTGCTAAATTATACAGTACATTTTTGTAATGAATGTGATTACAAACATTTCAGAATTGAGTGTAAATTTTGCCTTAAACATGTATTTTAATTTTGACAGTTGCATGATTAATGGTGGATTTCATTTTATTAGCGGTCTCAGAAGAGAGACTGGGAATTTAAGAATTATTTAACAATAAGAGAGAAAACCTTTCTTTACTAAAACCGGAAACATCTTTCAAAGATTCCATTTGGTAGATTCCATTAAGGATAAGGATGAGGGGATCAATGTTCTCTCTGCTGTTTTAATAAATTAGTAGCAAAGGATAAAGATATTACCTATGTTTTATCAGGAATGAGGCATAATCATAATGTAATTTAATTATTTTGTATCTGTAATCTCTAAAAAATACTATTATTCTAAAAGACGGTAAACTTGTTCATATATTATAATCAACTAAATGAGAAAATGAGTCTTAGCCTACATGATTTCAACCAAAACTGCTAAACTCTTCCTCACTTTTTTGAAATCAGATTTCATTCCAAATGACTTTTAGATATTTCCCAAATGCTAATACATCTTCACGGATTAGAGAATTGTCCCTCCTGAGAACATTTAGATGCATTGCATCTGATAATTATTTAGCACTTATTGTGTGTTAGGTTCTATTCTAATTGCTTTCCACTTATTAACTCAATTCTCAAAACTAAACCAAACACTTAAAAGGTAGATACTTTAATAACTCCCATTTCACAGATGAATAAAAGGAGGCACAAAGAACTTGCCAAGGTCACATAGCTTGTAAGTAGCAGAAACCATTTTTGAACCCAGAAGTCCTGGTTCCAGAGCACTGCTAATTACAAGCTATAAGCCACTCTATCACATACCAAAACAAGATTGTTAAAGTAAGTACAGTTGACCATTGCATAACACAGGATTCAATTACATGGGTGTAGTTATAAGCGGATTTTAAAAAATAAATATATTGAAAAATTTTTTGAAGATTTTCTGACAATTTGAAAAAACTCACAAACCATCTGGCCTAGAATCATCAAAAATAAGAAAAAGTTAGGTATGTCATTAATGCATAAAACATGTAGATCCTAGTCTATTTTATCACTTACTACCATAAAATATATACAAATCTGTTATAGAAAGTCAAAATGTATCAAAATGTACCAAACCCTTACAGACTATACATGGTGCCATTCCCAGTCCAGAGAAATATAAACAAATGTGAAGATGAAGTATTAAATCAAAACTACATAGAATGAACTGTAGTATGTACTGTGCTACTGTAATAATTTTGTAGCTGGTTATTGCAGTGAGCTCAAGTGTTGCAAGTATCCACATAAAATGTCAACTGACACTAATCATCTCCATATGAGGAGTTTAACTCTCCAGTAAATTGCGCATCACAGTAAAAAGGGATCTCTCTTTCTAATTTGGATGCCCTTTATTTCTTTCTCTTGTCTAATTGCTGAGACCAGGACTTACAGAATTACATTGAATAAAAGTGGTACAAGTGGGCATCCTTGTCTTGTTCTAGTCCTTAGAGAAAAGGCCTTTAAATTTTCTGTTCAGTACAATGTTAGCTGTGGGCTTGTCATACATGGCCTTTATTTTTTTGAGGTATATTCATTCTATATACATTTTGATAAGGATTTTTATCACAAAATATGTTGAATTTTTTATTTTTTATTTTATTTTTATTATTTATTTATTTTATTTATTTTTTTGAGACAGAGTCTCACTCTGTTGCCAGGCTGTAGTTCAGTGGCACAATCTTGGCTCACTACAACCTCCAGCTCCCTGGTTCAAGCGATTCTCCTGCCTCAGCCTCCTGAGTAGCTGGGATTATAGGCATGCGCCAGCACGCCCAGCTAATTTTTGTATTTTTAGTAGAGACGGGGTTTCACCATGTTGGCCAGGATGGTCTCGATCTCCTGACCTTGTGATCCGCCCACCTCGGCCTCCCAAAGTGCTGGGATTACAGGCGTGAGCCACCGCGCCCGGCCTAGAGATGTTGAATTTTATCAAATGCTTTTTCAGCATTGAAATAATACGGTTTTCATTCTTGATTCTGTTAATGTGTCATGTTTATTGATTTGTGTTCACAGATGACATGATCTTATACCTAGAAAATCCTAAATACTCTATCAAAAAACTTAGAGTTGCTAAACAATTCAGTTAAGTTGCGGGTTGCAAAATCAACATACAAAAATCAATGGCATTTATATATGCCAACAGCAAACAACCTGAAAAAGAAATCAAGGAGGCAACCCCATTTATAATAGCTATAAAAATATAAAATAACTAGGAATCAATCTAACTAAAGAAATGAAAGATTTGTACAAGGAAAACTATAAAACTCTGATAAAAGAGGTCACAAATAAAATGGAAAGATGTTCCATGCTCATGGATTGGAAGAATTAATATTGTTAAAATGACAGTATTTTCCAAAACAATTTACAGATTCAGTGCAATCCCAATTAAAATACCAATAACATTCTTCACAGAAATAGAAAAACAATCCTAAAATTTATGTGGAACCAAAAAAGATCCTGAATAGCCAAAGCAATACTTGGTAAAAAGAACAAAACTGCAGACATCACACTACAGGACTTCAAAATTAACTACAAAGCTATAGTAACAAGAACATCATAGTACTGGCATAAAAACATATGTGTAGACCAATGGAGCAGAATAGAAAACCCAGCTATAATCCATGCATTTACAGCCAATTCACTTTCACTTAAGATGCCACAAACATATAATGGGGAAAGGACAGTCTTTTCAATAAATGGTGCTGGGAAAACTGGATAACTATATGCAGAAGAATAAAACTAGACCCTTATTTCTCATATGCAAAAATCAAATCAAAATGCAATAAAGGCTTAAATCTGAAACCTGAAACTATAAACTAGCAGAAGAAAACATTGGAAAAGTGCTCCAGAAAATTGGTCTGAGCAAAGATTTTTGTATAAGACCTTAAAACCCCAGACAACCAAAGCAAAATTAGACAATCAGGATTACATAAAGCTAAAAAGCTTCTGCACAACAAAGGAAACAATCAATGAAGAGATAACCTAAAAAATGGGAGAAACGCCTTGCAAAGTGTCCATATAACAAGGATTCAATAACTAAAATATGTAAACAACTCAAACAACTCAATAGCAAAAAAATAAATCTGATTTTAAAATGAGTAAAAGATCAGAAAAGACATTTCTCAAGAGATACAAATGGCCAACAAGGATGTGAAAAAATGTTCAACATACTAACCATCAGAGAAATGCAAATCAAAATCACAATGGCATATTATCTTACTCCAATTAAAATGGCTTTTATCAGAAAGACAATAACAGATGCTGGCAGGAATGTGGAGAAAGGGGAACTCTGGCACACTGTTGGTGGGAATGTAAATTAGAACAGCCGCTATGGAGAACAGTATGGAGGTTCCTCAAAAAAGTAAAAATAGAACTACCAGATGATCCATCAGCCCACTGTTGAGTATATATCCAAAAGAAAGAAAGTCAATATAGGTAAGAGATATTTGCACTCTCCTGTTTATTGCAGCGCTATTCACAATAGCCAAGATATGGAATCAACCTAAGTGTCTGTCACAGATGAGTGGATAAAGAAAACATGGTATTATACACAATGGAATATTATTCAGCCATAAAAAAGAATGAAATCATGTAATTTACAGCAGCATGAATGGAACTGGAGGCCATTATATTAAGTGAAATAAGCCAGGCACAGAAAGACAAATGTTGCATGTTCACGTTCATATATGTGAGCTAAAAAAATACATCTCATGAAGATTGAGAATAGAGTGATGGTTACCAGAAGCCAGAAATGATAGAAGGAGGATGGAAGGAAAAAAGAATATAGCTATACTTATTACCACTGAACTGTATGCTTAAGAATAATAAAGACAGTAAATTTTATATGCATATTTTGTCTAAATAAAAAAATTAAAAAATAAAATGTGATCTCTCATGGCTCGTACATATTTTTATTGTGTTTAGTGCAATACTGTAAACTTGAATAACACCAGGGCACCCATAAAAAGTGCCACCACTAATGATGCTAGAAGTGCTCCCAAGAAGCAGAGAAAAGTCATGATATAACAGAAAAAGTTGAATTGCTTGATATGTATTGTCAGTTGAATATGTGTTAATCAATTGTTTATGTTAGCAAGGATTCAACTCAATAGTAGGTTATTAGCAATTATGTTTCTGGAGATTCAAACGTTATACTTGGATTTTTGACTGCCTGGAGGATTGGCATTACTAACCACCACCCCTCTTCTTACCTCCTGCTGTTCAAGGGTCAACTGTATATACTTTACATAGAGTTTTGGCTCCAAGAGTTAATTTGTAGGTTATTGTTTGGAACTTGTCATTAATTTCTAGTGCGTGTATAGAAGTAAATTTACATATGAGGTTAGGTTTTAGGTAAGCCTTTAAAAGCCCACTTAATATACGATATCATTAATATAGTGACGGGGGCAGTCATAAGAAAGGGGTCGAGTGCACCAGGGAGCCCTGCAACAATTACGTGTGGGGAAAAGGTTTGAGGGGCCAACATTGTTAATGGGGAAGATACCAGTAGAGGAGGGTGTGAGCAACGGGGTGTGTTTCTAGCTGTAGGATTGACCAGTAGCTCTGTGGCCAGTAGCCAGTTCATAGTTAGGCCATTGGTGAGTCTTGTGTTCCAATGTCACACTGAACTTTGGAGTTAGGAGGATCTTTGACATCTAACACCTCACCCTGCATATCAGTAAACCTCAATAATTTGCCAAAGTCCACCATCAATAATTGACCAAAGTTCATTGCCAGTCAATGAACTTTGCCAGCAGAGTAAGGTTGAGAACCCATGAATCAGGTATCAGACCCGCTGGCAGTTTGTAGTTGTGCCTTATGTAGAAGGGCTATCGGCATCCAGACCTAGACACGGTTCTTGAGTTCCTGAAAATGAATAAAGTGAATGAATAAAATGAGTAAAATGAATGCAGGATTGCCAGTTCACTGACAATTTACCCTCCCTGGCTGAAAAAGTTCCCCATTTCTTCTTTAGAATATTCTTTATAATATTGACTTAGCTCTTCTATACCCTTACTGGTTAAATCTTAGTGGCATTGTCTTGATATCATAAAATATAAAAACTGTAAAAAATTTTTTGATGAAAGGGATGCATTATATGCACAATTATAATTCATTACTTTAATAACCCTCCTTCAGTGATATCTCCAAGGATGAGACCTACATTGGTAATCTGCAAATGTTCAATAGCCAATCAGCAAATAGGAAGTAATTATTGGGTCATGGTATCAACATATAAGAGATAATTGTTATATTAAGTTCTGCTGTTTAAGGGTTTGCATGTTTGTTATAAATTAAACAAATACATTTGACTGAGGCAATAGTGGTACAGAATGAAAAAATAATGATTTGTGTAAAGCCCCCAAAATAGCTGCACTGACTGGGAGTCTTTGACATCCTCTTTCCCATGCTAAGTCCATCTGTGATCACGATAACCCCAGTCTGGCATTCAGCCCTCCCTGCCAACTGGACACATGCCGCTGATGAACAGCTTCTCACCCCCTTTCATAACCAGAGCACAAATATTAGATGAATTTCCTTTGAACCTTGCTTCCTCTTGGCTCTTAACATAGTCTAGCTCCTTAGAAGAAACATTTCAGGTTCTGGGAGACACAGAGTCCCTTATTAATCATCTTTTTTTTTTTTTCTGGAGGAACAAATATTAAAAAAATTTTTATATTTCTCCAAGGTAATAGATACTGTGTATCATGATTGGAAAAGATGTCCCACTTCTTAAATATTTAATTAGAATCTGTCACTGCAGGATATGGAATATTAACCATCTAGCCCTTAAAAAGAGTACTAAGGTTTCTCTGCATAACAATAATACTATTAATAATAAGAAACGATAGTCATTTTCTATTTGATGCTTCTTCCAAGAACTTATTTCTTTAGACACTTCCATGTGTAACTAGCCAGACAACAGCCAATCCATATTTAAATAACTCCATGTAATAAAATAATGTTTTTCATGTTAAGAGGAAGGATTCCAGAATGTTATATTCTTTTTAATGCCATTATCCAGTTAGAACACTTTTAACCATAACAATAATAATTTCCAGCTATCCCAAATCCTAAAATAAAGTGCCAACCCCCCGAAATATATTTCGTTACTGAAACATGTGTAAACAATTATGAATATCTAAACCATACTGGTATTGGTTTTCAGACTCTCTCCAAAACTGTAGGGAAAAAAATGCCCCTAGTGAGTATGTTGATAAATATATTCGACTTCAAAAGTTGCTTTTGCAGACCCAGAGAATAAAGATTTCACTTTTTATTGGGTATGTAAAAAAAATGGTATAAATTTTAGATTTTACGTTTCAGAAAGAGAAAAAGACATCTATACAATTTACTCTTCTGATTTGTAAAACTCAAGTTTATTCAAAACTGCACCAGAATCTGTGAGTGGGGAGTGATCAATTGGAGTTGAGATTATAATTTGGGGGAGATCAATGAGGGCCTCTGACTTGATCAGAAGTTTTTGTTTTTGTTTACCTCTTCAAAAAATTCAGTAGAAATACATGGATTTGTTATGCCGGGTACATGGATTCATTATGATAAGAAAGAATTTGAAGTTAGATACATATTTAAATATTAAAATGTTTAGTTCAAAAGTATTTTTAAATGAACCTACCTCTTATTGTTACCAAAAGAGGCAATCCCAATCTTATTTAAATTCCATTTTAAATGGCGTGGATTCCCCAACCCATTAGCAAAAATATTGTTCAAGATGGTGAAATAATTGTGGTATCTTTTTAAAAACTCTACAATTAGCTAACACTCTGTTGTTGTATATTACTCTTGTCTCTCTCCCTCACTCGCACACATACATGCACACACATGGTAAACTTCTCCAGGCCAAAGCTTAGGTCTTTTATCATCCTCACGTAGCACAATGCCTGGAAAGTTCTTAATATTTGTAAAATTAAATGATACTGTTCAAACCAAATACAAAATTAAATACATGCCCTATTTTAAAAGTTATGATCTAGGTTACATTAATATGACATTCTTGAAAAATGTTAAAATGCATGATTACATTTATGGGGTATTTTTGCATATATAATTTTTAAATTGTTTTAGCTTTGTGTTTTGAAATAATATTGAACTTGTGAGTTGAAAAACAGTATAAACAATTCCTATACACTTTACATCCAGATTCACCAAATTGTTTTTTTTTAATTTTTATTTAATTTTAAATGTTTATGGATATATAGTAGGTGTATGTATTTATGGGGTACATGAGATTTAAAAATGCTAAATGCATCATTACATTACATCACTATTACATTATATCACTATGACATTACATCACTATTGCATCAGAATAGTGTTGATATCCCTGTGCATGAAGGTTGTATGAGTACAGTTCCTCTTCTCCTTATCTTAGTAAAAGAAGGCCTCCTTAGCCTCAGACTTTCATATATTTGGCTGCAAGAGAGATATGAGGGGATAGAGAGCGAGAAGAGGTGAACTTTGGGGAATGTATTGTTCATGAAGAGAGACTATGTCCCCCCAACCTGCTCCCAGAGGGGGAAGGGAGAGGGGTCCATGATTTCTCCTCTTAAGGTAATCACCTGTGAAGCTTAGAGATGACTTCAAGAGGGAGAGAAAATTGCTTGTTTACCTGGCTGAATATCTGCTTAGTAACAGGGTCTGAGGAATGGCCTTGTACTGCCAGAAAGGGAGAAAGAGAGTGATGAGATACTGCTGCTGGTAAGGTTCGCCAGGCTAAGAAGGGGCAAGGAGCAGTCCCCTGAGTTCTCAGGAATTCGAGGTAGAGCTATATCTGTCCCAGGCCACAGTCCCCAGAGTTAAAGCTGTAGAAGGTAGAAGAAATGGGGTTTTGTATGTAGGCTTCTCAGGGACCCAGCAGGAGATGAAAAGATACCTGAGGCTTTTGATCAGGATCAGCTGGAAAAGGTAGCTGAGCCTCTCAATGCTCCAGACAACTGCCTCAACATCATGGCTTTTTTGAGGCTACCCCCCAACAATGAGACAATGATCGAGGTCAACAGGGATGACCCCCAAAAGATTTATTTTGCCATCTTCTCCCACCTTAAATCAAAAGGAAAAAATTTAGGAAAGTTATGAGGGAACGGACCCCATTCACCACCTCCAACCCTTCCGTGTTACTTTTTTTATTGCTGTGCAACAAATTACCACAAATGTAGCAACTTTTAAAACAACATCCATTCAGTAGGTCAGGTTTGGTAGCTTAGAAATCCAGGGGCAGTGGGACGGTGTTCTCTGCTCAGAGCTCAAAATCTAAAAGTGTTGGCCAGGCTGAATTCTTGTCTGGAACCTCTGGGGAAGAGCCCACTGACAAGCTCACTGGGGTTGCTGGCAGAATTCCCTTACCTGCAACTGGAGGGTTAAGGTCCTTGTTTCCTTACAAGCTGCCAGTCCAGGACTGCTCTCAGTTCCCAGAGGCTGCCCACATTCCTTGCCACCTGGTCCTTTTCATCTCCTAAGCCAGCAATGGGGACTCTCACACCTTGAATCTCTCTCCCAGGATTTTTCTCTCTCTGTCTTTCCTATCTCTGACCTCTAGACCCAGATTTTAGCTCCCTAATTTAAGGTCAACTGATTTGGGAATTTAATTACATGTGCAAAATCTCTCCCAGCAACACCTAGATTAGTGTTTGCTTGAATAACTGGAGGAAGATGGATATACATCAAGGGCCAGGAAGAATAAGAGCTATCTCAGAATTAGACCTGTCATACTTCTCTGCCTACCATAAAGAGTGGGAGCTGCAAATCTACATTTCCCTGGGGGAAAGCTTTGGATCAAAATGAGAATAAAGTTTTAGTGAAAATGAGACTTTTAATAACTGGCAATTACTAAAGTGTAATGATACAGGACTTTAGTATCGTGAAGGGAACCAGATCCATTAAGAAAGGGGGTAGGTTTGTCAACATAGCAGGATAGTAGCAGTTATTCAAAAAAAATAAAATTATTTCTCATTTATTTATTTACCTTACAAGTTGAGATTCTTCAATTAAAACTATTGTCTATGATTGGAGTAACCTCACACAGTAGAGCAGTCTCTTGTAGTAAATGCCTACACTGTTCTTGTCAGATTTTACCACTTTATAAGACAACCATATGTGATGGGCAGTATCATCACAGAAAACAAGTGGCAGACCTGGGACTTAAGTCCATAAAGTGTTGCAAACACAAATCTTTTCAGACATGGCTAATATAAATGACAGAATTAGGCCAAGTGTAGGCAATAGGAACTGGTGAGGACTATGGCTAAGTGGAAAGCATATGCCCTGTTAAATGTGAACAGCAACTGCTCAGGTCAAGATATTTGCTGCTACTTTGGAAGGATGATTCAGTATTGTGGAATCTCCTAATTCTTCCAAAGAAACCTAACATTTGAATTTTAATGGAAGACTTCTCAAGTTTTACATATTGATAACTAATTTTTAAAAGGGAAGCCTCTGCAAGGCAAACAAGTAAATAAAATTCTGTGATCAGATTCCGCACAGAGAACATCAGTTCATGTCTTCTGATATAATCCAATGCACTCATACCATAAATGATAAACTTAATGTGTGTGTGGGAGGAAGGATGGTAATTGAAGAGAAGGGATACAATGACTAGAACAATTTATATTGTTAATTCAAAAAAACCTACTTTGATTTGTTTTTTAAAATAAAGAGGATTTACTAGCAGATTTCACTGAAAAAATCCAGATATTCCAAGCTCCAGGTGAAGTTTGATTCAGTGCTTAAACAATGTCATCTGTTTCCTCTCCATCTCACTGTGGTGTATTTTAGTTGTTACCTCACCCTCAGACTCCACATGGGAGCCTTCAGGCAACTGCAGGTTCTCTCAGATGTCCACACATGTGGTCATGCTGAACCAAAACCTCACATCACTTTCCTGGGAGTTCCTGTGAAATATGCATAAATATCATTATCACTGATTGGATTTTGTACCCAACTACTTACTACTGATTGATTTAAGCCAATGAAGTCTAACCCTAGAACTGGTAAGAGGCCAATTCCTCCAAACCTCATAGCTAAGCATAAACAAAATCAATTCCCAAAGGAAATTAGAAATACTCTTTTAAGAAAGACAGATGCTGGGAAACAAAGAACAAAGTCTACCTGAGGTTTATCTTCTGAATATCTCCTCCAGTTCTAGGACTTAAAAGATGTCTATGAAATATCTACTTCCAGTCTCAACTCTCCTCATGGACTCCAATCCATTTATCCAACTGCATTTGAACCACCTTTTACTTAGATAACCAACCTTCAATCAAACATCTCTAATGTCATTTCATCATTTCTACCCCACTCCCCACAACATTCTATTACATCTAATTTTTTAGTCAATGTTCTTGTGCAGGAAATAGAAACCAACTCTGGCTAACCTAAGCAGAAAAGGAACTTTATTCAAAACATATCTGGTAGCTTACAGAATTGAGCTATTGTGGGAAGACTATAGAAGCAGAAAATGGACAGGAATCAAGGGAAACAGGAGGAGCTGCAGGCAAAGTACCACCCCGACTCCCACTGTCACTGGACACACTCTCTTCTCCAGAGCCTACAGGCTGCTGCTTCTGCCTTTGCTGCTGAACATCAAGGCCATGAACAATTTCTAAACTGTCCTATCTTACTTGTGTCATTTGTTCCAAATTTGAAATCTTACAGTGGGGCATCCAGTTAGCCACATTTAAATCACATGTTATTGTTCTGCTCACTAGACAGAGCAGGATTACTTGGCATTTATAGTATAGGATTCCCTCTAAATAAGAGAGGGTTGAACAATGGGCCATGAAAAAATGACAAGTGTCCTGAATTCCTATATTTTATGGAGCCTCACAACAAGACAGCTATCAGTTCAATATAAATAAGTCCATTCTCATACCCATAGCTCTCCAAAGATAAAATAAATATGCCTTCTCAATGGGCAACAGGTTTGTCTTTAAAGTATCCCAAGAATAGACTCATTGACCACTTGGTGGCAATATTAAAGAAAGAATTCAGGCATCACAGGGTTGGATAGACCAAATGATTTTTTAAAACCTCAATAATCTAAACATTTTAGTTAGAAGTATGTCCTCAGTCCCAATTTACTGCTAGGTGCTCTGCTCTTTCTTCCACTATTTGTGTGTTTGTAAATATTAAGGAACAAAAGCTCAGAACATCACAAATCTGATTTGAAGGCCCTAATAAGACCTTGTGATCACTTCCTTTTCCAGATGCCCCAGGGCATGGCCCACTGCTGGATACTTGGCCCAGGATTTAAAGGGGCTGTGTGCCACTGTGGATTTGGAGGATTATATCCACAATTTGCCACCCAATTCCTCTCTGGTCTAGTACACTTCTTTAGTTCACTTCTTAAGTTTCATCTAGGCCTTAAGTGTTTCTGACTGATTATGAGCAATGTAGCAACTGAGGA
Organism: Homo sapiens; assembly: GCF_000001405.40. Classification (NCBI taxonomy): domain Eukaryota; kingdom Metazoa; phylum Chordata; class Mammalia; order Primates; family Hominidae; genus Homo; species Homo sapiens. The sequence continues at coordinate 121,164,355 of NC_000007.14, forward strand.
ATCCCCTCCCCGAAAGACAGTAGGACTATGTTGACCAGGATACTGGCTTCACTTCTTTCGTTCCTCTCTTGTCACTGCTTTTCCTCATCCTAGTGATTCTCAAGCTTAAGCATGCATTGAAATTTCCCAGAGGGCTTATTAAAACACAGACTGCTGGCTTAAACCCCAGGTTCCCACTCAGTAGGTTTAGGATGGGGCTCAAGAATTTGCATATCTAGTGACTTTCCAGCTGATGCTGATGCCATGCCTCTTGTCCCCAAACTGCGCTTTGAGAACCATTGTCTTTTACTACCCCTAAGCTGATGCCTTTTCTTTTTCATATAAAAAGCACCTGCTTTTATCATTATGTAGCTCAGGTGCATTCTCTTTTCAATACATTTCTTCCATATTCCATTTATTTGTCTGATAGGAAAGGCTATTTCTTTACCTCTCAAAATACCCTGTCTTTGTGTGTGAAAAGACTAAATTTCAAGTAATGTCACCAAGGAGATAGTTTTATTAGGGAATAAACACCTTTTAGTGGTACTTCCCAAAACTTGACTTCTAGTCCTATATTGTTCACTCTGTATTCTTTATGACATAAATGTGTCTTCATTTTCTCAACTTTTCTGACTCTTCCTATAAGTGATTCTGAACATCAAAGGTATTTTTCTAAGTTTCTTCTTGAACTCTCTGAAATTTTAAAATTCATTGTTTTCTTACATTTGTGTATTTCAATGATTGTTTTGCTAACATAAATTACTATGTTTCTTAAGTTTTATTTGCCCTTGTTAAACATAATTTAAATCTATAAAAACAAAAAGGAACAAAAAAGGAAAAGTAATATCAAGCATCAGATAAAAGATGTGCCAAAGTAGGATATGTTGGATATAAACTTCACTTAAGTATCCAGTATATAAACTTCACTTAAGTATCCAGTAAGTGTTTTTTCTTGTTTCTTTTTGGTGTTGTTTGTAACTGTTTTTGAGAAAGCAGTGTCTAAAAGCAAAAGTAAATTTCCTTTTGTCAAACTTTAAAAATTAGAAACTCATTAACTGACCAGTAATGAAAATAAAGGATCTGTTCATTAATGACCAAATTCATGTTTAAGGACACAATTTTGTATGAGTAGCTTCAAATAATCTTTACCCCAGTCTTCCTACTATTCAATCATGAAAGAGTGATAGTATGTTTAGTAATCATTTGACCAAGTCATACATCATTAAATATGTCCTTTTCTTAGAATTAACACCCTCTATACTTTAATTTCCTTTCCTTTCATTCTTTCTCCAATATTTAGAGACCTCATCAGAGTTCACAATATGTCCCCACCCTACTTCAGTCCCCTGGATGATTAACCACCACTAAGTCTGAAGTTTCTAAATTGTTACTTTTCTTCTTTTTGGCATGTGTTGGGGGAGAGGTAAAATTTTTACAATTCAGAGAAAGACAATATATTTTAAGATTGGAACTGATAAAGATCAAGCATTTCTTTTGATTCTGGCTTTCATTTAAATCATTTGCATTCCAATTATTTGTTAGCTTTCTAAATGGTCTCTTCAGCATCAAGCTAAGATATGATTGGATGTATCTGTGGCTTTTATAAACTCTGTACTATTGAGGGTCATCCAAGTTTTAGAAACATTGTAATGTATGTGGCTATTTTGACAAATCAACATCCTTCTTATTGAATCAGTTTAATATATCTGTTTTTGCTCACATTAGAACGCTAATTATGTAAACACAACTTACCCACCAGCTCTGCCACAAGGGCCTGAGTGCATGGCAAAAACAAAAAAAAACAAAAAAAAAACATTTCACCAGAAGACCACATTTTGTATGTTATTCAATAAGATACATGGATTGGGTGTGGCATCAGAAGATTTGAATCTATGTGCTAGCTTTATCGCTTATTACCACAATGACACTGAGCAAGCCACTTAAGTTCTCGGAAAATTGCTATGATGTATAAAATGGACATAATTTATACTTGCCCCAACCTATTTCCCTGGATTGTTATTAAGAATAAAATGATAATGGATGCAAAAGACTTTCGCAAGTTATGAAGTATTATACAGATGAGACATATATTATATTTACTTATATATTAGACATACTGATACATTTTAAATGATTCCAGTTCATCCTTTTTTTGAATTTCAGTTAAATACACATTCTAACATCTCACTCAGGAAAAAAGGCTATTGTTTTCTTTGATAATAAACTGAAATATTTAACTAAAATTGTATGAGCCTGTATTGTAAAAACAACTCATGATGCTCTTCTCCCTGCCAGTTCCCAAAGGATATTTATCTTAGAATTTTAAGAGGTAAAATTATTTTGGTTCTTCTTCTTTTTGGAGTAATGCTGTTTTTCTCATTCCTTTTAAAGTTAAGAATCATGTAGCATTAAAAAATATATACAGTAGGCTATGGCATTTTCCTAGTTGCTACAAGAAATAAATGTAGGAGAAAGTTCTTTAATGTAAAAATTCCTAACTGTTAACAGATCGTGAAAATCAGCAACAACTGTTGTGCTGAGGATCATGATCTACAAGTAGAGGGCAGATAATTCCACTGAGATGAAAAGAGTGCGTCTGGTGTTTGAGCTGTGGCCACATTTGACTTTCATGTCCTTTTGGGACACAACACACTTTGTGGAAGAAGAAAGTTAATGCAGCTGCCTTCGCTAATCATTCAGTGTGACCCAGCCCCTCAGGGAGGAAGGTAAAAACAGCTACACTCTGAGACCCACCAACCTTGCTGATTAACAGCAAATGCTGGTAAAGTGACCCTCTAAGTCTGTCTAGCCCATCAGGCCTAGAAATGTAATTTAGATGATTATCTCTATGCCCATTAAACCTTGTGACCTATTGCAGTCCGTTTGAAGTTGGTCTGCTTACACTTGTTAATAGGAAAAAAAGAAGGATTAACTCAGAGGTCATGAAATCAGAGTGCAGCCAAGATGATGGCAACAGAGCATAGGAAACCTTCCTTGGCCCCTGTAGAAGTGAGGAAGAACCCTGAGAATAAGGGGCTGCCAACAGAATTCATTTCTTTATGGAAAAAAGAGTTCTTTGGAATGCAACCAAGATTGAATCCTTCACCCTCCACTAGTTCTGGAGAGTTTTGTTTAATTTATAAGCATCGTATTCTAACAAGGTGAGCAGTCATGTTTAAGATCATGGGATTTATGAAAAGGATCACAGCATAAAGTCTGCTTGAGAAACTTAATGAAGAGAATAGATGCATTGTCTGCATTCTATAACAATTTGAAACAGACACCATAACATATTTGAGATCTGATATAAAAGTTAAATCATTTTGTGTAAGCTGTAAGGTCTGAAGAAAACTACTAGAACCCATTAATTTTAGTTTACCTTTTAAAGTCTATTTTTTTTTTTTTTTTTTTTTTTTGAGATGGAGTCTCGCTCTGTTGCCCAGGCTGGAGTGCAGTGGAGCGATCTCGGCCCACTGCAAGCTCTGCCTCCCGGGTTCACGCCATTCTCCTGCCTCAGCCTCCTGTGTAGCTGGGACTACAGGCGCCTGCCACCATGCCCGGCTAATTTTTTTTGTATTTTTAGTAGAGATGGGGTTTCACCGTGTTAGCCAGGATGGTCTCGATCTCCTGACCTCGTGATCCGCCCGCCTCGGCCTCCCAAAGTGCTGAGATTACAGGCGTGAGCCACCGCTCCTGACCCAAAAGTCTATTGCTTTTAAACTCGAAAGAGCTGAGCTTAGTTCCTGAGGTCCTTGTTGGGCGCAGCTTCTCTATGTATGCAGAGCAGTTCATTACTGGCTTACATTCTGAACGCTATCATAGCGGGAGGCTCTCTTACTGGTCAGAGGTTTAATATGCTGAGAATGTTGCTCAAGTAAAAGCTCCTATCAGCTGACCTCTTTACTCACTGGATATTTAAACTTTCTCTTTCACTTTAAGAAAACCTGAAATAATTTTTAAAACTTACAATTCTTAAAAAGTGACTGACAAGGTCTTAATATTTTAAAAGTAGTCTTCTCTATCTAAAGAATCAAGACTTTGTATTCTCTTAAATATCACTTTTAACATATAATTTTATTTACTAAAACATGGTTCTGCATAATTTTAATTTTTAAAAATTTTTAAATTGTTGTGGGTATGTAGTAGGTGTATATGGGGTACATGAGATGTTTTGATGCAGGCATGGAATATGTAATGATCACATCATGGAGAATGGGATATCCAACCCTTCAAGCATTTAACTTTTGAGTTACAAAAAATCCAATTACGCTCTTTAAGTTATTTTAAAATGTACAATTAAATTATTATTGACAATAGCCTATTGTGATATCAAATACTAGGTCTTATTCATTCTATTTTTTTGTATCCATTAACCATCCCCCACCTCTCCTCCAGCGCTCCACTACCCTTTTCAGCCTTTGGTAACCAACCTTCTACTCTCTGTGTCTATGAGTTCAATTGTTTTGATTTTTAGATCCCACAAATAAGTGAAAACATGGGATGTTTGTCTTCCTGTAAAATTTCTTAGAAACAAGACTATTTATAAAGGTAGACACTTCAGTATGGCAAACTCTGCAAATGTTTCAGAGTTATAGGAAAAGGAAAAATCAAACAAGTTTAGAACCTCAATGAAGACTTTACTGTATACATTTATAATGGCTGATAACAGGAACCTAATATTCAAATACAACATAAATATGTGTATGTGCTTATAAAATATTCTAATGAAACAAATGCAATATTACAAGCTATTTAAAAATCTGAAATGCTATTGATAGGAGTTCAGAATGCATGTATAAATGAATATGTATACAAGTTTCAACATTAAATAGGTTCCGAGTCACTGTATTTTATAAAGACATCAAATTAACAAGCTGCCTATAGCTTTTAGAGATAAGTTAAATTAGCTAAAATTACATTCATAAGACAGTATTAAAATGATTGGATGAAAAACTAAGTTCTATAAAGAAGGTAATTGGGAAAATTAGGAAAAAGCAACTTTATTGAATATGAAATTTTTGATCCTATTTCCCGTTTTAAAAATGTATTTTTGTTTTCAATGGAATTTTCTGTTTTATATTAAGAATAGGATGGCATTGAATTAGATTTAGTTTTATTGGGAAGCAACAGATAATCCATGCTTTTTTGTTTCCATTAAGTTCTGATAATGATTAAAATATCATTTGATCATCTGATAATGATCAAAATATCATTTTGTTGAAATTTTTTACTGAAGAATATCATCAAATTTTGGTATGCCACTGAGAATACTAATGGCTAAACTTTTAAATTTGCCACTCGTGTATCCCAGTGCCTGATGTAATAAACATGCAATAAATATTTGTTGAATGAATGGATGATCTTATTGATCTGTGGCTAGTGAGTTCAGAGAGAAAAAGTGGCAACTAAAGTGATTCTTTTCACTCTAAATTCAGGATAATAGTGCTGAAATGTGATTTCCTCCAGGGACTGATAAAATAATTTTGAGTTAATCTCTAAGGTACATTCAAATATTTTTTACGTTGAAGGAACTGTGTTTGGATTTTTTTTTCTTTAGCATGGATGGCTCCAATAATGCAAATGGTTTAATCGATGTCTGTGGGAGGAAATCACTTCTTCCTTTGATCCCCACCTTACACTTAACACTTCCTTACACCTTACACTTCCCTATTTTACATGGACTACACCTTAGTGACACTTGCTTACATGCATATCTCCCCTAGATTTTTCTTCCTTGTCTTGCCATGCCTGCCACCTCACAAAGCACGTGGTATAAGGTCGATAGCCAGTGAGTGTTTGTGGAGTATGTGAATGATGAAGAGTGAGTCCATATATAAGAAATCTGTCTAGTTTTTGCAGCAGCTAACTCACTGCATCTCTCTTCAGATGCTCTATGCTCAGTGGCATCAGACACATCATCAGGACATACTGGAATTTGTGACCTTTTTCCTGTGGCTTTAAGCAGGTTGCCTGTACCTCTCTGAGCCTTGGTTTAATCATTTTTATGGAGTAGCTGAATTTTTCTGGCCCTTCTCACCCTGGGCCTCATTCTGCTTGGCAAAAGGTCTTTTGTGCTTCTCTGTATAAATTTAGGGTCTTTTGATTCACTACAAATTTTACTTGTTAACTTAATAAATATAATTAAATGAACTTACTAGTAATAGACAGAAAATGCTTAACACAAGGCCTGATGAATAATAAGTACTCAGTAAAAGTTAACACTTACTGTTATTATTATTAGTACATACCAGCTACAGTGCTGATTAAAATAGATATCTTCCGTCTTCTCATGGAGCTCACAGTCTAGTGGGTAAAACAAATGTTCAATAGATTATACAAATAATAAATTAGTTGTAATTGGTATAAATGCAATGATGGAGAAGATCAAAGTTTAATAAGAAATGAGTTTCTATCCTTTATTAAAATTCAAAAGGAGGCCAGGCACGGTGGCTCACACCTGTAATCCCAGCAGTTTGGGAGGCTGAGGTGGGTGGATCACCTGAGGTCGGGAGTTCCAGACCAGCCTGGCCAACATGGTGAAACCTCATCTCTACTAAAAATACAAAAATTAGCGGGTGTGGTGGCCCATGTCTGTAATCCCAGCTGCTTGGGAGGCTGAGGCAAGAGAATCGCTTGAACCTGGGAGGCAGAGAACCCAGTGAGCCAAGATCGAGCCACTGCACTCCAGCCTAAGTGACAGAGCAAGACTCTGTCTCAAATAAATACATAAAAAAAAAAATAAGAAAATTCAAAAGGAGATCTTCATGTCTCTTAGTCTACTAGTTTTGCCTACCAAGGAGGTTTTCTGTCATCATTAAATGATTTGTAAAGTGATTGTTAAATAATTTCTAATTTACTCAGTAAAAATGCCCCTGCTACCATTTAAATTTAGAATGTCTCTATGCCAAAACATTAAAATTACTCAAACTTAAATTCCTGCCTTTAATACGCTTTTACATATTTTCCAAAGACTGAGTTTGTTTAATAGAAGGAATACTTTACAATATCAAATGAAAAATGTAATGTCTAGAGTTAGAGGAATCCATAAACACTTATTGTCCAATTAGCTAGTAAATTTTCCCTGATTAAAAATAGCTGTATCTTCATTGGCAGCATACCATTTTCCCAATTCTGCTTTTATTCATATGATTGCAAATGTCACTAGAAGAATGCATTTTAAAAATATACAGTGCTGTTATATCCATATACCAGCCCCAACATCTCCTGAGCCTGTTCCCCCAGTGGTTTCTCTGGAACCTAAACATGTTATTAAACATAATATATTATAGCCTAGTTGAATCATCTTTGTAAGTCTCATTCATAAAGTAATGTTATGAAAATATTTGAAAAACCCTGAATATTTTCTTTCCCAGACTTTTCCTAATTTCCTGTAAACACATCCTGTGTATTCCTACCACAATAGATAAATGGGTATTTCTTACTGTTTTGAAATCTAACAATGCCTAGGAATTGGATATCTTGATTTAACCTTTCCTAAATTAAAATGAATTCATTATAAAATCAGTGAATATGCAACTATTAAATTGATTTCAAATGGGCAATAATGTATTTTCAACTATGACTTTGGAATCTGGAACCAGAAAGTCTTGGTTTGAATTCCTTTCTCTTTTAAAAATCTATTTATTTGAACCCTACTCTGAATAGGAAGGCGCTGAGGTGGCTTTCAATGACAGCTATATAAAAAAATAGATTGGTGAAATGGAGCTGGAAGGCAGGAAAGGTAAAACAACTTGTGAAGGTCAAACAGCTTGTGGTCACTCACAGATCACATCCCCTGGTAAGTCCCAGTTCTCTCTGTACACTGTTGAGGGTCATTAGGTCTACCCCGGGAAAGGTTGTGCTGGATAGGTAGTAATCGGTATCTTATAGCTTGAATGCTTGGAGAGACATATATTTATAGTATTACAGATAAATGATGATTTTTCTATAAAACTAGTGCTTAGTTTACAATGCGAAGCAGATTTGAAATCCAAGAGTATTTTTCTATCTCACAGTTTCATTAACCCTGTCCTGACTGAAATACTCTTGTTTTTTTTTTTTTATTTTGATGTGGAACAACTAGAGATATTTTTCATCCTTTAATATAGTTAATAAACTTCACATGACACTTAAAGATTATAGATTGCTGCTTTCTTCTAGAAAGGTAAACCAATTTAAATAAAATATGTTTAAAAACTTTATATGTTTTCATTCAGAATTTTGATTTATGTGTCTGCCCTTATAAAACATAAGGAAGACCTGACATAAGTGGATGGATGAATGAATGGAGGAATGGTTGGGTGGGTGGGTGGTTGGATGGATGGATACATAGATAGATAGATAGATAGATAGATAGATAGATAGATAGATGTATTAGTTAAAACTCTTGTATATTTTAGGACTTTAATATTACATGTCTAATTCTGCTAAAAAAGTCAGTTCCCAACTGGGATATAAATTAAGGAAACCTAGAGTAAATGCATATGATCGATTGCTCAATGTAAGGACAGAGCCAACTGGTTATGAAGAAGGCTTAGAAGAATAAGACAGATTTTGTATTGACAGCTTACAGATGTCCAGTGATTAATAGCTTCAAAGTTTATACTGAATGAAAGATTCTGAAGAACACATATCTACTGCCCTATGATAGTCATCTTTGTGTGTATACATATTTGAATTTCTATCTAGAAGTCAACATCCTTAAAGGCAGAGACCATTTTTGTTGGGCAGCTGACAGGGGGTTGGTATCTTATCATTTGGCTCAATGAACTGGCAGTTCTTCAGTAGTTCTTGTAACTAAATTATAATTGTAACAAAATAATACAAAATAATTTTAAGAAAATAATAGTGTTTACATCTCCATACTCATTTACTTTCACTACCCTGTGAAACAGGTACTCCTATTAATATCCCCACTTTATTTTTTTTAACTTTTAGGTTCATGGTTACATGTGCAGGTTTGTTACATAGGTAAATTTGTGTCACAGGGATTTGTTATACAGATTATTTCCTTACCCAGGTACTAAGCCTTTGTACCCGATAGTTATCTTTTCTGCTCTTTTCCTGTCTACCACCCTTCACCTTCAAGTAGGTCCCAGTATCTATTGTTCCTCTCTTTGTGTCCATGAGTTCTCATCATTTAGCTCCCACTTATAAGTGAGAAGATGTGGTATTTGGTTTTTTGTTCCTGCATTGGGAACAGCTCCATGCATGTTCCTACAAAAGATATGATCTCATTCTTTTTATGGCTGAATAGTATTCCATGGTGTATATATACTACATTTTCTTCAGTCTGTCACTGATTGGCATTTAAGTGGACTCCATGTCATTGCTGTTGTGAATAGTGCTGTAATGAACATTCACATGCACGTGTCTTTATGGTAGAATGATGTATATTCTTCCAGGTATATACCCAAAAATGATATTGCTGGGTCAAATTTCAGTTCTGTTTTTAGCTCTTTGAGGAATTGCCTGACTGCTTTCCATAATGATTGAATTGATATACACCCCCACCAACAGTTTATAAATGTTCCTTTTTTGCCGCAACATCACCAGCATGTGTTATTCCTCAGCATTTTAATAATAACCATTCTGACTGGTGTGAGATAGTATCTCATTGTGGTTTTGATTTGCATTTCTCTAATGATCAGTGATATTGAGCTTTTGTTCATTTGATTGTTGGCTTGTCTTCTTTTGAAAAGTGTGTATTAAAGTCTTTTGCCCACTTTTTAATGGGGTGATTTGTTTTTCCTTGTAAATTTAAGTTCCTTATAGATGCTGGATATTAGACCTTTGTCAGATGCATGGTTTGCAAATATTTTCTCCCATTCTGTGAGGTGTCTGTTTACTCTGTTGATAGTTTTGTTTGCAGTGCAGAAGCTCTTAAATTTAATTAGATCCCATTTGTCAATTTTTGCTTTTGTTGCAATTACTTTTGGCATCTTCGTCATAAAATAATTGCTCATTCCTATGCCTAGAATGGTATTGCTTAGTTTGTCTTCCAGCGTTATAATAGTTTTGGGTTTTACATTTAAGTCTTTAATCCATCTTGAGTTGATTTTTGTATATGGTGTAAGGAAGGGGTCCAATTTCAATCTTCTGAATATGGGTAGCAGTTATCCTTGCACCATTTATTGAATAGATAATCCTTTCCCCATTGCTTTTTTTTTTGTCAGCTTTGTGGAATATCAGATAGTTGTAGGTGTGCAGTCCTATTTCTGGGCTCTATATTCTGTTCCTTTGGTCTATGTGTCTGTCTTTGTACCAGTACCATGTTGTTTTGGTTACTGTAATCCTGTAATATAGTTTGAAGTCAGGTAACATGATGTCTCCAGCTTTTTTCATTTTGCTTAGAATTACCTTGGTTATTCGGGCTTTTTTGGTTGTTCCATATGAATTTTAAAATAGTTTTTTCTAGTTCTATGAAGAATATCATTGGTAGTTTGATAGCAGCGGCATGGAGTCTGGAAACCTCTTTGGACAGTATGGTCATTTTAACAATATTTATTCTTCTGATCCATGAACAGGATATGTTTTTCCATTTGTTTGTGTCATTTCTGATCTATTTGAGCAGTGTTTTGTGATTCTCATTGTAGAGATCATTCACCTCCCTGGTTAGCTGTATTCCTGGGTAATTTATTTGGTGAAAATTGTGAATGCGATTGTGCTCCTGATTTGGCCCTCAGTTTGGCTGTAGTTGGTGTAGAGAAATGCTAGTGATTCTTGTACATTGATTTTGTATCCCAAGACTTTGTTGAAGTTGTTTATCAGCTAAAGGAGCTTTTGGGCTACGACCGTGGGGTTTTCTAGATATAGAATCATGTTGTCAGCAAACAGGGATTATTTGACTTCCTCTGTTCCTATTTGGATGGCCTTTCTTTCTCTTGCCTGATTGCTCTAGCTAGGACTTCCAATACTAGGTTGAATAGAAGTAGTGAGAGGGCATCCTTGTCTTGTGACAGTTTTCAAGGGGAATGCTTCCAGCTTTTCCCCATTCAATATGATGTTGGCTGTGGATCTGTCATAGATGGCTATCTCAAGAGATGCAGAAAAACTTTCAATAAAATTCAACTTCCCTTCATGTTATAAACTGTCAATAAACTAGATATTGAAGGAACATACTTCAAAATTATAAAATTCCCATTTTATTGTGACAGAAACTGAGGCAGAGAGCATTTAAGTGTCTCATTACACAGGATAGTGGATGGATTGGCTTTCAAATGTAGGTAGTTTGGTTCCAGAATCTTATACTCAAAGCCAGTCTTCTATTCTACCTTAGCTAAAAAGCATCAATGTTATTACTGAAATAACACTTATTTCTTGAATTCAAATGGGAATATTTCAAGGAAGTTCCAAAATTGGAGATGAATTATATTTAAAACAAAGGTCAAATTTTTAAGTTAAAATAAACTTTGAATTAACAGCTACCACATTTTGGAACTTTTCAATACAACAAGACTGTTGACCCACTGTAAGAAAGAGCGATAGAGGAAGACTGATGCCAGCACCAGAGTGAGCCAGTGAAGGACAAGAGAAGCTCCGCAGCAGTTTTCTATAACAAATAGATTTGTCAGGCAAGGCAGCTGGACCAAGGGATATGGTTCATCTTTTTTTCAGAGAAACAGTGGCAGCAGGGGTCCAAGAAGCAGCAAATTAACTTGAGGTGAGTGCCCTCCTATAACGGACAGTCTAGAATGTATACCGCTTGGTGATTTAGTATGACAAGTAGGTGTAAATTACTTGAGGAATTAGTCTAATACTAGCAGGACTCTGGCCATAGGGATAGGGTTAAATAAATAACTCGAGAGTTTTATGTGCTAAAAACAATAGACAAACAATATCCCTCCATCCTCCCCGCTGGAAAAAAAAAAAAAAAAAAAAAAACACCTCTGGAAATAACTTGAATTGCATAGTTAGTTAAATAACTAATAGTAATAAGCCTCCTATAATTGAAATCAGGGAATATCCATAAATAAATCACAAAGTTGCAACATTAATAGGATCCCTTACTATTTCTTTCTCACTATTTCCTTTCATTTTCTCTGATTTCTTTTTTTTTTAAACATGTTTTACAGGGAATCAATAGCTTTTAAAATATCACCTTTGTAATACTGAAAAAAAACACAGTTGGAATATTACATTTAGTTTTGGTTTGCACATTACTAAATACATATAAGCCAACTGGATGGAGTTCAGAGAATAACAAGAAAAATTAAGAGGATGAAAGGATTGATTTATTAGCCATGATTAAAGGAGTCAAATATGTCCACAGGGAAAGGTGAACGTCATGACAATAGCTCAAAAATATCTGAAAGGTGTAAACTCCCCTGAAGAGGACCATTTTTAAATTTTTATAACAGCAATTATATCTTGCCAAACAGATTTGGTTTAGAAAGAAAATTGCTACTTTATGCATTTATAGAGGCAGTGGAAAGAGCTGCGCTAATATAACTTGTTGTATGCCTTCTCCTATTTTGAAAAGGACCAAGGCAATCTGAAGTAAAATACAGGTTATTTATATTCTTTCTATCACAGAGATTTCTGCCATCCTTGGAAAGGAAGCATCTGTGATAATAGTGACTAGAAGTACTCCAAAGTATAGAATTGTTGATAGCTTTAAAGTAAATCTGTCATGTTCTGACTTGTAGCTACTTAATTTGACTGCCTAGGAAGTAAGAGAACTCTGGCAAAAAGAGACTTGCTTCAAAGCAGCAAAGAATGGCAGTAGCGTAGATTTTGGTATTTTGTTTGGTCTGTTGGTTTCTATGCATTCTCATTCCCAGAAGGTACCACTGAGATTTAGATGCATTGAGACTACATTCTTTTCTCGCCATTTCTTGTCTAGTAGTGTGCTTTCCTTGTGAGAGAGATGCAGGTTCCTTTCCTGTCTCTGTCACTTGCTAGCTTTTTGACATGAGAATAATAACATCTTACCTCCCTAACTTCAAGGATTCAATGATATGTGTGTGTGTTCGTGTGTGCAGTTGTCGAGCTCATAGAAAGTGCTTAGTTGATATTAGTTCTGTCTCCTTGCCTACTCACCATGTTTCTCTATCCGACTTTACAAGCTGTATTTAAGTCAATTTTGTACAAGTTCCTGATGTTGCCAATTTTTTATATTTTTCTAAAAAAGCAGAAAATGTGGATTTTATGTGAAAATTCTCAATTAAAAAACACTTTTTAAAAAGGTTTAAGCCAAGCCAAAGAAATGCATATATTGTGTACAAGCCAAACAAAATGCATATATTGCCCATATATTTACCTAAAATAATTCTTTCCATAAAGAGTTACACACATATAACAGTGCAACGGCTAGTTCCTTCCAAAGAGCAGTGAGGAGAAAGTGCTGTACTGCAGCTTGGCAATAATCCTTTCTGAAGTGGTCTTTAAGTTCTGCTACTATAATGTCATGACATGACATTTTGTAATAAGCTATGCTTCTTTCCCCCTTTTTCCTTCTGCCCCTACCTTCCTTCCATGCAGGAAGCATCTGCTGTGTTCTATTCTTATGACCAGGGGGTAAAGTTGTTATAGCATGAATGCAAGTAAGAAAATAAAGTCCATTAGATAATCTGGATTCTTCCCTACAGGAAAGGATTCTAGGATTTAATCCCTTATTGTCATCCCCAAGATATTACAGTTCTCTGAATTGGAGAACAGAAAGAAAAAGCAATGGGGAAGTAAAGGAGGTAGGTGCTAGGAAGTATTCACGAGGAGGGGCTCTTGAATCCAGATCTTTTTGTCAGAAGAACCACAAAGAGATTGAGGACCTAGTAGCAGAGAGGACCTCACCCTCACTTTTTGGCATGCAGCCTCTGAGGAGGGGGCAATGAACCACCAACTGGTGAAAAGAGGAGAAATGACAGTAAGGAATATTGGGAAAACAGCATCAGAGACAACACCACTGAATGAAAAAGCATCTAAAAGTTGCCCATCCTGACTTCCTTGAGGAATGGGTATTTAACTAGAAATTAAATTTCTTTTCAGAGAAAGAAAGTTACATTTTACACACCAAGTTTGTGGTCTTTGAAACTTGCACCTATTATACACATGCGTATTTTTGTTGTTGTTCTTGTTGTTGTTATGGTGAAGGGCATTAACTCTGTGCTGTAATGTAGAGGTAAACAGGGAATGGGGGACAGCTTGATGAGAAAGATCCACTTCAAGTACAATTGACGATGAATCATATGAATCTTAAACGTGGACAAAAAAGTTGTGCAGACAGGTGGTAAGGACTGTGCAAGATGTGACAGCCTACACTACAATGGCAAAGTACATGTGTCCCAAATTAAAATTGGAGGAATGGAATGCCAGGAGTGACAGAACCAAAGCAGTCAATCATGATGGAAGCATTTGAACTTAGATGACTGAGGGTGAATGGTGCCTCCAAAAATACACAGGGAAAGCAAGAAGAGCTGACCTTGTAGAGAATATGCTAATGTTCGCAGGACAAGTTGAATTTTTAAGGTACAGGTAGGTCATGTAGCAGGGTTGTCAGGCAACTAAATTGAAACCTGAAGGGGAATGTTGAGACCGGGATTGGAGATGCAGGTGTCAATGGTATAAATGTGATAACTTTGTGAAGCCAGGTGAGACTACCTAAAGAACAGGATGCAGCAAAGAGGTCCAAGGAGACAATCTATATTTAGAAGGTAGGAGAAAGTTTGGAGCCAGCACATACAGCAGAAAAACAAGGTCAGAGATATGGGAGGAGAACAAAGCTGTACCGTGTTTTGGAAACCAAAAGTGAAAGATGTTTCAAAATGGAGTGATCAGTGAAGTCAGGCCCTGAAGGAAAATGATGGGGTATGGGTGTTAGGACTATGAGCCAACCTGTTGGCCTAGTCATTTAGAAGGTTAGAGACCTTAAGATGAACTGTTCCCCTAGAATGGTGAGGGCAGACGCTAGGCTGCAAGCCTAAGAAATTAATAGCTGTGGAATTAGTAGCTGTGGATATAGATATACTCTGTAAGAAGTTTGGCACTGAATGAAATACAGAGTGATGGTTGGAGTAAGTCAAGCAAAGCATGTCAGGAAGTATCCAACTTAACATAGACCTTTATATCCTAGTGTATACATGTAATAAATTTAAAGGGTAGGGAGGATTATTCTGAAGATAAATTTATTCCCCAGACCTTGCTGAAGTACTATCACAATAGTGTGCAGAATGGAACGTTTCTGGCATATTCTTCTAAGCAGAAACAGAAGTTTTTTTCATGTGTCTATACCTTTAAGCCTTTAATTAT
The DNA here is from genome assembly GCF_000001405.40 of Homo sapiens. Classification (NCBI taxonomy): domain Eukaryota; kingdom Metazoa; phylum Chordata; class Mammalia; order Primates; family Hominidae; genus Homo; species Homo sapiens. The sequence goes on from NC_000007.14 coordinate 121,179,580, forward strand.
GAAAATCACTTTATTTTGTTCATATTCTCATTTGATTTTCTATTGTTTACATGAATTGAAATGTGTTCAAATGTTTAAGATTTAGGATGAATAACAGCTCAATGGTAATGACTTATAAACCCAACATAACAGTTTATAGTTAGCTTCTTAGTCAACATGTATTAAAGGTCATTGTTCCTTAGCCTTGCCCCAAAGTAGTAAGGGAAGTAGTACATTTTAATTAGTATAAGACAAAGACAAATAAATTATATTGCTTTGATAGTCTGAAGTTTTGTTAGTAACCATTTAATGTTTTAAATTATTCACAATTTATAATACCTTGCAGTTTTTTAAGGGAAAAAAATGAAACTAACAATGATTGCACTGTGTTCTGTGATACACACTGGGATCTAAAATTTCACATTTAAAGTATAAAACTGATTTACTGTTATGTTTTTCTTTTTATTGTATGACTTTCACAAAGTACACATCATTTGACTATTCTCTCAGTGAATGAGATTGCTTGGATTTTCAGAATCTTGGAATAGTATCACATGGTGGTCCCAAAGACCAGATGATAGGTAGCTTTCTTCCTGACAAATTCCCAACACTTGGGCAAACTGCAAGAGATGTGTGTGATGATTCTTAAAGTGACTCATTATATTTTCATGTGAGTAGATTATCGCACTGCAGGAGAGACAAGTGTTTTCAGCTGATGGCCTATTTTACCTTTTTCCTATGTTTTAAAAGGTAACACACAAATGGATTCCGAAGATTTTAGAAATATATTTTTTCTTGGAAAATATCAACAATGAAATAAAAATAGACTTTTAATGTGGTAGCTAATTTGATTTTCTTTAAAAAAATTCTGAGGCTCTTAGTTTTTCTGCATTATCCTTTGAAGCCAATGGGACAATAATATCCTGAAATAATTATTTTAATACATCATGGAATTCATGACAAAATCTAGAATTACGTGATACATTATCTGTACACTCTTGTCTCCAGGGTTCTCTCAGTGGGTCACACCTTGGCACACACTTTCTGTTCTTCTTTCATATACTATTATTAGCCCGAGATTTTCATGCTCCATCAATTTTTCTTTGCTACACAATGGAGAAGAGAAGAGAGAACAGGAAGAGACTTAAATGCACCCTTTATGACAGGAACAGAACATGATTTTTAGATGATCTACCTATAGGCTTTAAAATTAATACCTCACCTCCAATACTTCCAGCGTAGCCTGAGACATGGAAGGTGGTTACTTTTAAAACTAAAAGTAATGTTCTTAGTTACTTTTAGGACTAATGTGATGATTAGCTGGGACATGTCTTAGCATTCTCTGACAGGATCGGATCAGGGTGGTCAGCCAGGGTTGAAACTGTGACTGTATGACATTTGATTTGGGCTTCATTTCATCTCTAAATGGACTTGAGGCTTTTTCACAAAATAATATTTTAAACTATAATTTTTCCATCATGTTCAAGAAATAGTCAACAGTAAGGGTTCTACTGTACTCAAGGAAACTGTATGAGATGAAGTGTGATGATTCTTAAATGGATTTATTGTGTTTTTGTGTGAGAGATGATCATACTGCAGGAGAAACAATGGTGTTCAGCTGAGCTTGTTTTATATATTTGTAAAAGGTGAATGGTTTCCCCAGTTTGCTTGACATGCAAGTATATTCTTCAGACAGTCTGTAAGGTTTACAAGCATTTCACTCACCATCTAAGAATAAAGAATATTCCACGCAGAGGGAACAATACAAAAAATACCCTGTAACTTGAAGTTTCCAGTAGCTAAAATTTTGAAATATTTACTTATCAGTTGGTAAAGAATGACTGTCCCCAGGAAAATTAAATCATATTAGAATCTCAATTGTTTTTTGGATGGAATTAAAGATATTTGTTTGAAATACATTTCTCAAAAAATATTGCTGTGATCTGTACATAAATACGTTATTGATTTTTAAAGATGTTTAAAAAATTTATATGTCAGCAAGATACCATAAAAATTCCTCTTTAATTTTCTAAGAGATGGTCATCATTTCTTAACCAAAATATCACCTTGACTAATATTAAAAGTTTGCAAATATTGTTGTTTGCATGAATAGATTTCTAACATTTTAGTCAACCTTTAGTAAAATTGTTAAAACCTATATCATCCATAAGTATGAGAAAGGTTCAATTATTAAGTTCCTTTTACAAATAAGAAAAATAAAACAACACAGAGTGGTTGAGTGACTTTCCACAGGTCACACACCTAGTTCCTGGCAAGGCTGGCATATTATTGTCAGATAACTCTAAATCAAGGAATATTAGATGCATATTAATTGGGCATATTGTAGTCTTACAACTTTTAATATGGTTCTGAGTTAGATATTCTTAGAGGAAACTAGTACCTGGAAATTTAAAAGTCACGTTTATTCCAAAATGAACCTGGGAAACTAGGGGGACATTTGTGTCTATATCAGCTGTCACACAAGCTTACTTCCCTCATAAAACTTTTTGTGCCCCAAACCCTTCTAACATGTTGCATATTTCTGTTATTTTAGACAATAAGAATCAATAAAAACCACTATAAAAGCTATGGTAACATTAGAATATGTCAGCCCGTGCTAAATACTTCAATTCGATGAGAGCTTTTTTTTTTTTTTTTAGTTTTAATGATGTTACATTTCCAGAAAAAAATACATATAAAATTCATAGAAATTGTGCCAGAAGAGTTAGTAGACCATGTTAAGGTATTTTTTACTGCATTAAAAACAGACTAGCTCTTAGCAAAATTAAAGAAGTTCACTTAATAGAGACAGTAACTGGTAATAGTAGGAGTGATGTGGCATTTCAGCAACCTGCCTGCCTGCCTTCCTTCCTTTCATTCCTTCCCTTCCTTCCTTCTTTTCTTCCCTTTCTTTCTTTATTTCTTCCTTTCTTTCCTCCTTCTTTGCCTCCCTCTCTTCCTCCCTCCCTTTTTCTCTCCCTCCTATCCCCTTTTCATTTCTCCTTGTTATTATTTGTTCTGTAGTTATTGAATGTCATTATGTTTCTAAGGCTGAGACTTCTATTTTAACTGATGTTCAGTGTAGCTTGAAATGACATGCCACAGAGGAATAATGCTGGTCAGATTGTAAGTTCTATAGTCAGCTACCCAGTCTGGGTTTAGATTCTAGTCCTCCGCTTGCTATTGGGATTACTTTGGGCAAGTTGCTTACCTTGTCTCTGTGATGGAGATCATACTGCCTACTTCACTGTGTCATTGCGAACATTAATTAGATAAGACAAGCTTCTATGTAGCTTGAGGACCACTGTGCCTGGTACATGGAAGGTGTCTGAAATATTAGTTTCCTCCTTTTTTTCCTCACTCCCCTTTATGCTAGCATTTTTTTCTTCAAAAACTTATTCCTATTTATTATCCTGAGTTCCTATCTTTGTCTTTTCAAAGAAAAAAAAAACTCAGTTTTGTTTACAAAGCCTTGCAAAAATGTATGAATCATCCAAGAAACTGCAGTTATTAATAGTTAGATAATTCATAGTAATTATGTGCTGTAGAACCTACAAGCTTTCCCCAAGTGCTGAGTGCTTATCTAAACTCTTTGAGCCTAGAAATCATTGGGCTTATGACAACCCAATGGGCTTTATCCCTGAAGATGTAAAGCTTCCACTCAGTTTAGAAATCCTTTTTCACAACTGTCACCAGGAAATAAAATGACATATGGCAATAAAAATTCAAATTTTAAGTAATATTTGCTTCAAAGTTTTCAAAACATTTGAAATCTAGAGTTGGTGACAGTTGTCAGCCAAGAGATATTTGTTTAATATTAACTTGAACATAGGTTTGAGAATATAAAGGACCCTTGACCTCAAGGGTATCCCAAAGAAAGAGAGGAGGACAGTATATGCTCTCAGAAATTCCAGATGTCCACAGAGTATTTTAGATGACTGACAGTCTTCTGTAAATTCCTTAAGGTACAGATTTTGTTTCCATGTTCTCTCACAGATCTAATAGACCAGGTAATAAGCAGTGGGTAAGTGGATGAATAGCTATAGCAAACTGTTCAAATAAATGTTTAGATTATGTGAAATACCTCAGATGTTAGTGGGGACTGGATATGAATAGAAGAACATAATGATATTAGTTTTCTATGTATTTTAATTTTCAGGATTTCAATTTTGCTTTCAATGCTGGTTTATAATATAAACTGAGAATAAAGCACAGAATTAGTTTAAGTTCTGGTAACTGGAAAAGTATTAGACTGTTGATGATTAAAGATTCATACAATTCACTTGGGGGTAGAGAACGACTGTTTTCCATACTTCTTTAAAAATTATTTCTTCACTTTGCAAGGCTGAGGTGGGCAGATTACTTCAGGCCAGGAATTCAAGACCAGCCTGGCCAACATAGTGAAACCCTGTTTCTACTGAAAATACAAAAATTAGCCAGTCATGGTGGCACATGCCTGTAATCCCAGCTACTCAGGAGGCTGAGGCAGGAGAATTGCTTGAACCCAGGGGACGGAGGTTGCAGTGAGCCAATATTCGCGCCACTGCACTGCAGCCTGGGTGACAGAGCGAGACTCTGTCTCAAAAAAAAAAAAATGTATTTTGTGTGATTCTTTTCTTTCAAAAGGAAGGAAGAAGAACCACAGTTGTATTTTTTAAGTGGATGTGGGAGTTTTGATTTAGCCATTTTTTTCTACTATTTAAGTGATTCCTCTAATAAAAAGGGGAAAAGAGTGTCTTAAGTTGCTGAAAAATCTGAGGGCAAACCAACAGTTTTTGTGAACAGTTACAAGAGTAATGTAGTTGAGATTTTTGTTTCATTTCAGATAAATGAGAAATAAAACATATTGCTACTTTAATTTAACCCTAAAGCTGCTTTTAATTATTTCTGAGTTTCACCACACCTATCAAAAGCCATGTAGTGTTTAATCTTTCTTGCTAAACTTTAGAAGGAACCCATTTTTCCTCTTAAGAAATTTTGCATTTTATTTCCTACAGAAAACTAGTGAGTGAGTTTTCTATTTCTTCCAACTTTAACAATATTAAAGATAATTCTGACTATTTTCTGAGTTATACTCTGTGTACACTTAACAATTGCCTTAATCAAATTCTGGCAATAAAAATAGAGTAAGAACTGGAGGTGAGTGAACAAAAAAAATCATTGTAAAATAGATGCAGAAGTGTGCTTAGTTCTCACTGATGGAAAATTAATGAGAAAATAGTAGAATAAATAGGTTACTTTTGCTCTTTAAAACAATTGAGTGTCTTTAACAAGGTAAATTTGATCAAACCTAGAGAAGGGAACAATATTCAATATTGGATTGACTATATACTTGAAAGCATAAAAATAATTGTTGCTATGTCTGGAACCATTTAATTCCTATGGTTAAATGAAGAGTGAAGCAGACACAGTGATTTCTTTATGAAGAGACTAACCTCACTCTTTTCTATGGTTAAAATCACACACCAGCTTTCAGCAAAACCTTTCAGACATGGATGCTGTTTATCAGAAATGATCTCACAATGGGAGCAAGCAGATGTATGGCTCAGTACTATCCTATCACCACTCCTGAGACCCAAAGCAGAATCAAATTCTCCAGGTTAATAGCATCAGTTCTGTGTGTGAAGAACAGTAGAAGGTTCCTGGAAATTTTTAAGTGGCACAGACAAATATAAATATTCACTAGACTGAAATTATAGCAAATGCTGTATCTCTATACAGAGATGGCAAAAGATGCAATAAACAGTCCACTCACTTATTCTTTAGTAAATATACCTATATATTTCATAAATGACTATGACAAATAGCATAGAAAGACATGCATTGTAGAATTATTTCAAAGTATCTATTTTTACCCCAAACAAGTTTACATTTTAATTCTAAAATCTCTATTAAATCACAGGAGATAGGATAAATAAATGCACAATATACAAAACTTGATGCCTATAAGGCATCAAAAATTGTTGTTTTATTAGTAATAATTAAGGACATAATTTTAAGCTGTGGAATCAATAAGTAATTCTGGAGGTTTTAGTATAAAGTGGATGGAGAAAGACAATGTTCAACATGACTGCTTTCTGCCTTCATTCCCCATCTCTACAAAGCACTATAATTCGGGAATGCAAAACTCAGCAAGCAACTACACTCCGTGAACGTAGGCAAACTTTGCATCTACTGGGGGTTCTTAGGAATGAATTGCTACTGCAGATATGAGTCCAGTGATCACAGTTTCCTGATGGATTTTTAGATGCACAGCATGCTGCTGCTAACTGCGATTCTCTGCTTAAACAATCCATAAGTCTCATTCCAGTGAGAAGAAAGGAAGCAACGTGCTGGGAAGATTTCAGTGGTCAGGTTGTAATCTGACATGGGCATTTTAAATGTTTTGCAAACAACTGATTAGTCATATATCGTGTTTTAAAGTATTGAGAGTTACATCCAACAAACTGGATATAATACTATTATAATAATTTTTTTCCACTGGCTATTCTTGCATAAAGACATTTTAAAAATGGACTAAGAAAAAAGGTATTTAGTTTTATCTGCTTTAATTTGCTTCTCTTCCCAAAACTATTCTGTATCCAAGACCTTGTTATTCATACTTTTGAGCAGATAGGGAGACAAACTTGCAAATCTTGTCCATACTTTTATCACAGCCCTTTATTCCTTCTCTGTCTTTGGTAAAATATGTTTCAAATTTTACTTCAATACTTGCAAATTACCTAAACATTGTATGCATGGGAATTTATAGAAAGCTGCTTTCTCCATAACTTTAAAATTTTATTAAATAATATTTGAATGTTGTGTGTGGGACACTAGCACTTATCTGTTATTATAAAATGAGTCCTCATAGCTCTATTTGAAATTCCAGATATTTTATGCATCTATGAAAAAGCTGTCCTTGGGCCAATATAATTTTTTAATTTCCTGGTGCCTAGAAAGCTGAACACCAGCATAATACATATTCCTTACAAGATTTCCAACACATAGGGCACTATACACACATCTACCAAGATTATCAAAATCAAATATCAAATGTTATAGATACCTGCAGTTTATTGAAGAAAGTCTTTTGTGAGACCCTAAAAAATAAAAAAATTATGCATCCTGTAAATTTGCTTTAAATATTTTTATCTTAAAATTATCTTACATGCTTAGCAGTCTAGTGGTTCTGGTTTCATCAAGCAATCAATAGCTGGATTTCTTACCCAATATTTCAAGTTGGTTAAATTTATCTTGTCTTTTCTAGAGGAGAAAAAAAATTCTTGACCCAGTTTCTCAAGAGGGTCAAAATCCAGGATATTTGTTTAAACATATATCCATTGTGCTGGGTCATCGTACTTCAGAAGAGTCTGCACATTAGTGTGGTCTACTCTGATACTTCCTGCTTCCCTGCAGCATAGGCTATAAACTGGCCAAACCTGGGCCTGCCCCTGGGCTCTGGAGCACATTCATTCATTCATTCTAGATGCAATTTTCTGGGGTACAGTGGGTACCCACAAGAATATAAAGGCCATCAAAGTAGACATGATTTTTCTCTCCTGCTCTTGTGGAGTTTATAATATATTTTATGATCTAGACATTAAATAAGGATCCAAAATAATATAATAATTACAGATTATGCTAAGTGCTGTAAATGAAAAGAGCAGGCTGCTATAATGGACAATGGTAAGGAGCCCAGTAGGTCGGTAGGATTGTCAGAGGACATCTCACTGCGAAGGGTGTATTTCAACCAAGAGGAAGCCAGTTTTGAGAAAGGCTGCAGTAAGAAAATCCCAAGTATAGAAAACTGCTGTTTCAAAGGTTTGTGGCAAGAAAGAGCTTAGCACTTTTGAAAACAAAAACAAAAACAAAACAGAAAGACCAGTGTGGTAAGCGTGGTTGAATAAGGGAGAGGGTGATATATGAAGAGGATGGACAGGTAGATGGGGATAGATCACATGTGCTTTGTAGGTGATGGCAGGAGTGTTAGGTTTTGTGTTCATTGGATCTAAGGGCACCTCAGCCTCATAATCTCCAAAATTAAACTTGTGATCTTGTCTGCATCAAGCAGTTTAGCCAAGAGCAGTAAACACACAAGAGCAGTAAACACTCTAGGTCTTTCAAACAGCTTTAATTTAACAGAGTAAATTACTTGCAGGTTATAGAAGAGTTGAGAAGCAAAACAAAGTATAGTTTTGCAACCCAGAATTATAAAATCTCTACTAACCAGCAGGGACAAAGAGATGAGCTGGCTTTTCAGGCCCTATTGCCCACTCACCCCATTTTACAATGTGGCCATAAAGTTGGAAAACATAGACTTTATTTTATTTTACAGATGATGCAACTAGACATTATGTGCCTCTTGATATGATGCAATGAGGAAGTTCACAGGACTTCCTAAATAAATGTAATGTTCATGTTTTGTTAGGCTCATGATTCAAACAAACCAACTGTTTAAAAACATAAACAATAAGAGTAATTTAAACACTGGATACTTGCTTCTATTAAGTAACTATTAATTTTTTCTAAATTTGATTGGTATTTTAGTTATATAAAATAGTGTTTGTCTTTTAGAAATATATATCGAAGCATTTATAGGTGAAATGATACAATATCTGGTAATGACTTTACAATAACCCAGTGAGAAGAAATCAGGGAGTAGAAGTTTAGATAAAATACGATTGACCATATGTTGATAATTGTTGAATATGGATGTTCAATCCAAATTTATTATTTTTTTATTCTATGGGTACATAGTAGGTATATATACATATATGGAGTACATGAGATGTTTTGATATAGCCATGCAATGTGAAATAAGCACATGATAGAGAATGGGGTATCTGTCCCTTCAAGCATTTATCCTTTGCATCACAAACAACAAAATTACACTCTTTATTTTAAAATGTACAATTCAGTTATGGTTTATTGTAGTCAGTTAATCTAAATTTAATCTTGTTTTGTTTGAACTTTTCTACAAATAAAACATTAAAAATAAATACATTTGTAGGAATGAATGACACATCCTAGAGAGAGATTGTGAGGAGAAAAACTAAAAGATTCCAAAACTGAGCCTTGAGGATCATAACATTTAGAGATGGGGAAAGGGGAGAATCAGAAAAGGAAACTTAAATGGAGGGGTAAGGACAAAGAGAGAAAATCAGGAGAGTGTGGCATGGCAAAGCCAAGAAGGAATGGGAGTAGTGGTAAAATATGGGAATGTAGCTGAGAAATAGAGTTAAGATGGGGACAGAAAAATCCTTCTCATCTCAAGTGTGATTGAGGCTCAGATACGCCATTATGTCATTGGCAAGAAGGTGTAGAGAGAAGAGAAGACTAGGATCTAAGCTTGGGTGAGGGAGGTAATGCTCCTTGCACATGAGTATTAGACTCTGCCAGGTTTACTACTAAAGAAAATTGAGGCAAAGCCTGGGCAACAGTAACCTTGCTTCCCATTTGTCGTCATCCTTTGTCTGATTATCTCAGAAGCTGCTAACTAGCAGAGTAGTGACTATGCCTTATAGCAGGATCTGGGCATTTCTGGGTCCTTCAGACATATTATCACATAATGGTGTTCCATTCTACCTTTACTTCCGACATTTTCCTTGCTCCAAGATAGCTTTCTTCATTTATGAAGATGAAGGATACTTTGAAGCCAGTATGAAAAAGTCCTGTAAAATCAATGAAGGTGTATTAATCCATTCTCACACTGCTATAAAGAACTACCTGAAACTGGGTAATCTATGAAAAAAAGAGGTTTAATTGACTGACAGTTCTGCAGGCTGTACAGGAAACACGGCTGGAAAGCCTAAACGTAGTTACAATCATGGCAGAAGGAGAAGGGAAAGCAAGCACATCTTCACATGGCAACAGGAGAGAGAAAGAGTGAAGGAGGAAGTGCCACACATCAGTTCTCATGAGAACCCACTATCATGAGAACAGCAAGGGGGAAATCCACCCCCATGATACACTCCTCTCCCACCAGGTCACCAGGTCCCTCCCCCAACACTGGGTATTACAATTCAACATGAGATTTGGGTGGGGGGACAGAGCCAAACCGTAACAGAAGGTTTGTTAAAAAAATTAATTTAACCATGATGCCTCTCAATTTATGAAAAATAATGAGTTTGCCCATAGGTGATTTTTAAAGTCACCACAATTTTTGGAAAAGAAATGAAAGTGTTCTAGCCATATTCTTATTTTACTTTCTTATGAGGTTTTATATATATATATATATATATATATATATATATATATAAAATTTGTATTTATTGCCTATTTTATCATCTTAACTCTGCATCCATTTAGGAAATAGATGCAAAGATTTATTTATTCATTTGACAGATATAAATACTTGCAACAAGTATTTCCTGAGTGCCTACTGAGCATCAGGTACTATTATAGACACCAGGCAACAACAGTGAACAAGAACTAGGCAGCAAACAAAAAGAGACAAAAATCTCTGCTTTTGTGAAATTTACATTAGGGTTGAAGAAACAGTTAAAGAATTTTAACAAGTAAATATATAATAGGCCACATAATGATAAGTGCTCTGAAGAAAAATTAAACAAGATAAAAAGTCAGAGAATGAGAAGGGACACTATTGTAATAGTGATGAGAAAAGCCCATTTGATGAGGTGACATTTGTGCAGAGACCTGAATGAAGTGAGAAGAGAAGCCTTTCAGCTATCTGGTACAGGCACATCCTAAGCAGAACAACAGTGAGTGCAAAAGCCCTGGGGTGTGCACATGCTGGTGATTTGAGAAACAGTGAGTAGAGCGGGGAGGTTGCAGTGAGCCGAGATCGCGCCACTGTACTCCAGCCTAGGTGACAGAGCGAGACTCTGTATCAAAAAAAAAAAAAAAAAAAAGACTAGATTTTATTGGACAGGGGTCAGGAGGACAGGGTGATTTTGAGAACAGGCATGGCATAATCCGATTTAGTTTTTAAAAAGATATGTCTGAATATTTTAAGGTGGATAAGACCAAGATTTTCTCACTTCCAGACCTGTGTGTTCCAGACATTAAACTGCCCCTAATCCCAAATATTATTTTCAGGAACTAATTTCAATTCTAACTTTAGTAAAATTAGAGAGGCAATGTTTTCCTAGACTCAGGAAAACTAGAAAATAAAGAAAGAAATAATTTTTAAGAAAATACTTTTATTTTATCTACTTTTATTTTCCAGTATCAGAGAAATATATTCCTTTTTTGACCGTCAAAAACTTCTCTTTCAAATAATACAGTCTCTCAAACTGAAGAAATGAAAGCAGCTCTGGATTATTCTACCACATTTAGCAAACACATAAAATCTGAAACCTGAATGTGATGACAGGATTTTATTAAATCCTAGTGAAGTCATCTAAGTTAAGTTACAAATTATTTTACAAAAGTCGCACGCATACAAATCAGATTTTCCCCATCCCAGAGTCAGTGCTGAGTTTTAAAGCCTGTCTGGCCAGTCTTGGCTGTTATAGTATTGTTCCTTTAGCCTATAAATGCCAAGGTTACTGGGAGGTAAAGGCCATGTGGTTATAGCAAAATAGAGAATTAATGGAATGAGGAAAATGTTCCAAAATATTAGAGGATAGGTGCTTGGGGGAAAAAAGTAAAAGAACTGTTTGATTCATGCTTTTTGCCACCTTTTAGAATATAAACCGCAATCCAAACTCTTCGAAAAACACCGAGCATAGAAAAGGGCAACGTTTTTAGAGTTTAACAAATAGTTTGCAGATTTATAGGGAAATTCATGCCCTGGTGAGCAAAGGATACCATAAGCCTACACCCTGCAGTCTGCAATTAAGCATATTAGAGGAGGCTTCTTGGAGGAAGTGACATATGAGATGATTTCGAAGGACCAGTACAAGACAGGCTGAGGAGAAGAATATTATTTTTGCTAGGGAGGCCTTTGAATTGAAACTTGGGGTTCTTTCTATGGCTGTTGAAATAAGAATACAACAACACAATTATGTACAATCTGCGTTCATTTTTTATTCTCTCCATCAGTTCTCCAGATCCTTCTGGGGTGGTGGAATGCCTGTGGCTTTCAGACTAGTGTGGCAAAACGGAAAAGTTCTAATTCACTCAAATTTGGGTGGTTATTGGTTGCATGCCTCTGTGGTTCTTTTTCATAGTTTTGGGTCCAGAACTCTGAGAAGTATATCAGTTTCAGACCTTGATCAAAATGTATTTTTAATTGGCGAGCTCATCACAGAAATTGAGAAAGATGGTAGAAAGAAAAAAAGGAAATGCTATTATTTGAACAATTCAGTTTTTGAACTTTCCTTCAACGTTATTTCCCTGGCTTACCAACAAACTGGCACTACAGTTAGGTCCACAATAAATATTTCATTTTAATCAAAGTGTTGTTTGATCTCTTGTCTAGGTGGCAGGAAACCAAAACACTTCCTTGATGATAAGTGATATAAGTAGGCCTTAAAAATACATTGAAAATATCTTGTGCAGTGATCCCATTTCTGGCATTATGAGTAAATTAGAGACCCAGAAGCAGAAAGTAATGAAATTGGAGAGGGGAAATCTGTGAAGCTTTGCCATTATATTTGAATCTGCAACTATTAACTACCATGTCCACTGGCCATTTCCTAAGTATAATTGGCTCTTTCTTGGGTCATCTTATTCTTTCACCATTTCCCCTCATCCTTTCCTACAAGTCATGTATGCATATAGAGTTCGGGTATCCCTAATCTGGAAATCCAAGATCTGAACTGCTACAAAATTCAAAACTTTTTGAGTACTGACATGAGGTTCAAAAGAATGCTCATTGGAGCGTTTTGGATTTCAGATTCTTGGATTAGGGCTGCTCAACTGGTAAATATTTACTGCAGATATTCCAAAATCTAAAAACATCTGAAGTCCAAAACACTTCTGGTTCCAAATATTTTGGAAGAAATATACAACCTATAGGATGGATGATATGCATGAGTGTACATGCTGCTTTGGGTCTGTGCTCTCTAGAATCAAGCAGGACATCCCTCGAGTACCAGAGCTAACCTTAAGTTATTCTTTGTACCCGACACATAGCTTAATATGGTGAACAAAATGTTTGGCACATTATGTTCAAACTTAAATAACTGCAGGTCAGGCTTTGAGGGGTAAAGCAGACCAATAGTTATTTAGAAGTCAAGAGAATACACAAAGAATGAAAGGATAGAGAAAATTTCCAGAGAAAACTATCTTTTATTCATTTCCTCACTTGAATACAAAACACATACTGTAAAATAAATAATAAATATTCACACCCGATGACAAAGAGAAGACTCTTATATCAAAATTTTAAGACAGACAAAATAGATATGATTTTTATGTTTTCTGTTGAGGAGAAGCAGAGCACTTCCCCACTGACTTTCTGACAATTTGTCATCAGGATCAACCATGTATTTTCTGGGAACTTGATCAAGTAAAATCATTCTGGGACACCACAGTGCTTTCAAAACCTAGATCAGGTTTCCTTTTGGATCGAGGATCTGACCAAGAGCATATAGAACTCTTAAGATGGATTAACTTTTACTCTGTTCTTCTGATCTGTTTCATTTATCATGTAATAAGTTGACAAAGGGACTGAAATACGCAGAGACATGGAATTTTGGGGTTACCCAGAAAAACCTCCGCTGACTCAGTCAAATTTGTGGTTTATATTTTAGCTATTGCTATGGTTAATTTCTATTTGTTTTTACAATGCATATGAACAAATGTTTGATGAAAAAATTAAAAGAGAAGAAACCAAAAGTGAAATGTGAGTGCTGTTAGACTGGCCAACATTTATTAAAGATACCAAGCTAAATGATGGAAAATTTGAACAATCTGGGTTACTTTAGTTGAAAAAATAAACCATTTATAGTACCCTAATACCTTTTAGGCTTGTTTGGTAGATATAAAAGTTTTGCTTTCTTTTGTGTCAAAGTTCCTACTGGGTCGCTTCAACTAATAAAATCAAAATCACATTAATTCAATTTCTTCTTTAATTGCTTCTTCTCATGGATCATCTGAAAATTTCAGCAATGGCATGATATGCTCCAAGATTCTAAAGAGTGGGCCAGAAGCAAATGAAGGGCAGAGGAAAAGTAGGAAAATAGAGAGAAGTTGCCATTTCTGAGCAACTACTATGTGTTAGTAGGTGCAGAGCCTTTCAATAACCCCACTATGTAAGTGTTGTTAACTCTACAGAGGAGGAACTTGAAGTTTTAAAAGGCTAGTAACTTGCCCAGGGTTAGTTGTAGTTAAGATTTAATCCTATTTCTGATTTATGTCAAATTTCTACTACTTTATATCTCCTATAAAACTCAGGTGTAAGATTAAGACATGCCTAATAGAAAATCTCAGAAATAAATCAGAAGTATTTTCTTATATGTATATAATGAAGTAAGAGTTAGAAATTAATATCTGTGGACTTCATTTATCTGTACAGTCATGGCCTCTATTAACATGGATGAGCAAGCTCTCTCTCTCTCTCTCTCTCTCTCTCTATATATATATATATATATATATATATTTTTTTTTTTTTTTTTTGAGACAGAATCTTGCTCTGTTGCCCAGGCTATAGTGCAGTGGTCTATCTCGGCTTACTGCAACCTCTGCCTCCCAGGTTCAAGCAATTCTCCTGCCTCAGCCTCCCAAGTAGCTGGGACTACAGGTGCCTGCCACCATGCCCAGCTAATTTTTGTATTTATTTTAGTAGAGACAGGGTTTCACCCTGTTGGCCAGGCTGGTCTTGAACTCCTGACCTCAGGTGATCCACCTGCCTTGGCCTCCCAAAGTGCTGGGATTACTAGCACAAGCCACTGTACCCGGCCTATAATATATTTTGAAATGATAGCAGTAAAAACTGTTCATGGCACTACCTGGATAATGCTGATTAAATATAATTTAATTAAAATGGACTGAAGTATAGATTTATTTTACCATTTTTTTCAGGTGATTGAAGCAGAGCATATATGATCTCCACATATCAAGACTAACGGATGATTATTTCATTTACCAGCTGTATGGTTTGGGGTTTTGGTTTTTCTGTTAAATCTGTCAAGCTTTAAAGCTCAGTATGTGTCATTGCTTATTTAAAAATGTAATATGATGTGAAGGATAGAAATGAATTCAAATGTGTGTATTGGGACTTTCTAATGTCTCGTAAAATAAGTTTTTAATTTTTATAAATTCATTAGAACTAAAATGATCTGTTTTTAAAAACATCCCTTTCTCTCATTAGTTGTTTGTTTTTTGTTTTTCTGTTTTGAGATGTGGGCTCACTCCATTGCCCAGGATGGAGTGCAGTGGTGCTTTCACCATTCACTGCAGCCTCGGCCTTCAGGGCTCAGGTGATCCTCTTGCCTCAGCCTCCTGAGAAGCTGGGACTACAGGCTTGTTCCACCATGCCAGGCTAAATTTTCTGTTTTAAAAATATGGAACGCTTCGTGAATTTGTTGCATGTCATCCTTACACAGGGGCCATGTTAATCTTCTCTGTATCATTCCAATTTTAGTATATGTGTTGGTGAAGTGAGCACCATTAGTTTTCAATATTATGATTTTCTTGCTTAGTATACTACAGTGTATAAAGTACCATACTAAAGTCTCCTGTTTTATTTGTCCATTAATTCTTTCAAAATAGGAGATACAAATAGAAACATGTAAGACCCCAGACTTTTAATAGACATGATGATGAAATATCTACACAGGTATCTGTAATACTAACCCAGGAAATCTTTGTGTAGAGTTAAAAGCTTGATTTTGAAGAAACATAAGATAGTTTTAAAATATTTTTGCTTTATTCTTTCCATAGTTTAATTACTATCATTTTAAATCACCTTTCATTATATGAAAACCCATATTGAAACAAAGAACTGCTCATTTTCTAGTGTTTACAGATACATCACATAATGTTGATAACTCCAGCAAAAATTTAATTTTAGAAATCTGATCATTTTAAGTCAAAGGAGAAGTACATCTAACACAGTTATGCTAGGTTGAGAATATGAAGTACTGCTTTAAATGTTTGCTCTGGAACCAAATGTAGAAAAGTTTAGATAAGTCATGGACCAATCATTACTAAATTCACCTCAAGGATATTTTCACTCTTCTCTACTTGGTAATAACCACTAAGGGAATAGGGAAATTTACACACATATCTAAGAAATATGAAGGACTTCCAGACAGTTATGCATTTTGAAGAAAACATTTATCTTCAGTGTAAAAACATTCAATAGTTAATTTTTCTTTCAAAAACACAACTTGCTGCTTATTACCGGTATCTTGACTTCTAACAAAACCTCAAGCTTGGTTGGTGTTTGGTGTGAATGTGTGTTCCTATGAGTGTGCTGTAAATTGGCCTTGGAGAAATAGGGGTTTTCTTGAATCCAGGAAGCCTTGCTGTGTTGTTTGGCTGTTAGTTGGTGCCTTGACTATAACACATAAAGGGACTATGTGGCTTAGGTTGCCGCTTTCCTAGAAGGCCGGGGGGAGATGGTGTTTAGTGGGTCTGCTGCTTGAGGAGGCCAAAGAAAACCTTGTTGTAAGTAGCGCCTCAGGGTGGAATACATTCTTTGCCAAGCATGTCATTCAGTTTTCAGAAATAATTTAGCTGCTTTGGGATGTGGAGAGCAGGAAGGAATTTTGCTATTGGCTGCTGGAATAGTCCTGGTGAATAAAATGGTGGGGAGAAGATTGCTGAGAACAATCTGCTGCTGGGAGCTGGGGGGAATTGAAACTTCAGTCTGCTCAGTTGGCACTAGCTGTATGCAGTCTGTTGTGGGCCCTATGAGAAAGCTACCTGCAGGCTGCTACTCAGTAAGCAAACAGCCTCCATTGTACCTTCTGACTGCTTGCAACTGTCAGGCAAATGCTTAATCAGCAGCTTTTGAAAAAGAGCATGATTAATAAACCCATAAAACTCTCTTCTCTGATTAAAGCAGCAACTGTGTGGCAAAATCTATTAGAGCTTAGTTAGAGACCATTATAGTAGAGAAAATAAATTATTAAAGGGCAGATTTGTAGGCACTCTAGGAAAACAGATTTGGCTGGACTTAGTCCTGTCTCCCAGCTGTGAGAATTAAATAGGAGTCTGGGGACATGTAAAATTTAGTGCAGGACATACTTATAAGACAGCAGGGAAAATGCTATGACTGAAAGGCAGCAGCTCTCTTATAAATGCACATTGATTTTCAAAGGCTGAAGAGTGTTTCTTCAGTTCCCCGTGCTACCGTACGCTGACAGAGAATAGATGAGACCGAATTTTAGATCACACTAAAGTTTCTTTTTTTTTTTCAGCTTTATTTTTAAACCTTTTCCCACAAGTCTAGCTCATTAGAGCAAGAGAACTTTAATGAAATAATGGGCACAAAGTCAATCTGGAAAGTTAAAAAACACCATTTGGTTGCCATTACTGGACTGAACTCAATTTTTGTTTTGTGTATGTTTATTAAAGTTAAGGATATCAAATATAAATGTTGATCAATGTTTGCTTCTCCAGAATTGCACACTAAAATAATGTTCTTTCATAAAGTAGCTAATCCACAAGTTTCCAGTTCGTAGAGCTTTGTTTTTACTTTAGTTATTCCTTAAAAATAATCTTTTTTTTTTTTTTTTTTCTAGAGAGGACCCAATAAGTCCTGGTACTATTAAGAGAGCATTCTTAAAGCAGGTTTTAAAAGTAATAGCAAATTAGTGCATTGACTCTCATTTTAAAATGTATTACTTTATGCTCATTTACTTACTGCTTTACTCTATAAATGTTTGTTGATCATGAGCAATACATGAGATCACATGAAAGTACTGCCAGGGATAAAAAAATAACAACAGTACCACTAATACCTTTACTATGACTGCTGCTATGGATAACACCGAATTACTTACAAAGGGCCAACTGTACATCAAGCACTGTTCTCAGCACTTTACAGAAACTCATTTATTCCCCACAAAAGCCTTTAGAAGTAAGTCCTATGATTATCCTTCTTTTCATACTTGAGGAAACTAAGGCACAGGGAGGTTAAGTAATGCCCCATGTTAAACAGCTAGTAATGGGCAAAGCTAGGATTTGATTTAGGCAGAATAATTGCTACAGTCGAGTGTGTGTATATGGGTGTGTTGTGTGTGTGTGTTTGTGCATGCGCATGTATGTGCTTAATAGAGGTAACAGTAGAAGAATTCTTAGAAAAATGCTGAGGGCAGAGGCTGTAGAATTCTAGCTATTGAGAGAGCCGTGGAACTGACTTGAACCATGAACTTTGAGTAGGAGCTGGATGTGCAGAGATGGAAGCTGAGCCTGGCAGCACAAGAGTAGCAAAGCAAGCTGTCCAAATTGCCTCATCTGTGGAGTATACAAAGTTGATTATGGATGGTAAGGCCAAGCTAGTAGATGAAACCAAATTGTAAACCGAAGAATCAGACTAGTAAGTGTGGCTTTTGTTTAATGCCAATGGTAAATCGTTGATTTTTAAAAATATTGGGGAGATATGTTCAGAAATGTGTTTCAAAGTTTAAGTCTAATAACAATGTGTGGTTAGATTGCAATAGAGAAAGACTGATGTGTTTAGAACAAGATTACAATAAAAAGTCAGAAAATAGTGTTGGGGGTAGCAGTTATTACGCGAAAGACAAGGTGGTGTCAGCAGAGTTTATTGTTTAGGAAAAAAATCACTCAGTACCTTATACCTTGGCATTTATAAACTAGACAATCTCAAAAAATGTTATTGAACCAAACTGACAAAATAAGAAGGCTTTTTTATTCAAATATAAGCTTCTGAGTGTCATGAGCACACATCTTTTTTGATGCCTTTTTATAGCTTCTTAGATAAAAGCTCATTTTTATGGTTACATTCGGTATGGTTTCTTGTGCACATGCTATGCTTCTGTGTGAAAGATGAGTAAATCAGATCCATTTTCATTGCAGTTTTCCTCAGATGGCAAGTGTGAGTGGAGCAAGCACACTTTTGCCTGATTGGAAGC
Organism: Homo sapiens; assembly: GCF_000001405.40. Taxonomy (NCBI): domain Eukaryota; kingdom Metazoa; phylum Chordata; class Mammalia; order Primates; family Hominidae; genus Homo; species Homo sapiens. The sequence goes on from NC_000007.14 coordinate 121,198,494, forward strand.
ACCTGCAGTTTATTTGCCATGGGGTTGTTCCCTGTGTTTTTGCCCGGACTCATACTTTACAGAGTGCTGCCCAATCCTGCTTATTTTCCTCTCACTGCAACTTTCATATCAGCTGCCATTGGGGTTGTCTTCTTACTACTCTCTGAAATTCACTACGCCAGAGCCTTCTCTGCAGCTCATGTGAAATGCAGCCAACTCAAAGCCGTTCATGTAGCTGTAGATTCAGGTGGTTACAAGATACCACGTGCTGGCATAATGATTTCACAAATATGGCATGACTTATCAAAGCATGTGATTCTATTTTAAGTTTCATTCCTATCGGTAACTGAATACACTGTCTCTATCAGTTATTTCTGAGCCTGTTACACGGACCTTCAAATCTGGGAAGATTCCCTCTGAAGCAAATGTGATAATAGTAGTGATTCTGACTTCTGCTTTTTTCCCCTGCCCACCAACGAGTGGTATTTTAGGTCATTAGAAACAATGATGATGCCTTTGGCAAATTAGATTCAATGCCAGGGAATAACTCTACAGTCTATGAGTGCCCAAAACTATTGAAATTCACAGAAATGGCAGCGTAATGATTGCTTTGAAATAGGAATTACAAGTGCTCTTTAGCATTTGTAATCAGGGAGCTAAGAAGAACATAACAAGGGGTCTTAGATCATCAGTAGAAGCACAGCATTACCAAGTGTGGTTCTCTATGATTTATAGGCTGAAGTAGTGAATGGACAGTAGGGACAGTCCACACATGGGGTATAATAATGAGTAAGAGTGTGAACACCTTGGAGAATTAGATTCAACTCACTGGCTTTCCCAACCATAATAATTTAGTCAACAGTGTTGAAAATATTTTCATGAGGTATATGGTCTTTCCGTGTGCTATAGAAAAATACAAACATAGGGCTGAGCGCGGTGGCTCACACCTATAATCCCAGCACGTTGGGAGGCAGAGGTGGGCAGATCACGAGGTCAAGAGATCTAGACCATCCTGGCCAGCATGGTGAAACCTGTCTCTACTAAGAATACAAAAATTAGCTGGGGGTGGTGGTGCACACCTGTAGTCCCAGCTACTCAGAAGACTGAGGTGAGGGAATCGCTTGAACCTGGGAGCTAGAGGTTGCAGTGATCCGAGATCATGCCACTGCACTCCAGCCTGGCAACAGAGTGAGACTCCATCAAAAAAAAAAAAAAAAAAAAAAAAAAAGAAAGAAAGAAAGAAAGAAAAGAAAAATACAAATATAGAAAAAAGTTTCTATTTTCTAAGGCAGTGTCAGCCAATGGAAAGATAATGTGAACCACATACGTAATTTTAAATTTTCCTGTAGCCACATTTTTTAAAAAAGTAAAGAGGTGAAGTTAATTTAAAAAATATGTTATTGGACCAAATATATCCAAAATATTATGTTTCAATATATAATCAGTATAAAAATTACTAGTGAGAGAGTTCACATTCTTTTTTTATATTGTCTTCTGAATCTGGTGTGTATTTTATACTTACAGTGCATCTCATCTGAGACTAGCTGTGTTTCAAGTGCTCAGTAGGTTACATGTGGCTCATTACTACCATATTGGGCAGCACAATTCTGGGTATTTAAAAAGCCAGCTGGTATAAAAGGTTTTATATGATGATAAACATGCATACATGTAAGATTTTCATAACATTATCATATTCATCATTTAATGAATCAATTAGGGCAATGTTTCCAAGAGTGTGGCCTGAGAAACATCACTTTTCCTATAAGGTATTATGTAAAAAGTGGTGTGCAAGGATATAAAAACAGAAAATTCTGGGTTAAAGAAATTTTCTCCAGCCTCTCTGCTGGTGAAAACCTCAGATGTGTCAATGCATACTGTGGATTTCCAAGAGAATGGGTATACATTTCCTATTCTTAATTGGTCGTGAAATTGTTTTTTCACAGAGCATCTCTTGGGCCTAGTGTTACAAGGAATATACTGTGGAAAATGCTGATTTAAGCCTCAAATAAGTGATGTAGGAATTTGGAAATTGGAAAAAGGCAAAATGGAGAGGTTCTGGGAGCCTTTTTGGGAATGTGGGTGTACCTTCAGTTAATTCTTCTCAAGTGTGTACAGCAGAACTTATTACAATATTTGGCTTACTCTACACTTGGCTGTCTCCCCACAAATTTTAAAGTTTTTTTAAAAAAGAAAGAGTCTTACTTACATTTTTATCCTACATTGGACCAGGCACAATTATCAGCAAATATTTGTTGAATTGAATGAAACAGAAAGTTTGATACAGACCAGTGCAAAGTGGGGAACCTAAAGAGAAACAAACTTCTCTAGCCCAAGAAGAGAAACAAATCACACCAAGAAGTTAAGATCAATGAGGAAATGACAATGAGAGCAATAGTGTCATTGTAGCAGCAAAGGGTCTCTCAGACATTCAACCTCAGAGTCATTCATAGGAGAATATCCACATTAAAGGCAAATCAAAAGAGAGAGCAGTGAAGAGAAGGTTAGATAGGGCAAGGCACAGAATCACGTGTTGAAAGCTAATAAAAACCTCCCTTCACTGTAACATGTGTGGGTGTTTCTGCCTTTAATAGAGCAATCTCTAGGTTTTTGAGAAAATCGGATCTGAGATACAAGGTAGGAGGAGGTGCACATCAGATGGGAAGGTCAAGAACCAGAGCTTAGGGAACAAACTCTAGAAAATGTACTTTTCTATCGAGACACCCCAAGAAAGACAAAGTTATAGAAATAAATTATTATCAAGACCAGCCTGGTCAACATGGTAACACCCCGCTCCACCAAAAATACAAAAACTAGCCTGGCTTGGTGGCACACACCTATAATTGCAGCTACTTACGAGGCTGAGGTAGGAGAATTGCTTGGACCTAGGAGGTGGATGTAGCAGTGAGCCAAGATCACGCCACTGCACTCCAGCCTGGGCAAAAGGGTGTGTGAGATGTCATCAAGAAAGAAAGAGAAAGAGAGAAAGAGGGAGAGAGAGGGAGAGTGAGAGACAGAGAGAGAGAGAGAGAAGGAAAGAAAGAGAAAGAGAGGAAAGGAAGGAAGGAAGAAAGGAAGGAAGGAAGGAGAAAATTTAGAGAGGAATGCCCAGAAAATTGACTTCTTTGCAGCTTTTTGTTGCTTTTCTCACACCTAGGTAGGGAGCAGTTAGCTCATACCTCTACCTGGTAAGCCCTCTAGGAATCTAATTTCTGAATGCAGTTATAAATACAGCCCTTCACAGAGGAAGACAGAAAGCAGAAGGTAAAGCAATCTCAGTTTCATCTTCCGTCCTCCTCTCCTCTACACCTAATCTGCAGTTTATATTTTTTTCTTATCTGACAAATCCTCCTTTTAGAAGTAGACTTCCCCCTTAGCCTGAACACGAAAGAAGAGAAAGATTTCCTCCATTTCCTCCATATTCCACCACTGATGGCAATTTTTTAATGTTAGATGAAACAAATATGGAACAAAATTGAGTATGCTAATGAAAGTTGGGTATAGCATAGCAAAATTAATCCTGCAGCCATAATTGTAGTGAGAGACCATTCCCAGAACTTCTGGATACATTTCAGAGAATAATTTTTCCTATTCTAGACTTAGACATCAAAAAGAAAAGGCAATTTTCTTAATTCTACTCTCAGTAAGCATCTCCAGAACATTACCTCTGACCTGGCTTCCAAACACCAGACATACTCTTTCAGCTTGTCCTTCCAAAGTTTTGGCCACCCAAAGAATGCAGCAGGCTGAAGATCAAAGAACTCTGCTGGTTTACACTTGGCTACTGGGACAGCTCTGTGTTGTGCCTCTGCTGGAATTAGCGCTGTCTTCATCAGAGGAGTCAGCCACAAGAATACGGCAACCAGTCATTGGAGACAGGAGGAAGTGGAGAGGATATCTTCAGTGCAGTGTAAAAGCTATGCTCCCTGCTTCCCAATAGGAGGCAATGGTTGCCATAAGAGGGTTTAAGCCTGGGAGAGCCATGGGCATCTTTTGGAGGTAGTCTTCTATCTAGAAATTGTGATCACCATTAGGTCATGATCACAACAAGACAGTTGTTTCAAGAAAAAAATTACTTTTCTATAGATTTTTTCTACAGTTGGGCTCCAGAATTTTAAAAACACATTCTGACTTATTATCTCAGTTGACCCTCCCAGTAAATGAAGCAAGATTGGGAGTCACTAGACTGATGGAAACTTGAGGACAGAGAGTATCCTGTTTCTCTTGTACCTGCCATCCCTAACACAGCACCTTGCAGTAGTGAGCAGTCTGTAAGTATTTGTTGAGTAAATTAATAGATACCCATTTTGCAAGTGGTGAGCCTGATTGGGAAATAATTAACAATCATGCCAAAAATAGGAAAGATGTTAAGTAGCTGAGTCAATGCTATAACCCAGGTCTTCTGATTCATTTTCCAAAGAGCCTCTAGAAAGGCTTATAGACCCAGTGAGTTTTCAAAACATGTGGTGGTTCACCGAGTGCCTTTTTTTCTAGAATTATTCCCTCCTTCTGGCTTAGGCTCTTACTAATTTCTGAAGCCAGTTGTTCCTATTTTAAGACCCACTGACTCGCAGCCCATGATAAATAAATATGACACACCTGTCTCACCACCAGAGGACATGATACATCCTTTCCAAATCTTTTCCACTCTCCTCACTCTTTCATCCCTATGCCCTAAGTCTCAACAGATTGTTAAGAAGATCAAAGTCAGCTGGTTTAAACCTACATCTCCAAATCCTTCTATACCTTCACAGATCCCTTCTCTAAGACGGAGCTGTCTATTCTCTCAGAGGCTAATCCCTCCACTTTCCTCAGACCTATTACCTCCTTTCTCCTGGGAGCCTGGGTCCACCAATTAATTATTCTTCGAACTTATCCCTTCTACTGCCTCCTCCTTTTCTGTCAGCAAACATACAAATCACCCCCATGTTAAAAAATAATCTTTATCTTTGTGACTCCTGGTCATGTCTTACCATCTTTCCCTTTCCTTCTCTGTCAACAGATAGACCCGTCAGCATGGCTTCCACTCTGACAACAGACCACTCTATACCATCTCAAAGGCCACAGTGGCTCCCTAACTGCCCCTGTGGGCCTTTTCCTTAGTTAGGATGCCAATTGCTCTCAGTGTAGTTGAGCAGCAAGGCCATCACCCTCTGTCTCCCTCCTGTGCTGCTTCTGTCTTCATGGTGCTGAGGAAACTCTGAATTTTCTGTCTGAGGGAAACAGGGCCACTGAAATTGTTAACAAGTGTATAATAGCAGGAGGAATTCTGACTAAGTGTCATGGAGGGAAAAGGTAATTGTATTAAATGAGTAGATTATGAGGCTGTGTTTTGTTTTGGTATTCAAGAGCAGAGGAAAAGAAGAAGAATAAAGAAAGAAAAAGGATGGTAAGCTGCTTGTCAGTTGCGTGTCACATGGCAGGGTTGGCTCTAGGTCTTGGGGCTGTCCACGCAAAGGGCCAAGAAGCAAGACACCCACTTCTCCACTATAGTGCCTGCATTTGCACCTGCACTCAGTGAGGGTTCCCAACCCTCGCTTTCAGGGAGGTGAGGAGGAGCTCAGAAAGGAGAGATCCACCCAAGTCAGTATTTCCTCAAACACCCCACATTTCAGAACCCTTGCAAGAGAACTGCCTACTCTAAAAACCTCTTTCGCCTATTTAATGATGCCTCCATTCTAAACTCTTTGTTCCAAAATTGGAGAAGGGGCCACTGGTTTGATTACGGGTTAGGTTAAAAAAAATTATATCCTTTCCTTTCTTGCTGGGGTGGCCAGAAGAGACTGAGCAGATTGGAAGTCTAAAAGTCCATAATAGTTTTACAAAGTAGAAGCCCCTGAATGAGAAAAAGGATCAGAAAAGGGATAGGGATACTGAAGGAAAACATCTCTAAATAAAAAATATTGGAAAGGCCCAGCCTCACTTATTGTCATCATAGAAAAGGCAGAGGAAATTGTATACAAGTATATTTCAAGTCTACCAGTCCACACACACCTACAGGCAGCCATATGTCAGACTTTGTTCCTATGGGTGAAAATTAGGTGCCCTACCTGCCCAAATCTGAATTGATCTCCAGAATGATGGGCAGAGCAAATCACAGAACCTGAACAGTGTCCACATTGTATTCCTTGTCCCTTCACAGAGGACTGGTCAGTAGCCCCAATGATCCAAAAAGGAGAGGCACATTATCTCATTTCCCCTGGATACAATACTAGTTAAGAGTGGAAAGAATTATAAACAGAACATTACAGCTTCATTAAGCCCATGATGCAGGTCAAGTTTCCTGGCAGCCAATTCTGCCCCAGGCTAGTGCTAGACATGTAGTCATTTACAGGCAGAAATAATAGAGGATTATATAGTCCTCTCTGTGCAACATGTGTTGAAGCTTTATATAGCTATTAATGTTCCTTTCCTGCAGAAAACGGTCAGATAAATATAACCAAAAGAGGGTCATTGCCTAATCCTGATGATTCAAATGGGTGCTGTAGGCCACCTCCATAAAATAATTGGGTTTCTTTTCTGGGATGCAGTTCCTTTTCATTATTAAGTAAAGAAAAGACTTATCTCTCTGGAAAGCAAGGTTTATTTTGCTGATGAGGATTTCAGATGAATTTTAAATACTAAGAAAACTAAATTGTTAAGCCTGTTGATAGGTATAGTAATTATAATTTTTATTGATTTTGAAGAATTTTTCTTAAATTTGTATATGTCATCAAACATGAAAAGTCTTTCCATGTTTTATGAGTGCATTAGAAATACTGTCCTTTATTAATCAGAACTGGAAAAATTAAATCTTTTTTACAATGTGGGATTTTATACATCCCACTCATCTGTCAATGAAGCAACACTTACTTCCATTTTTAGTCAGTTAATTATTTCATCCCTCTTATATTTTTCACCCTATAAGTAATTCTGAGTGTTTTATCCACTTTTCACATTGTTGAAAGATTTCACAGTCACTCCTCAATTGATATTTAGGAAACTCCATTTTATGTACTTTTGGTATTATCTTTTCTTTGCACTTTCAGAGGTTTCTAGTGTTGTTTTTGTTGTTTTTACTTATTTTCTATTCCTGAAAACTGAGCTTCAATTAAGACAGATAATTTGTTCTTTTAGGAGTCCTGAAATGAAGAATATAATTACATATTATTTTAAATAAATAAATAAATACAATGTATGCCATTCATTTTGCTGAATTTTCTTGAAACTCTCAGCAGCACTCAGCTCTAGGATTACAAGGTTTGAGCTAACATTTTTCTCCCTTTGAAAATTTTGCAAGCACAAGACACTGTAAGAACCTGTTCAGTTCAAATGTAATTAATGTAATTTAAATGCTCAGAAATTAAAAGGCTCTTTAAAACATGGATTGGAAGCAAGTAGAAAGCTGAAGGTTACCCAGCCAATTCATTTATTACCCTAAACAGGATGATAAAAGCTGATTTTGTTCCAAACATAGGTCCTAATGTCCATGAGAAAGGAAGTTCATTCCATGGACAGGGAAGCCTCCACTAGACAGCTGCTTTTTCAGGATTTTTGTATTCAGGCAAATGTAGTAATCTGCTCCCTCTATGTAAGTACAGGCAACAGTAACCTCCCTTCTTCTGCCTTGAAATTTAAGTTATGTCAACATTCAAAGAGTTTCAACTGCTAAAGATAAATACCCCTCATTTAAAAAGGAAAAGAGGGACCAAATGCATAGAAGTGGGGCACAGAGCCTTCCTTGAGATGCTAATGAAGACAAAATAATGACATTTTCTCAATAAGTTTTAGATGGGTAATTAAGAAACTTTGACCTCTATTTCTCCAAAAGGCAAGCATTAACTAGGCCAAAATGGGCAGCCAGGCATTGTGAATATTAATATCACAAAAAGTTAATTCACTTTACAGAAGGATATTTTGCATAATGGAACACGCTACTGATCTAATTAGAATATAGTTTTCTTTACTAAAATCTATTAACTTTTAAAGCACATTTCTAAGATATAAAACAGCCATGATGACCTTTTAATAATGGTTGTTTTAATATTTTATTGTTTTTATTACAAATAATACAAAATGTATGTAATAAATCACTGCATGTTCTTTCTAATCTTGCCCCAGACATCACAGTTTGGTATATATCTATCTAGCCTTTTTATTTATTATAAATATTTACCAAGAAATGATACAATTCAATACAAACTTTTGTTTGTAACCTCCATTTTTTTACTTACAATATTATGAATATCTTTCTAGATCAGTACATACTAATTTGTTTTTAATGTTTTTTAACGGCTGAAAAAATATTGAGAATCCCTGAAGAAAGAAAAACAAATTACTCATAATCCCACCACTTAAAAAAAACATGTAAAATGCCTAGTGAACATCTGTTCTCCACCTATCCCATCATACTCAGTCACACTATGCTCCGAGGTTAAAGAGCATATAAAAGTTGAGGGCATATTCTTCAAGATTTTGCCCAAACTGACACTGACCTATTTATATACACACCTGCATACATTTGTATTTTAAAATAAAAATGAAACAATGCTGTAATAGTGGCCTGCAACTTTCTTTTTTCTCCAACTTAATATATTTTGCACATTTTTTCAGGTCAGGAGATATGAAATTACCTTCCTCTTTTAAATGACTACATAATATTTCATTTTATGAATGTACTGTATTTATCTATTTAGTCAGTTGACATACATTCAGATTTTCTTATGCTTTGCTACCATAAATATTCCTACAATGACCATCATCTTACATATAAATCTTTGTATTCTTGTACTCATTTCTATAGTAAAGATTTCTAGAAATGGAATTTAAAAAAAATTTTAAGTGAGAATTTTAAACTTTAATATGCTCTGCTAATTACTGTAAGCAATGTATAAGTGTGCCTGTTTCCCCACAGTCTCACCAACTAATGCTAGTTAACATCATTATAACTTAAAGTAAAAAATGTAAAACAAATATTCATCCCAGTCCTGTGACTCAGTGACAAAAATTGCACAGGGAAATGCTTCATTAATTTATATGTGTCGCTTAGAGCTATTGATTCTTCTTTCCAATGGCACTAATTTCAGGTTTTCGTATTTCCAAGGAGGATATCCTTACATGCCAAGAAGCTGGAAGAGAATTGAAATTTAGTACTGATAAAGTATATGTCTTAATACATATCATATATTGAACAAGGCCAACGTGACTTAAAACCTATATTTATTCAGCAGATGCTATTGTCTGTGTACTGTGTAGGTTTTTGAGGTCTTGGGGAAAATCCAAATATATTACAATAGAGCACAATAGGTCTGATAAAAGTGTTATAACACTGCAGCAAAGAGAACACAAATTCCTTTGGTCAGGAAGGGGAATGGGTGTGTTTTTGGAACCCCAAACTCTTCTCATTTGTCCAGCCAGTTACCCAAAGATTTCCAACTTATCCTAGATTATTCCCCCTCTACTTCAGTGCTCATAACTTCCTTTTACATAGCTCTTGTATCCTGGCTCCTTCCCCACCAACCTAATGCAGACTTTCATCATCTTTCCCCTAAACAATTACAATAGCCTCCTAACTCACTTTCCTACCTCTAGACTCACTTGTCTTGAGTCTAGCTGTTGTATTTTTTAAGTATGCAAATCTAATTATGTTGAGATAGCCCACCCCACCCCCATCATCATTAAAATCCTCCCACCATGTCCATGACATTATCAGGATAAAAAATAATAAATGGCTACAGTATGTAATGTACAGCTTAATTTTATTTTATATATTACGTATCTGCATATGTAATGGATACCATGTGTATAGTATGCATACGAAACATAGTACTAATACCAGATAAATTCCTCAAGCTCTGTAACTCCCATTTGTTCAGAATATCTGTGAAATGAAACTTATACTATCTAATTCACAGATATGTTGTATAAGGTACATGATGTGATTAGTGGCACAAAGTAGGACTTTAATTCCAATCATGGTCACATTTATTGAGCCCTCACCATTTGTCATGCATGGTTCTAGGTTCTTTACATGTATCCCTTCATTTAATCCTCTGAACAATTTTATAAGGCAGCCCTTCACAGAGGAGGAAACTGAGGCAACAATGGGTTGGATTTGTACAGGGTCACAAAGATGGTGAATGGTAGAGTTAACATTTGAATTATTTAGTCTGACTCAATAGCTCCACACTTAACCACTGTGCTACTAATAATATTAGATCTGAATCCTTCTATTCTCTTGTCATCGTGCCACCCTTGTCACAATGACTCTGGTTTCCAGTGTTCTGCATTCAAGTGAGTTTCACAGGCGAACTCCACAGTGTATGACCAATGTTAGGGGTACAACAAGGGGCAGCATCTGATGCAGCATGTAAAATATGATTAATATTTTTCAGAAAAGGAATCCTGTTTCAAAAATTGATCTACTAACATAGTTCACAGTCTGAATAATGATGTGCAGGAAAATTGCTATAAATGAACAAAGAAATGGGTGTATTCAAAGAATACATGAGTATAGCATATGCATAATGTGTGACCTACGGAAAAAGGAAAGCTTGCAGCTAATTCAAGATCTTATTCATTCCAAGGAATGATTTTGTTGTTGTTGTTGTGCCAGATAGATGTCTGTCATCACAAAATATTTATTTTGTTTATAATTTTAAGAAAATAGTAAATGGATGACAATTGCTTCCATATAGCTCTGTGGTATTTTCTTTTTGTTTTTGGCCCCTGTTGCCACATACGAGTTTTTCACTAATGATCCATCATCGAATAAATGGTCTCACGTGATTTCTCAGGTCATTGTTTTTATATAACTAGTCATTGGAACAGCTGACTCAGTTATATGGATTTTTCTGGTCATGGGTTCTTTAACAGATAGTTAAAGATATGTCATCAAAAATTACTGTCTCCTCAGGAAATTAAAATTCTCTGAGATGGCTGAATTAGCTTCCATATAAGCAATGTCAACTTGCTTCACATATTTTTATAGTCAGCTTTATGAAACTATAAAAATTTGTTTGTGGAACATCTTACTATTGACAGTGAAATTAGGTAACTATTTAAAAGTGTTTGCCAAAAATTACTTTAGTTCTGGATATCTATATGTAGAAAAATAAAACTAGACCCCTATCTCTCACTATACACAAAAGTCAAATCAACATGAATTAAAGACTTAAATCTAAGACTCAAAACTATGAAACTACTAAAAAAATTTTGAGGAAACTCTCCAGAACATTGGTCTGAGCAAAGATTTCTTGAGTAATTCCCCAAAAGCACAGACAACTAAAGCAAAAATGGACAAATGGGGTCACATCAAGTTTAAAAGCTTCTGCACAACAAAGGAAACAATAATCAAAGTGAAGAGACAACTCACAGAATGCGAGAAAATATCTTCAAACTATCCATTTGATGAGGAATTAATAACCAGAACACATAAACCATATAAACAACCCAAACAACAATAGAGAAAAATCTAATCATCCAATTTAAAAATGGGCAAACAACAATAGAAAAAAAATCTGATAATCCAGTTTTTCAAAATGGGCAAAAGATCTGAATAGATATTTTTCAAAAGAAGACACACAAATGACCAACAGGTATATGAAAAGGTGCTCAACATCATTGATCATCAGAGAAATGTAAACCAAAGCTACAATGAGCTATCATCTCACCCCACTTAAAATGGCTTTTATCCAAAAGACAGGTAATAACAAAGGGAGGCGAGGATGTGAAGAAAGGAGAACCTTATATGCTGTTGGTGGGAATGTAAATTAGTACAATCACTATAGAGAACAGTATGGAGGTTCTTCAAAAAACTAAAAGTAGAACTACCATGTGATCCAGCAATCTCACTGCTGAGTATATACCCAAAAGAAAGGAAATTAGCATATAGAAGAGATAGCTGCACTCCCGTGTTTATTGCAGCACTATTCACTTTAGCCAGGATTTGAAATCAACCTAAGTGTTCATCAACAGATAAATGGATAAAGTATAATACACATACACAATGGAGCACTATTCAGCCATAAAAAAGAATTAAATCCTGTTGTTTACAACAACATGAATGGAAATGGAAGACATTATGCAAAATGAGATAAACCAAGCACAGAAAGACAAACTTCACATGTTATCACTCATTTGCAGGAGCTAAAAATTAAAACAATTGAACTCATGGAGATAGAGAGTAGAATAATGGTTACCAGAGGCTGGGAAGGATGGGGCTTGGAGAGTGGGAAATGGGGATGGTTGATGTATACAAAAATGTACTTAGAATGAATAAGATCTAGTATTTGATAGCACGAGAGTGACTACAGTCAACAATAATCTATTATACATTTGAAAATAACTGAGGGAGTACAATTGAAATGTTTCTAACACAAAGAAATGATGAGTACTCAAAGTGATGGAAACCCTATTTACCCTGATGTGATTATTACACATTGTATGGCTATATCAAAATCTCATGTATCCTACAAGTATTGTATATTAGTATCCTACTATATACCCATAAAAATAAAAAAAATTAAAACACATAATAAAGAAAAAGTTAGTTTAGTTGATCTACACCATTATTTTTATACTTTGCTAACTTCCAAAAAAACTGTATTTCATGGAACATAATTTGGGAAACGTATGACCTTTCTAAGAATTATTATGTCATTCTTATTTCCATAAACTTTTTAGAGTACAATTAAAATAGGCTTTTGAAACTTTATGTAATACCATAGGGAAAGATAAAAAATAATGACCAACCTATTGAACAGTTTATCTTCCTAGATAGTATTTTTCCCCAATTAGTAGCCTCAGCTGTTAAACTATTCTGTCATATACACATTTCCAATTAAAAGGAACACCTGGGGCAAGGCAGAGGGACTCACTGGGAATCAGTAGTGTCTAATGCTACATCCATTTTGGTTTTGACCTGTTGAAATTAGCGAAGTCAGTGGAGCCTTAAAACACAGTTGGCCTTTTAAAGATAAAGCAGAAGAGCCACATAGTATCCGATCTGGGCAGAGTAACAACTACAAAATTCTGAAACACAGCCAGGCCTCTGTCTTTAAAGCAGTGTTAGCTCAGTTCTGCTAGGCCAGGCAAGCATATCTGATTGGGACAGCAGACACGTGACATATTCTGGAGATCAGCTTGAACTATCACAGGGCTGTGGATTGTTGAGAATCAATGGCAGAAGGCAGATCTGCTGAGCATGTGACAGAGGAGGGAAACCTGGTGACTTCAGCTGAGTGGAGAGAGGCAACCTGGAGTAGAGTCACAGCATCAGCTTTTTAAAGTGAAAACTGTGGAGACTTAGAAATATGTGATCTATAAGAACAGACTTGCCAGACTTGGCCTTGAATAAAAGAGTCATTTTATCCTACAGAAGAATTGTGACAACTGCTTAATAGTAATGATCAAATCACAGCAACAGCATTCAAGTTCAGGAAATAATGAGCTAAAGTAAAACCAGGAGGAATTTAAGACAAGCTAAAATGACACTCTTATATCTTGACATTTCTTCACTACACCTTATTTTATAACTGGGGCCATGGTGTCTTAAGTTCCTCCATTAAGGCAGACAACCCCTAATTTTGCATTGCCTGGCAAAGATGATAGCCTATTTCCCACAGGAAAATGCCAACACCTTACTGGGCATGCTTGATGATAACTGACAATATCAGAGCCTGAACCGATATGGCTGTGTTGGGTTCTGAACAAACTGCTTCAGAGTTTTGTAACTGATACCATATGCTTTACTCAGTCCCCAAATGCAACTAGACAAAACCCATCGTCAATCTGTTCCAGATTGTCTTGTGTATTTTATGGCTAAGGACTGAATTGCAAGCTAACATTCACAGCTGGGAAGAAAAAATTGCAATTTATAAATCAGGGTCCAGTAAGTCTAAGAGACAAAGGATGCCCACTGCTTTGCAGGTGGAGGTATAGGAAAGGATCAATTGCTTTAGGCCCCACTTCCCCTGTCTCTGTTTTTTCCTCTGCTTAGAAAGCCTGTCAGCCTCCTATCCTCCTGGTGAACTTCAATATACTTCAAGTTTAAACTAAAGCATCTCGAGTTGACCATGTTCTTTTGTGCCAACACTGTGTCCAGAGCAATCTTCATTACAGCATTTATCACTCTCTACAGCAATCATGTGTTTACATATCTGTTTTCTCTTCTAGAACTCCATGAGGGCAGGGGCTATGGCAGGCTCACATAGATGTTAAACAAATGTCTGTTAAAGGAATTCATTGGAAAAAAAAATGAATAGATGTCATAAACTGTAAACTTCTTTGGAGAACTAAAAACACATGACAAATGAGTACTGATGATTTTCAAAATCATATTAAGGCAAATACTTTCCTTGATGACAGGCACAAATATGTAAATATTTTTTTCATTGCCTACCATGGGAATTTATTTTAAATCTTTAGTTAATAAGTGATTTCTAATGGACTGTTATCCAAAAGTGGAAATTATATGAGTGACCCTGCATGAAGTGGAAAGATGCGTTGAGGCTTTTTTCCGGGGGGGTGCAGGAGGGGATGCATTTGGCCTGATTTATGTACATGCTGGCTTAGTCTCACTTTTGACCAACTATAAGCATTTTAAAGTGCAGCTGGTTATGTTTAAAGATGCCATCTGTAGCCATGACAAAAGAGTCTTCCCTGATGAAGATTTAATTGGTCCATAAATGTTTCACAAACACAACCTTTGTTTCTTAGTACAGTGTGTTTGTTCTATTTTGTTTTATTTTTCAGTCTATGAAGCATGGATTTGAAGTCAGATAAACCCATGGTTCAAACCCTATTTGTTCCATTTATTAAGCTGTGTGCCTCCAAGAAAAGCTTCCTCCAAACTTTCCAAACCTTTGTTTCCTCATCTATTGAATAAGAATGATAATATCTACCTCAAACAGCTGCAAAGGTTCAATGCCATAGTGCATCTGAAGTTCCTACCCTGGGGCTTGGCATAACCAAGTTCTCTATAAATGGCATTTCCCTTTCTCCTTGTCAACTGTTTAGGAGACACTCTTTAAGAGTTAGGTGTACCTTATCTCTTCTTTAGCTTATTGACTGTCCTCCCGTAATTCCCACAATTTTTAAAGAGCGAATGCTTGTAGATCACAATCTATGCAATGGATACCCATGAATGTCAATAAGATGTGACTACACAGAGCCATTACTCTGCTGTAGGAAACCTCACAAAACTGTGTTCTTACAGGTTAGAATATTATTCTATTGTTAATGCATTTTTACCTTCAAAAGAGCACCAAAATATGACTATCAAATTGTGCTAATCTTTTAATTTTTAATATTAATTTAGAGTTACAGAAACTTTTCAAATAATCTTCCCCAGTTTCTTCTAATGTTAACATCTTGCATGACCATGGTACATTTAGCATTCCTAAGCTATTAAACTTGGTACAATTTATTTACTTAACCAAACACCTTATTTGGATTTCACCAGTTTTTCCATTAACGTTATTTTTCTGTTCCAGGATCCAGTTTAGGACCCACATTACTTTTGGTTATCATGCCTCTTATTCTTCTCTAGTGTGTGATGATTCCACAGTTTTTCCTTATCTTTCATGATCTAGACATTTTGAAGAGTGAAGGTCAGTTATTTTGTGGAATGCCTCACAGTTTGGAATTATATAATGTTTTCTGCTGATGAAATGAAGTTATATATTTGTGGCAAGAATGCTACAGAAGTGATGTATTTCTCTTGCCAACATGATGAGGATAGTGTTTGCTGGGTTTCTCCACTGTAAACTCACATCTTTCTCTGTGTCATTAATAAATATCATAGGATAGTGACCTTTAAGGCTGCTCCTTAGAGTATTTTATCTTTATTATTAATTTTTTTGAGACAGAGTCTCACTCTGTCACCCAGGCTAGAGTGTAGTGGTGCAATCTTGGCTTACTGCAACCTCCGCCTCACAAGATCAAGGGATTCTCGTGCCTTAGCCTCTGGAGTAGCTGGGATTACAGGCATGTGTCACCATGCCTGGCTAATTTGTTGTATTTTTAGTAGAGATGAGGTGTTGCCGTATTGGCTAGACTGGTCTCGAACTCCTGACCTCAAGTGATCCACCTGCCTTGGCCTCCCAAAGTGCTGGGATTACAGGTGTGAACAGCTGCACCTGGCCTGTCTTTAGAGTATTTTAAAAATATTATAAACATGTATAAAAATGTGAGACTACACATAGAAAGGACTGTCATGTCGTAGATACAAGTATGCTTCATAGGTTTCTAATTTTTACATTGTTAGAATATGTTTAAACTAAAAATGAATATTAACTTTTAATTTCACAATGCCATAGTAGTCTGAATGTTCAGTTTTGAAAGCATTAGCATTTCTGAGCTGAATTTAGCTCCTTTTAGCATGCTTTGAGCTTAACTGTGGATGTACAGCATGTGATCAGTGAGTAATCTTTGAAAAATTATTCAGCTCTAAGTAATTACTAGTAAAGCTTCAATGAGAGATGCAGTTTATGACATTAAGACATGTAATGGGATACATTTTTTGCAGCAGACCGTATTCCATATGTCACTTGGTTGCATACACTTAAACTTGCATTAATAGTGGATGGCAAGCCTTTACTCTTCTGCCATTTTGTGTGCATGTAGACTGCCGGGCCCTTTCTTCTACCCCTCTGTGTCTAATTTTCAACCATGTTCCGATGCCATACATTTATGGTTATGACAGGTGAGCTCTGCTAGTGAAAGCATATTCCAGTGAAGCCTAGTGTCCCAGCTCCATCCTTTTGGCTCTGTTTGATGTGTCAGTTGCACTCATATTTCTATCTGTTAATGCAATAAACATGTAATAAACACCTCTAAGTCAGGCCCTATACTCAGTCATTAGACATAAGTGGATTAGATGAGAGACTATAAACAGTTCAGCAAGTATTTATTATTGCAACTGGAAAGTAAAGTCTATGAGCAATATAATTTTATTTTCATAAATTTAAAAAACAACATATTTAAATGTAAAGAAAAGTAAGAAAATTAGATTCCAAGGCCAGGGAAACTGCATACTTTATCTTGGAATATCATCCCAGATATGTGGATTGCACAGTAACTGTGATTTGAAGTTATATATTTTTAACAAAGATAAACTTTGGTTGTTGATGTAGCAAGGGTCTAGAGCACAGTTTTTAATAAATGTATTAGTTGAGATTTGTCTTCATATCATTATTTATTTGATATGACATATAATTTGAAGTAGTCCAAATCTCTTCACAAAAAGTGTTAGTATGGGAGAATCCCACCTGACACCAATCCTTTTAATGAAATTTAACACAAAATTAAGATTCAAGGATTATTGTGAAATTTAAAATTATCTTAATTTACTCATAGGCACCAGTGAGTTTTTAAAAAGATGTCTTACATATTTTTTAATTATAAGCTTTTGGCCAAGCAAGTATTAAGTGGGAAGTTCACTTCAAAAATAATAATGACAGTAATGGCAATAATAATATTAATAATAGTAATAATAATACTCATATTTTCCCAATTTCACAGATAAGAAAATTAAGGCAAAAAGAGACTAAGCAACTTGCCCAAGACCACACAGCTACTAAGTGGCATAGCCTTGGCTCAGATTTGGGCCGTGTATCCTCAGTCTACACTCTTAAACTCTTACCCTCTACAACTTTCTAGATAGTTAGGTTATAGGATAAGTTGGTATAATGAAGATTCCTACGTTACAGTGATTTAAATAAGATAGAAAAGTATTTCTCTCTTGTAACAGTATAGGAACGAGTGGCCCAGGGCTGGCTGGACAGTTCTGCTGTCTTGTGTGCGTGGCTTCCATCTCTGGTCCAAAGTGTCTGCATGCCTTGTTGCCATCTCCTAGCCATAAGGAAAAGGAGGAGGGAAGTAAAAGGCAAGCACCCTCATTTTGAAGGATGTGACCAGAAGTTCACTTCTACTCACATTCTGTTATTCAGTACTTGGTTGCAGGGCCACACATATCAGCAAGAGAGGTATGGAAATGTCCTCTAATTGAGTTGCCATGTGTCCAGCTAAACCTCCTGGGTTAAAAGAAAGAAGGGGAGAAAGAATACTGGGAGGAAATTAGCAGGCTCTGCTAGAACCTTCCTCTCTGGTTTTAGACTCCCACCTACCCAGAGAGGTGGGAGTCTATATAGAACTCTATATAGAACCCCTATTCTCCCCAAAGGAGACCACCCAGTTCAGAGTCTTAAGATTTCTGGGAGATGTACTGGATGCTGCAAGTTTTTCCTTATGGTCCAATCACCTATAGCCAAAAAGACAAATTATGTGCCATATCCACTTCATACTCTGTATGGAGAATAACCTCAAAGATAACTCTCATTCAGATAAGAAAGGAATGGTAAATATATGGTGGTCCGTTGTCCACAGCAATTATCATATTTGGTGGCAGGACTTACAGACTCCCTGTTCCAACATGGAATATGTTCTTTGGTTTGCTCAACTGTTACACTTTTTTTTGGAGCTTTTTGGTTTGCTTAGCTGTTACGCTTTTGAATATTGCATTTTTTTGGAGAGTTATTCCTTACTTATTATCTGGAGGTGGTTTGAGAATATTCCCTAATTGAGAGGTTGCACAGTTTTGGTGGTTTTTATTTTTATTTTTATTTTTATTTTTATCTCCCTCTGCCACCCAAGCTGGAATGCAGTGCAGTGTCATGATCATAGATCACCTTAGACTCAAACTCCTTGGATCAAGCAATCCTCCTTTCTCAGCCTCCCAAGTAGCTGAGATTACAGGCATGAGCCACTATGCCTGGCCACAGTTTTTGCCTCCTCCTTTCCACAAGGGCAGGGGTAAGACCCAGATTTGTTTTAAGGGTCAAGCAGTCAAAGGCTTTTACAAGCCAAGCTTGTGATTTCAATGGAAATATGATTCCATAAAAAATGTAGTGGACATATATATGTATATATATTTGCATCTAGACAGCTCCATGTAAATATGCTATTCTATGTTAACTAGTTCGGCTTTTCTCTAAGCCAAGATATATCCTTGGAAGATGTCATTGTTTTGTATTTCCTAGTATTTTCTATAACCATTTCCTAAAGGCATCTGTTGGCCATTTAATCATATTAAAGCATTAAATGGACTCTGGCATATGCTTCAGTTCACTGGTTAGTCTGTTTTTATTCTTAAAGTTTTGGGGGTATTCATGAAATGCTTTGGAAAGCTTGTGACAGACTTGATAGGGCATGATGTCTGGCTGGTGTCTTCAACAGTTAACACAATGATTCATTCCCATATGTTCTTCTTAGTGCACTGGCCTCATCTGTATTACATGTGCCTGTACCTCACAGCACCTGAAAGCCTGTATAGAAGAATTTAATATATCACTGTGACTGGAGAAAAGTAGAACTTGTTTGTAAATGTTTGTTTCCTTCAAATTTCAAAATCCCACAGTGTAAGGGTTACTGGAGGTGTGTACCTGTGTGTGTGCCTGTGTAGATGTGTGCATATAGGTGTGTTTGTGTAGCAGTTACCAAAATATTTGGTTGGTGCAAAATTAATTGTGGTTTTTGCCAATTTTTTTTTTTTTTGAGACAGAGTCTCACTCTGTCACCCAGGCTGGAGTGCAGTGGCACAATCTCGACTCACTGCAACCTCTGCCTCCCTGGTTCAGATGATTCTCCTGCCTCAGACTCCTGAGTAGCTGGAATTACAGGCACCCTCCACCATGCCTGGCTAATTTTTTTTTTTTTTTGTATTTTTAGTAGAGACAGGGTTTTACCATGTTGGCCAGGCTGGTCTGAAACTCCTGACCTCAGGTGATTTGTCCGTCTTGGACTCCCAAAGCCTTTACTTTCAATGGCAAAAATCGCAATTACTTTTACACCCACCTAATAATTGTAGACAGGAAATGTCCACATGGTGCCCAAAACTAATGTGACTGCATCTTTTATTAAATATTCAACTCTCTTAGTAGTGCCACTCAAGCATAACATTCCCCACAAGTTACATCTTTAAGGATTACAACCTCATATGCTTTATTAGCAGACTATTTATATGTGGGACAGTCCATCCATGCTGAAGTATTTATAACAGCAATTATTTTGAGTAGGAGTGATCAATATCTCCTGGGCAAACCTACTTACTGCTTAACAGGTGGCAAACATCTGTTGTTGTTTGGTGTCACCATTGTTGGCAACTATACATCAATTAAAAGTTTTACTCATAAGTGGGAGTTGAACAATGAGAACACATGGGCATAGGGAGGGGAATATCACACACTGGGGACTGTCAGGGGACATGGGGCTAGGGGAGGGATAGCATTAGGAGAAATACCTAATGTAGATGACGGGTTGATGGCTGCAGCAAACCACCATGGCACATGTATACCTACATAAAAAACCTGCATGTTCTAAACATGTATCCCAGAACTTAAAGTATAATCTAAAAAATGACAAAAAAAGTTGTCCTTTAAAATCTCTGCAGCCTATTACCTATTTCCAATCAGTACTATTTCTGCTTCAACCTACAAAAACAGGTTTGTTCCTTTGGAATATGAAATAAGTTTTTCTTGTTGCTATTATTTTGTCACTTCCAAAACTGATCTAGATTGGTCAAAGTATGAGAGAACCCAAAGTAGTAACACACAGATCCAACACTATATTTCTTTGTTCACAAGTCAAAAAGAACTGAATGTTGTATCTAAGCATATAAATTCATTCTTTTGTTCATTTGTATTCATATTTACCCATCTGGATTCCATCTGGAACCAAAACCAAAAGTGCGAGAAACCACAACAAAGGCTGCTTTCCTTGGGTTTTCTACCTCACTGGAAGTGGGTAGCATTAGGCATTTCACAGGCTTCCTCTCACTAGATTTTCCAGTCGAAATCCTACAAAGACCAGAGACTCATACACTTCTAAATGGAGAATACAGGGTGTCTTTCAGAATGGACTTCAGCAAGCAGGACCACATTGGCCCCATCCTGGCTAATTTGAAGGCCATTTAGGTTGAAAAAGAAAAAAACTTTATATTAGCTCAGAGATTTGGAATGCATGAGAAATGTAAAGAAATATTTCCAATATTAATGTCATATTAATACATTTAGTTGAGTAGAACTAATTCATTTGCTTGTAATTTGTTTCAATTTCCTTCCTTCCTGAGTTCCTTGCAGACTAACTTAAAATTCTTTCACAGTATAATGAATAGCCACTTTTCAGCTGATATATGTTTAGGGAAGAAACACACAACTGTGTCACATTCTATGATGGCTCATTACTAGGTGGATTCTAATGTGTTATAAGTAAGATTATCCATTCCAAACATAAACAGCAAGGGAAGCCGTATGTACTATCCTCTACCCAACCTCAAGTTCCATTATTTTTAATAAAACTAAAACGTACTTGTAATTTCTCACTAAAACATAATAACACCCAGCATTGAAGCTTATCAATTTTTAAAGCCATATTTTTAGGAAAATTTTCTGCACAAAAAATAGAATAACTTAAGTAGCTGTATATTTTTCTTAAAACTCAGTGTAAGGCGATTACTTAGGTAAACCTTGTTCACTGCCAATTTTTATTGGAATGAATTGTAAGTGAAAGTCAAAATGTTTCCTACTCCTCAGTAAAGATGTTTAATTTTGTCCTATACTTTTATTAGCCAGCTACTTAGTAAAAGTTTTTATAAGTTTTATAAAAGGAAATAGAGTTTAGAGACTTACCTGGTAATAATTTTTATACATAACAAAGTTGAAGAAGCTTAATTTGTTGTCACATTCAAGAACTCTGTGTCATTAGAATGAGCCAAGCATGGAAATCATGATTCCAAATTAATGTGACTAATTTCTACCCACTTCCTATCCCAGTCTCTGAGCATCGTCTACTCTGAACTTGAATGGTCATGGTTTCACCCAGCTCTAGCATGTTCCAGGTGCTCATCCCCCTACCTGGAACATTTGCTTAACTCACTCTTATGTTTCCTTGGATAAACTATAAGTCTGCGAGACAAGACAGTATTAAATGGCTGTACAGGCTGCTTGTCCTTCATAGCCCTTAGTAGGAATCAAACCTGCCAATGCCTCCGTTTTGGACTTCTGGCCTCCAGAACTGAAAGACAACAAATTTAGATTTGTTCTAAACCACATAATTTATGGTAATTTGTCACAGTTGCCCTAGGAAACAAATACAACTTCAAAGAGCTATCAGTTCTCTTCTTTTCTATTATTCTGCTTTAACATCTTAAATAATATTTTTAAATTGTAGTTTTAAAAATACAACCATAATTCATACTAATGGTGAAATATTGAAGCATGTAAAATAAAAAGTAAAAGTGCATTTTGCCTTTCCATCTCTGGCCTTCTATTCTTAATCTTCTAAGAGATCCACTGTTTAGAATTTCTTGTGTATCATTCCAGAACTTACGTGTTCACAATCAAGTATATATACTAACACTTTATTTTACTTAAATAAGATCATGGTATACATCATGTTCTGCAATTTGCTTTACTGCTTTTAATAACTTTTCTTATATATATCTCCATATCTTTACTCTATATCCATCTTTTTTTTATTATACTTTAAGTTCTAGGGTATAAGTGCACAACATGCAGGTTTGATACATAGGTATATGTGCCATGTTGGTTTGCTGCACCCATCAACTCGTCATTTACATTAGGTATTTCTCCTAATGCTATCTGTCCCCAAGTCCCCCACCCGACAGGCCCCTGTGTGTGATGTTCCCTGCCCTGTGTCCAAGTGTTCTCATTGTTCAATTCCCACCTATGAGTGAGAACATGCAGTGTTTGGTTTTCTGTCTTTGTGATAGTTTACTCAGAATGACGGTTTCCAGCTTCATCCATGTCCCTGCAAAGGACATGAACTAAACCTTTTTAATGGCTGCATAGTATTCCACAGTGTATATGTGCCACATTTTCTTAATCTAGTCTATCATTGGTGGACATTTGGGTTGGTTCCAAGTCTTTGCTATTGTGAATAGTGCCACAATAAACATACATGTGCATGTGTCTTTATAGTAGCATGATTTATAATCCTTTGGGTATATACCCAGTAATGGGATTGCTAGGTCAAATGGTATTTCTAGTTCTAGATCCTTGAGGAATCCCCACACTGTCTTCCACAATGGTTGAACTAATTTACACTCCCACCAACAGTGTAAAAGTGTTCCTATTTCTCCACATCCTCTCCAGCATCTGTTGTTTCCTGACTTTTTAATGTTCACCATTCTAATTGGCCTGAGATGGTATCTCATTATGGTTTTGATTTGCATTTCTCTGATAACCAGTGATGATGAGCATTTTTTAATGTGTGTGTTGGCTGCATAAATGTCTTCTTTTGAGAAGTGTCTGTTCATATCTTTTGCCCACTTTTTGATTGGTTTATTTCTTGTAAATTTGTTTAAGATCTTTGTAGATTCTGGATATTAGCCCTTTGTCAGATGGGTAGATTGCAAAAATTTTCTCCCATTCTGTAGATTGCCTGTTCACTCTGATGGTAGTTTCTTTGCCATGCAGAAGCCCTTTAGTTTAATTAGATCCCATCTGTCTATTTTGGCTTTTGGTGCCATTGCTTTTGGTGTTTTAGTCATGAAGTCCTTGACCATGCTTATGTCCTGAATGGTATTGCCTAGGTTTTCTTCTAGAAATTTTATGGTTTTAGGTCTAACATTTAAGTCTTTAATCTGTCTTGAATTAATTTTTGTATAAGGTGTAAGGAAGGGATCCAGTTTCAGCTTTCTACATGTAGCTAGCCAGTTTTCCCAGCACCATTTATTAAATAGGGAATCCGTTTCCCATTTCTTGTTTTTGTCAGGTTTGTCAAAAATCAGATGGTTGTAGATGTGTGGTGTTATTTCTGAGGGCTCTGTTCTGTTCCACTGGTCTATATCTCTGTTTTGGTACCAGTACCATGCTGTTTTGTTTACTGTAGCCTTGTAGTATAGTTTACAGTCAGGTAGCGTGATGCCTCCAGCTTTGTTCTTTTTGCTTAGGATTGTCATGGCATTGTGGGCTCTTTTTTGGTTCCATATGAATTTTAGAGTACTTTTTCCAATTCTGTGAAGAAAGTCATTGGTAGCCTGATGGGGATAGCATTGAATCTATAAATTACCTTTGGCAGTATGGCCATTTTCACTATATTGATTCTTCTTATCCATGAGCATGAAATGTTCTTCCGTTTGTTTGTGTCCTCTTTTTATTTCATTGAGCAGTGGTTTGTAGTTCTCCTTGAAGAGGTCCTTCACATCCCTCCTAAGTTGGATTTCTACTTATTTTATTCTTTTTGTAGCAATTGTGAATGTGAATTCACTCGTGATTTGGCTCTCTGTTTGTCTGTTATTGGTGTATAGGAATGTTTGTGATTTTTGCACATTGATTTTGTATCCTGAGACTTTGCTGAAGTTGCTTATCAGCTTAAGGAGATTTTGGGCTGAGACAATGGGGTTTTCTAAACATACAATCATGTCATCTGCAAACAGGGACAATTTGACTTCCTCTTTTACTAACTAATACCCTTTATTTCTTTCTCTTGCCTGATTGCCCTGGCCAGAACTTCCAACACTATGTTGAATAGGATTGGTGAGAGAGGGCATCCTTGTCTTGTGCCAGTTTTCAAAGGGAATGCTTCCAGTTTTTGTCCATTCAGTATGATATTGGCTGTGGGTTTGTGATAAATAGCTCTTATTATTTTGAGATACGTTCCATCAATACCTAGTTTATTTTGAGTTTTTAGCATGAAGGGCTGTTGAATTTTGTCAAAGGCCTTTTCTGCATCTATTGAAATAATCATATGTGTTTTTGTCATTGGTTCTGTTTATGTGATGGATTACCTTTATTGATTTGTGTGTGTTGAACCAGCCTTGCATCCCAGGGATGAAGCCAACTTGATCGTGATGGATAAACTTTTTGATGTGCTGCTGGATTTGGTTTGCCAGTATTTTATCGAGGATTTTCGCATTGATGTTCATCATGGATATTGGTCTACAATTCTCTTTTTTTGTTGTGTCTCTGCCAGTCTTTGCTATCAGGATGATGCTGGCCTCATAAAATGAGTTAGGGAGGATTCTCTCTTTTTCTATTGATTGGAGTAGTTTCAGAAGGAATGGTACACAGCTCCTCTTTTTACCCCTGTTAGAATTTGGCTATGAATCCATCAGGTCCTGGACTTTTTTTTGGTTGGTAGGCTATTAATTATTGCCTCAATTTTGGAGCCTGTTATTGGTCTATTCAGAGATTCTACTTTTTCCTAGTTTAGTCATGGGAGTTGTATATGTCCAGGAATTTATCTGTTTCTTCTGAATTTTCTAGTTTATTTTCGTAGAGGTATTTATAGTATTCTCTGATGGTAGTCTGTGTTTCTGTGGGATCGGTGGTGATATCCCCTTTATCATTTTTTATTGTGTCTATTTGATTCTTCTCTCTTTTCTTTTTTATTAGTCTTGCTAGCAGTCTATCAATTTTGTTGATCTTTTGAAAAAAACAGCTTCTGGATTCATTGATTTTTTTTTTGAAGGAATTTTTGTGTCTCTATTTCTTTTAGTTCTGCTCTGATCTTAGTTATTTCTTGCCTTCTGCTAGCTTTTGAATTTGTTCTTGCTTCTCTAGTTCTTTTAATTGTGACATTAGGGTGTCAATTTTAGATCTTTCCTGATTTCTCTTTTGGGCATTTAGTGCTATAAATTTCCCTCTACACACTGCTTTAAATGTGTCCCAGTGATTCTGGAACACTGTGTCTTTGTTCTCATTGGTTTCAAAGAACATCTTTATTTCTGCCTTCATTTTGTTATTTACCCAGTAGTCATTCAGGAGCAGGTTGTTCAGTTTCCATGTAGTTGTGCGGTTTTGAGTGAGTTTCTTAATCCTGAGTTCTAACTTGATTGCACTGTGGTCTGAGAGAGAGTTTGTTGTGATTTCTGATCTTTTACATGTACTGAGAAGTTCTTTGCTTCCAATTATGTGGTCAATTTTAGAATAAGTGCTATGTGGTGATGAGAAGAATGTATATTCTGTTGATTTGGGGTGGAGAGTTCTGTAGATGTCTGTTAGTTCTGCTTGGTGCAGAGCTGAGTTCAAGTCCTGGATATCCTTGTTAACCTTCTGTTTCATTGATCTGTCTAATATTGACAGTGGGGTATTAAAGTCTCCCATTATAATGGTATGGAAATCTAAGTCTCTTTGTAGGTCACTAAGGACTTGCTTTATGAATCTGGGTACTCCTGTATTGGGTGCATATATATTTAGGATAGTTAGCTCTTCTTGTTGAATTGATCCCTTTACCATTATGTAACGGCCTTGTTTGTCCCTTTTGATCTTTGTTGGTTTAAAGTCTATTTTATCAGAGACTAGGATTGCAACCCCTGCTTTTTTTTTTTTTTTTTTTTTTGCTTTCTATTTGCTTGGTAAATATTCCTCCATCCCTTTATTTTGATCCTATGTGTATCTCTGCATGTGAGATGGGTCTCCTGAATACAGCACACTGATGGGTCTTGACTCTTTATCCAATTTGCCCATTTGTGTCTTTTAATTGGGGCATTTAGCCCATTTACATTTAAGGTTAATGTTGTTTTGTGTGAATTGGAGCCTGTCATTATGATGTTAGCTGGTTATTTTGCCTGTTAATTGATGCAGTTTCTTCATAGCATCGATGGTCTTTACAATTTGGCATGTTTTTGCAGTGGCTGGTACCGGTTGTTTCTTTCCATGTTTAGTGCTTCCTTCAGGAGCTCCTGTAAGGCAGGCCTGGTGGTGACAAAATCTCTCAGCATTTGCTTGTCTGTAAAGGATTTTATTTCTCCTTCACTTATGAAGCTCAGTTTGACTGGATATGAAATTCTGGGTTGCAAATTCTTTTCTTTAAGAATGTTGAATATTGGCCCCCACTCTCTTCTGGCTTATAGGGTTTCTGCCGAGAGATCCACTGTTAGTCTGATGGGCTTCCTTCCCTTTGTGGGTAACCTGACCTTTCTCTCTGGCTGCCCTTAACATTTTTTCCTTCATTTCAACCTTGGTGAATCTAACAATTATGTGTCTTGGGGTTTCTCTTCTTGAGGAGTATCTTTGTGGTGATCTCTGTATTTCCTGAATTTGAATGTTGGCCTGCCTTGCTAGGTTGGGGAAATTCTCCTGGATAATATCCTGAAGAGTGTTTTCCAATTTGGTTCCATTCTCCCCATCACTTTCAGGTACACCAATCAAACATAGATTTGGTCTTTTCACATAGTCCCATATTTCTTGGAGGCTTTGTTCATTTCTTTTTACTCTTTTTTCTCTAACCTTGTTTTCTCTCTTCATTTCATTCATTTGATCTTCAATCACTGATACCCTTCTTCTACTTCATCGAATCGGGTATTGAAGCTTGTGTATGCATCACGAAGTTCTCATGCCATGGTTTTCAGCTCCATCAGGTCATTTAAGGTCTTCTCTACACTGTTTATTCTAGTTAGCCATTCGTCTAACCTTTTTTCAAGGTTTTTAGCTTCCTTGTGATGGGTTTGAACATGCTCCTTTAGCTTAGGGAAGTTTGTTATTACCGACCTTCTGACGCCTACTTCTGTCAACTCATTAAAGTCATTCTCCATCCAGCTTTGTTCCGTTGCTGACGAGGAACTGTGATCCTTTGGAGGAGAAGAGGTGCTCTGGTTTTTAGAATTTTCAGCTTTTCTGCTCTGGGTTTTCCCCATCGTTATGGTTTTATCTACCTTTGGTCTTTGATGTTGGTAATCTACAGATGGGGTTTCGGTGTGGATGTCCTTTTTGTTGATGTTGGTGCTATTCGTTTCTGTTCGTTAGCTTTTCTTCTAACAATCAGGTCCCTTAGCTGCAGGTCTGTTGGAGTTTGCTAGAAGTCCACTCCAGATCCTGTTTGCCTGGGTGTCACCAGCCGAGGCTTGGTTGGAAATGCAGAAATCACCCGTTTTCTGCGTTGATCATGCTGGGAGCTGCAGACCGGAGCTGTTCCTGTTCAGCCATCTTGGAATGGATGTCCTCCACATCCATCTTTTCTAAGAATTACAAAATATTTGATTATCTGGATGTAGCATAAGTTATTTAACCAGTTTTGTATTGATGGACACTTGAGATGTGTTTAGTTTTGTGTTATTAATATTTTATGAAGTGCTCCAGTCAGTTTCCTTGTACATCTATCTTTGTGTACTTTGTAAAGTAGATTTGTAGGATGAAGTCTTAGCAGTATAATTGCTGGTTTAAATTTATATGCAATTATTTTTACAGATATTTCAAATGCCCTCCATAAAGGAGAAAAATCTC
Source organism: Homo sapiens (assembly GCF_000001405.40). NCBI lineage: Eukaryota > Metazoa > Chordata > Mammalia > Primates > Hominidae > Homo > Homo sapiens. Next base: position 121,226,693 of record NC_000007.14, read on the forward strand.
TCTTAATATTAATTTACATAAATTGCTCTCTTCTTGAAAAACATTCAATTTTGGGATAAATGTGATATCTCAAGGGTGACTTTAGATAGATTATCATTAATTATTTATTGCTAATGTAAACATAAGCTAATTCTATAAATGTTTATTGAATGTCTGATACTGTGAATCAGACAATAGCTACTCAGTATTTTATGGCTGATTGACTACAGTGCAAGGAGAGTTGTTAAATTTAAAGACCATGTAAACACAGAAAATAATTCATTCCTTCAGAACAAGATGCCAGTCTGTACAAGGAATCCATTTGGAAATTTCTCAAAAGGGAGAACCACAAACACAAAATTCTAGAGCTAAATAGATCATATGGGAATTATTTAGACAATTATTCTGTAGAGACTCAAAAACATTAGAGCCAGAATTATATTGGAGGTCATTCCAGTGCCCCAAATATCCATGCTAGCAGGAACCCAGCGTTGGCCATATAGGTCATGTTTACCCTTATGTTCTCCCCTTTTTTCTCTATTCCAGTGGCCCTTTCTCTGCAGCTGGGCCCCACACCTACATCCATCCGTTTCTTCTCCTTCCATTGATCCTATATACTGACAATAGCTTCAATCAGAAGCCGTGTTTTGAATGTTTATCACATGCTGAGGACTCTGACAAGTGCTAGAAACAGAAAGATTGTAACACAATTTCTGATCTGGGCTTACATCGTGGATGGATTTATACCAAAAACAGCCTTGGTGTGACTGTACCTGAAAAGACATAAAGCAATGCAAGTCCATTTTAAGGAACCAACTTTCAACTGCAATTTGTGTGGAGATGGAGTAAAGGTGAAAGAGAAAGTATTGATTAATTCACAGGAAGATTGAAATTAGACTATAAAACCAATGATTTGCTCTGCTTTTGGGAAAGTCAGCTATATATTAAGATGAAGCGGCAGAGGTCTAAAGTGAGATGAACCTCCATTTAAAACCTACCTCTCAGTAATTTAGCATTTCTATTTTCTTATTCCTAAAATGAAGATAGGAGTTGTTGTGAGAAAAATAAGATAATATGTGTAAATAACTTACATGCCAGGCATGTAATAAATGCTTTAAAAATACATCTATTTCAATTATCCTTATGCTCCAGTTTTATCCTTGAGGAGCTTGACAAATCTATACTAGTTGTGGTAAGTTGGAAGGCAGGTTAGAACTCCAAGTAGCAACTAATATCCTGAGATTTGCAAAATATTTTTGGAATAAACTTATAGCAGAACAGACAATTCATAATTGGCAGACTACTTAAGATTTGTCACAAAAATCAACTCAAAATGGATTAAAGACTTAAATGTAATCCCAGAAACTGTAAAAATACTAGAAGAAAACCTAGGGAAAGGTCTCCTGGACATTGGTTTAGGCAAATAATTTATGATTAAGACTTCAAAATCACAGGCAACTAAACCAAAAATAGACTAAGAAGACTTAATTAAACTAGAAAGCTTCTGCACAGCAAAAGAAAATCAAGAGATAACTTGCTGAATGAGAGAAAATATTTGCAAACTATTCTCCTGATGGGGGACTAATATCTAGAATACACAAGGAACTCAAACAACAAGTGAAAAAGCAAATAATTCCATCAACAAGTGGGCAACTTATAGAAATAGACATTTCTCAAAAGAAGACATACAAATCGCCAATGGGTACATGAAAAAATGCTCGATATCACTAATCATCAGAGAAATGCAAATGAAAACCACAGTGAGATATTACCTAACTCCAGTCAGAATGACTATTATTAAAAAGACAAAAAAAATAGATGTTGGCAAGGATGTGAAGAAAAGAGAACTCTTATACACTCTTGGTGGGAATATAAACTAGTACTGCTACTATGGACAATGATATGGAGATTTCTCAAAAAAAAAAAAAATCCAAAATAGAATTACCATCCAATCCAGCAATTCCACTACTGGGTATCTAACCAGAAGAAAAAACATCCGTTTATCAAAGGGATACCTGCACTCATATGTTGCAGCACTATTCACAATAGCAAAGATATGAAATCAGCATAAGTGCCTATCAGTGGATGAATGGATAAAGAAAATGTGGAACATGGACCATTACTTGGCCATAAAAAATGAAATTACTTTATTTGTAGCAACATCGATGGAACTGGAGGTTATTATCTTAAGACAAATAAACCAGGCACAAAAAGACAAATATTACATGTTCTCACTTACATGTGGGAGCTAAAACATTGATCACATGGTGGTAGAGAGTGAAAAGATAGATAACAGAGTCTGGAAAGAATGAGTGGGGGTAAGGAGGGAGGATGAAGACAAGTGGGTTAAAGGGTACAAACATACAGTAAGACAGAAGGAATAAATTCAATGTTTGATATCAGAGTAGGGTGACTACAGCTAACAAAAATGTATTATACTCAGATGATGGACAACTTAAATACCCTTACTTGGCCACTAAGCATTATATACCCATGTAAGAAAATTTCACATGTACCTCATAAATCTGTACAAATTTTTAAAATAGATTTGTTAATGTCTCCTTCCCAATTTGTGAATATGATATTTTTAAAAGAATAAAAAAATAGACAAATGCTTATAGCCTAAATAGCATAAATGGCCATATTTGAATATCTCCTAAAGTTATGCTCTATATGATATATTTTCCATGATAAACATCTTCAGCATGAATCACAAACAACTCAGGATGTGTTATCTTGCTTCTCAGCATATGTCTAAGAAATCAGTCTTCTTGCCAAAAGGAGAAAAAAGTTTCAAAATCAAAATTATGAGTCTTATAGATTGATTTTCGTAGTAGAAATGAAATGAAGGTCCTTGTAATGGGAAACCATTAGAAATCTCAAAATCCAAATATTGCATGATTTTCACTTTACAGTACTTATATATGGCACCCAGGAAACTTCTCAGTTGACCATAATTAATTTATAAGAAAATTTGAAAATTTGAAATTTTATTTGTTTGTGGCAGGAGCTGATGAAACATTTTCTAATGATGGAAGCTAAAATTCCCTAACACAATATTTGTGCATCTTATACTAAGTACATCTTTCAATGCAATTTAATTTTTCTCTTATTCTAAAATGTTTGTTTTTTTAGTTCACGTCCTAAAAAAAGAAATGTGAGTGCTTCAAAACAGACCTTGAGAAGGAAATGCTTTCAGTTAACCTTATGGAAACATCACAGAAAGTAGCACTGGACAAAGTAGAAGTTATTCAAGTCAAGCAGAGTATGGGGTGAAGACTGGATGGAGATTAGCCAAAGAGGAGGACCACAGCCAAACTTTACCCTGAATGCAATGCAATCTCTTGAATTATTTCAAGCAACAAAGGGAGTTTAAAACTTTTGCATTTCAGGAAGATGACGTTAGCAACAACATGGAAAATAGACATATTGGTGGTCCATAGAACTGTAGCAGAGGAGACCCATTAAGAGGTCAAGGCAATTCCCATGATAAAAGAACATGAAGACACAGATCAAAATAGTATCCATTGAAATCAAGAAAAAAAGAAATCAAGAAGAGAAAGTTGATATGAATATTTGGTGATTGATTGGCTGCTAGGGGCAATGAAGAGAAGGGAAACTTGGAAAACTGAAATGTCTGGCTTGGGCACCGAATCTTCCAAGCTCAACAGTATTGAGGTTATTGGGGATGGAACAGATTTTGGAATGATTTTTAAAGTTCAATTTCAGCTGTTTGGTGAGTAACAGCAAACCTGACTAATAGTAGCTTAAATAAATAAGAGATATTTTCTTCTTATCCAATAAAAAGTCCAGAATTAGACATTTGCAGCAGATCAAGAACATCAGCACATATCAAAATGGTTTCAGAAGATCAAGAATGTCAGCACAGATCAAAATGGTTTCAGAAGATCAAGGATGTCAGCACTAAAGTCTCCACAAAGTTTTTGGCCTTTCTTCCATAATTTAAGATAGTTGTTGTTCTTCCAGCTATCAATTTCCTGTTTCACAAGCAGAGAAGAAGAAACAAGAGAGGAGAAAGGAACAGCCTCTGTACCAGAAAAACAGGCTTTCTCTGCAATTCTCTGCAAGTTTATACTTACATTTCACTGACCAGAAATGTGTCAGTGGCCACTCTTGGCTGTAAGAAAAACAGGGGAGACATGTTATTAGTGTTCTCTTTAGGAGAGCAAAACAAGGAAAAGCAAGATCAGAGTGGGTTTTGACTCAACCTATGATATCTGTCATAGTTATATTGAAATTGAGGTACATCTGAGACATCCAAGGGAGATGTCCAGGAAACAGATGACTATGTGTCTGGAAGCCCTGAGAGTGGCCTAGACAGGGATCCAGTTTGGGAGTCGTGATCATTCAAGCTGTGGTTATGCCATGAAGATGAATGATATCTCCCAGAATGCAAAGTAAGAGCACTAAGGGCATGACTATAGAAAAGGTCAGACCTTAAAGGCTGGGTAACAGAAAGAATCTTCTTTGAGTTGGTATTTGGTAATAAGGAGTGTTAACAAAAGCAAAAGGTGAGCATTTCCAGAAGTAGAAGAGAATGAGATGAAAAATACAAGTGAAAGAAGCAACCTTCACAGATGGAAGAAGATTTACTTTACTACAACATAAGAAGAGATATCTGGGCATGGTTGTCTTATTGTCAGCACGAATTTGAGCAAATTACTGTCTAATGGGTTCTAATTTTTTATGAAGTAGAAGACAAGGTCATCTAATGAGACCAACAGAGATGTAGAAATGAGGGAGCTTAAGGAGAATGATGAAGGTTTGAAGTAGCCTTTGTGAAGAGTGGGGAAATGTTCCAACTAGGATAATAGAACCAAGATTTCCAGGCAGTACTGAGAGACCATCAGGAAATGTGTCTGGCATTTATCTTTACATTTGTGTGATTTTTGCCGGCGTCACTGACAGGTATGTAGAACGTTGGATGGAGATAGATTGGATTGTTCCAGGATTGGAGAGTTGCTGTGTACCATAAGTAAAATAAAAAAAGGAAGATGCGGATTGTTGAGGTATAGAAATGAACAGTGTAGACACAAATTGAAAGAGTTAGGAATCATGGGAATGGAAGTTCTGCATGACTGCAGAAGAGGCAGGAATAAGGTAGAAGAAAAGTATATTTTATTTTGAGAAAAGGAATTAGAATTTAAAATTACAGATGGAGCATCCCTGGCTTGAATGAAATATTCTAGCATTTGTACAAAAATATTGTTGAATGAAATAGAATGAATCCATACAGACCTTTGATAGCAAATTGTGAAATGGAGAGAATGACAATGGCTAAGGTGTCCCATTGGTACATGGAAGCATAATTAAGATGTTGATAGAAGATTGCCACAAGGAGGAGCCAGGTGAAATGAGCCACAGTAGAGGGTAACACAATGGAATAATGGTTTGAAAGAGGCAGTTGGAAGACAAGAAGAAGTAAACTTCCTGACTACGCAGGCAGCCTTCCCTGGAGATGGCTACAGAGAAAGAGGGCAAGTTGTCTTTTCCCACAAAGTCGCAGGGCAAGTTTTTTTTCCATTCCCCCTCACCTGTTTTCCCTGTGCCGGGATGGGTTTTGGGGAAGGTGAGGAGATGGAGGGAACATTGCGTGAAGCCTTTGAGATTTTAGAAGGGTTTGCTTACCATGGATGGGAGTAGCAGATCAGTGAAATTGGATTAGAGGAGAGATGAATAGCATGCCTTGCATTTTGGTCCATGCATGAGGGTGCTAAAGATATGAGATGTGGGATCTGCTAGTGTCCAGTCACATGGCTTAGGCTTAGTAAGTGTTCGGGCTCAAGAGAACCAGCAGATGCCTTTGATCAGCAGTTCATCAGGACATTGGGGAAAATACATCATAAGATCTCAAATATATCTTACTTCAGGTGGGCTAAGAGTGAATTTATCTCCCCAGGAATGTCAGTTCTTCTGGGGAAAGGAACAGCCCTAGTCTGGAAGGGAACTCCCTGCCTTCCCAGAGGGATTTGGCCATGCCAGAATCATCACGTTTTGAGAGATCATTGCTAACTTACTGGAAATGGCAGTAGCCCAGGGAAAGGGGAGGAATTGGGTCTCTTTGGAAGGAGCTATGTGCTGGAGGGAGTAATTGCATATTTTAAAATTTAGGTGGGCATTTAAAATTGTTTAGACAGAGAAGGGAAGAATTCTTTCATCTCAGAGAAATAATTCCATGGGGTCAATAGAAGTAGGTAAGATTTAAAGACACAGATCAGCTCAAATAGTCCAATTCAGTATTGCTTTAAAAATACAGCAATATCACATTTAAAATGAGAAATATTACTCATTCTTTTGTGGACAAATAATTCTGTAAGGAATGAAGTGGGTGTCCAGAGGAATAGATAATGAGAAACTGTGATCAGGCAGGAGGAAAAACCAAGAACATCATAATGATTCCGGTTAGTTACTCTAGCACCTCATGAAAAGTTAAGTAAATTTTTTGAATTGTGTACTAAGCATATTTACTTTGCACACGTATGAACAAGAAAATTCCTACTAAATATATTGTTGCACTCAATTGAGAACTATGACAATCTACTCTGGAGTTTGGCGCTTCCTTTTGAAGTCTCCAACAAAATGATTCACTCTAAGTGTGAAGATTTCTGGAGCTAATGCTGATTTACAGAACTCTGCTAAATACTACATTTTCTGTGTCTATAGATCTGTGGCTCCAAGAGATGACACTTAAGACCAAAAAAGAGCTGTTAGCTGGGCACAGTAGCATATGCCTACAGTCCCAGCTACTTGGGAAACTGAGATGGGAGGACTGCTTGAGCCTGGGAGTTTGAAGCTGCAGTGAGCCATGATGGTACCAGTGTACTCCAGCCTGAGCGACAGAGGAAGGCTCTGTCTCAAAACAACAACAATACTGTTGTTTATTCTTTTTAGTAACTGATGTATTCAATATGCCTAAACCTGACCAAATTGCTGATCATCCCAGTGAAGAAAGAAATGAGAGACACTAATGAGAATTTTCCTTTTTTTAAATGTTATTACTGTGATTAATCACTTTTAAGGTCTAAAGAAATACTCAAAAAGATTCATGTGGCATTTAAATTATAAGTTTCAGAGACCCTTTGAGGAATAGAGAAATTTGGCTGCATCTTACGTTTCTATAGTGGCTTGACCAAGCAGGAGTTTGTTTTTCATAGTAAAAAGTGTAGAGGTAGCTCCACAGCATCACCAATACCCTAGGCTCATTCTATTTTTTCTGCCTATGGTTGCTTCATGGCCACAAGATGGCTGCTCATTCTCAGGCTTACATTCATATTCTAAGCAGAAAGAGGAAACAGAGTGATCAAGAAAAAGTGGCATCAGGAAAGGAAAACTTTTCTAGAACTCCCTAGCTGGTGTTCACTTACATTTCTTTGACTAGAACTATGTCTCCTGACTCCTTTTAGCTATGAGAGACTGGGAAATCAATTTTTTTAATGCTGGGCACATTACTCCAACAAAATACAGGTTTTTCTGCTAAAAGGAAGAAAGGAGAATGGGTATGGCGTAGGTACCTAAGGCAGTCAGCTCAGGACTTGAGCTTACCTAATGCAATTCTTTGCCTTCTCCTCTCCCCAGCCTTCACCATTTTGTAATGAGAAATCTAGATCAAGTGACTTAGTGTCACACAGCCGGTTCATGAATGTTGAAACATTATTTGCATGGGTATATATATGCTAAAATATATTTTTATTAATAAATTGAACACAACATCTCAGTCTGAAGTACCCAAGTTTAGATGACATTATAGCATATAGAACTATAAACAGATAAATACTTTGCATTTAAAAGTAACGTCTAACATGGTACCTCCTAGAATGGAGGAACAGCCAAGTCTCCAGCTGAGGTGGTGAAAGTTGTTTATAATATTTCAAACTAAGATTGAGTTTCACAAGTACTAGAAAAATAACATTCTCCCTAAATAAAAAGTAAAGCATTCTAGATAGAGCTAAAGCCTCCTTGACATCCACTGCCAGTCCAGGAACACATTCTCCAGTCCAGGAACACATTCTACAGTCCAGGAACACTACCGTCATCCAGATTTCCTTTTATTCTCTTAACAGAGACATACCTGTTCCCACAAAATCAATATTTAGTACATTGTTGATTGAGTGAACACACACGTACACGTGTGTATTTCAGATAGCATGAATTGTTCTATAACTTTTGGATATTTTCTTACCCATATGTCTTGAAAATATCTCCATGTTACTTAGTCCATTTAGATTTATCCTTATACATATCCCTTATGTTTTTCTAGAGTAGACCCAGAAGGCTCCAGGGTTGCAGAGTCTCTGCACTTTTTATTTTAGTATAAACTGCTCTCCAAAGCAACTGAATTAACTTGCACTCCCATTAGCAATGTATAATGGTAACTGCTTCTCATTGCTCCCTCTAACATTTCATATAAAAATATTTTTGCAAAATGAATCATGACACTTTTTTCTGGCCTTATAAAAGATCCAGTCTCCACTAAAAATAAATGGTTGGATAGATATCACACACATACACGGGTATACTAACAAGTATCATTTATAGATGTTTATTTAGACTACATCTCCCCACATTATAATAAACTTTGTGGTTTTTTATTGCTTTATTATAATAAGCACTTTAATACAAATCATTTTTCTAATTTTAGTCAGTATCTTAAACTCCATGCTTAGTCATAAATTAAGAAATGAAAATATGTACACTGAATCAAGATTTTAAGTTCACTCACCCCCACCATTCCTCTTGTTCCTTAATATCCTGGACCTTTTTGTATGAGATCTGGGAATCTGAGGTTAGGACAGTTGAGAATATGAGAGAATGTAACCACAAATTGCTGATTAGAACCAGAGTTACACAGCAAAGAAGAGGTCAAATCCACTGTTTCTCTCCATTGTTGAGAATTTCTCATATAATGAGGGACACAATAAAGTCTAACTTTTTATGCATTCAATAAATGTTTACTGTTTGTTGTATGATAAGTACTGGTTCCATATGTGAGTGGAATAATTATTTGTTCCCATGACACATTCAGTATAGTAGAAAAGACCCAGACAAATAATAAACAAACTAACAAACAGTTATCAAACGGTGAAGAGCATAAAGGAAACAAAGGGGGAGCTGACATGAACAAAAGTAGGGAGACGTAATTGTGCTAGAGTTTCAGGAAGACCTTGCTGAGACCTAAAATATAAGATGTCTCCATGCAAAATTAGGGGGAAAGCAATCCCAATCTAGATGATAGGCTTTTAACACGCCCTAAATTGTGATAGACTGAGAGAACCCAGTGAGAAGAGTGGCAGTGGAACCACATGAAGTAGGATAGAAGGACATAGGACAGGTACAGGGCCAACAGCTTTGCAGAATAAGCTAAGAGAAAATGAGACTGGTCCAGCCTGCGGGTGCAGCTCAGTGGATGGGGCAGAGGAAGAAGGAGAGAAGTTTCAGAGATGCAATACACTATCGTTCTGTTCTACATCTGTCAGACTATTGAAAACATTGCTTAGTATAGCACATGCCTCTATAATGATATTCAGTGCAGTGAAATGTTACCCACTGTTGTAAATATAAGAATGTGCTTTGAATAAAATACATGCATCTGATTCCACTCTGGTGTATCATGAATTCTTAATAAAAGTTTGTTAAAATGAAATTCATCTGTTAAATTAAATTCTCTCCAAATAGTTCCCATTTCCCTTCTCACATGAACCGTCTTTTCCACTTGCTGTATTGTCCTCTATTATAGTTTGTTTTGTTTTTAATGAGTTGACACAGATATATTTTTAAAGTAAAACTTGCATTCATTTTTTAATTGGCAGAACAATGACATGAATATCAATGTCAAAATAAAGATTAAATTGTTATCTACTTCTAGCACAAACAACTATTGATAAGCTAGCAGGGGAAAGATAAGGAATATTTGCTCCCTTTTATCCATAAAGGTTATTTGCCACATAAAGTCTTATTTTTTAGATTTTATTATTATGGGTCAAGTTAATTAATACAACAACTAATATCTATTATTTTAATGCAGGATTGTGGTTTGCTGATTCATCCAGAGGAAACCTGTGGGTTACAGCCTATTTCTTCTGACTACATTGAAGCCATTTTACAGTCTGAACTAAAAAGATGTCCATCTGGGGACATGAAAGGTGACTATCACATTGGATATCACTTCTCTAAAAAAAGAATAATTTGGTATAGATAAGTGTATGCTTATTTAAACTATCCTTTTATAAAAAAACAAGGGCATTACTTTTTATTGACAATGAACTATAAAGCATATAATTAATGTAAGTGCATTGTTTTAATATTTGAAATACTTTGATTAATCAATTATTTTCTTCTCCCCTTTTTGCCCAGTTAATCCATATTCATCTGCAGATATGTTACCCATGTTACACTTGCCAGAGAGCCTTCCCTGAGCCTCTGATTTGTTTCTTTATTATATAGTTGATAGCACTCAGTAATTTTCTTCCGTAGCAGTTACCACAATTATTTAAATGACCAAGTATTGAATTAATTGTTTAATGTCAGTTTTCCCAGGATGTCAGCTTCATGAGGGCAGAGAGCCTGACTAGTTTGCATTATACTAATTCATTTGGCACCATAATTTGTACATAGTAGTTAGAAAATAAATATCTGGTGTGAACCAAAGAACTGCAAAGTATGCAAGTTCAGTTTTAAATTATCTCTTTTCACTAAAAAAAAGTTAGGGGGCATGATCACTAGTATCCCTCATATATCGGTCATTTATAGAGGCAAGAAAATTGTGACATCAAATTTAATTACTGTGTTAAATCCTGCCTAAGCACTGAGCAGAACTAGAATGAGATACATCTTTGGTGCCACTCTCAACATTCCCTATTTCTCTCCTTCCCCAGCAATCTTCTTTCAGTGGAGATGTTGGGGTCAAGCCAAAGTTGGGACTAAAAATGCCTTCAAAGCCGTTAGAGGAACAGAGAGCATCTTCTCCAAGTTTCCTGGTTACTGCTCTGTCCTCCTGACCCCAAGTCTCCCTTCCTCTAAAAAGGTCTGAAAAAACACTCAGGAGCTTTTCTACCCTTGCCATGAACTTCACACCACAGCTTGAATGGGAAATGAGTTCCCCAAATGGGCAGGACAAATTGCAATTTGGCACGCACAGTTAACAAACGTGGGCATGTCACCATTCTTGAACATGTGTTCTAAATAATAAATTACAGTCAGGGAATAGAGAGGGATTTACCCATTATGGTGTGTCAGGTGGTGTGATTTGTGATTCTCTGCTAAATGAGATATATATTATTCCATACAAAGGAGACACTGATATGTCCAGTTAAATATTTTTTATCAGATGACAATTTACGAGAAATCATTAAACAGTTGTATTCCTCCTACTGGACAAAGACAAAAGTTCTTCAACAAAAAGTTCAAGGTACATTACTGGGATTCTTCAAGAAGTGGCAGCTTGTTCTGTTCACTAAATGTACGCTAACTTATGTTAGGCTTTGTGCCTGGACATTGTGGGTGAGGCCGCCATAGAACGGTGGCCTTCTGGTACTTAAGGAGCTAGGTCTCCTTAGAGAAGGCCCCAAATTGACTCACAAATCAAGTGCACGCTCCTTAGCCTGAAAATTTGAAGCCTCCATAATCTGGCCCATTTCTATATTTCCAGCCTCCTCCCAGCCTCTTTGCCTCTCTTTATGTTGAGAGTGCCCCTTTAGAACTTCAGGTTTTTGTCCACACTGTTCCCTGTACCTACAAGTCCTCTTCCCATCTTTGCCCAGCTTCTGATGCTGGAAGTCCTCTCCGGGAAGCCTTTTTTCACCACCAGATTCCCAGCTTAGCTTCTTCCCAGTGCATCCTGGGCACATCTCTACAACAGCTCTTACCATATTATGTTAAGTATTTACATGTTTCTCACTTAGTCTCCAAAATGAAGTGATGTTCCTTACGAAGAGGAGGAAGTGGCACAGGGCCATTCATAGGGTGAAGCCAGTAAAGATTAAAATATATATGCATTTATATTTTACCTGATCATTTTTCTTTTTATGTTTTATAATTGATAAAATATATAAATATAGGAATATATATTATATATATATATTACAGTGTACTCATTAATACATCAAGGGTGCACGAGCAATATGTTTTTACTGATGGCTTACCTAGATTATAGGCTTCTCTAGAGAAGAGATTGTCCCTTATCCATCTTCCAATGTCTAATATAAGATTTTAAAATGATTGCTGAACTAAAACCAAGATCCAACCTCCCTCCCATCCACAGAAGACTATGAGCAGCCAGGGCACAATCACGACAACCAACTGCTCCATCCTCAAGCTCCAAAAGGCCCAAAGACTCAAAAACTTAACAAGTGAGGTCAGGATAGCAGTCTGCAAGAATGTATCACTTGCTGCTAGAGATGATTTCCTTCCTTAGTAGCAGGATTCCCTCCTATTGAAAGAAGTTGTTATAGTGGACAAAATTGGGAGAAAGTTGATTTAGGAGCTCTGGATTTAGTTTTAATGGCCAAAGATAGACTGGTTTGAAAATCTTATTTTAAAAGCACATTACAGCTATTTGGCAAAACTGGATCTTTTTCTTTTCACTTTGCCTATGTATTGATCTCAATATACCATTTTCAATAACATCAGCCATTAAACTTTTGAATGATTGTATTTTTTTAATTCTTAAATTGATTTCTATTTTTTAGGAAATAGTTTAACTGTAAGATACAACCTAGAATTAAATCTGTTGCTTAAGAAAGAAAAAATAATTATTCTAATTAGGAAAAATAAAAATTTCTACAGTGGTCATTGAATGAGAATTAACTTTAAGGAAAATATTTCAGATTGCATTTTATGATATGTAAACAATTTAAAAAAATTTATCCTACCTTATTTTAGCAAGGAATTATGACAACTTATACTTTAACACTAATATTGAAAATATAGATGTTTTTGTCTTCTTAAAAAATGCTTTGTATTATATAACATTACAGAGTCAGGAATTAGTGCCAACATTTACATGATTTCCTATCTCACCTCAACCCTAAATCAGAGTTGAACTTTTTTCCTCCGTTGTATCATTCAATCTGATTCACTGAAATGGCTGAAATCTAACTTGCATTAAATATAGAGCTATAATTATAAGTCAAATGACTTCTCCTAAAAGACAATTTCATTCCTCAGAATGTTGTTTCCTAAAACATATGTCACACTTTACTTCAGAAATCACAGCTTTGATTCATTCAGTGTTCAAATATATAACATAGAATTTATGGTACTTTTTTGGACAATTTTAGTAAAGAGCTGGTATTATTTAAAATGTCAAGAGCACCAGTTTTGCAGATGTTATACAGATGCCTATTTCAAGCAGTATTTAACTCACAATAAATAAAAGGAATTGTTAACCAATGCAAAAATGCAGAGTTATGGCTGTATAAATATAGAGTAGTATGAACCACTGGGGCCAAGTTTTCAGAGACCCAATCAGGCTTCCTTTTTATGTGCATGCGATTTCATGTCCACAAACTAATTGCACCCACATTTGAATCTCTGTGCACGCAATTAGCCACTTGTTTCTTCATCCTTGGCAGCAAGTGGCCAAAGTGGGCCTCAGTTTTTACAAAATTAGCTGTCAGCAAGGTTGAGGGGTACAGTGTCTGGAGTAAGGGTAGGATGCATATGCTCTGAGATTCTGAGATCTGATGAAAACAGCCTTTCAAAAGATTATTAAATAGAATCTCATTAGCAGAAACACATTTATGCCCTCAACATATCATTATCCTATTAGAAAGAAAATTAACAATCTTTGCTTAAACATAGTCTCTGTCAACACAGGAGCTCGCTAAGTAAATTCAGCTTTTTAAAATAAATTCATTATAACAATCAGTTTGTGAGTTTTCCTATAAGTGCTACCAAAGAGGATGTGGGGCTGTATTTCATTTTCCGCTGATTATTTTGTGGTGACCTAGCCTAATATGATAAAAGGATAGGCAAATTGAAGACTCAGAGGCCTCAGTTCTGGGCCTGCCCTGTCATTAACAGCATGATCCCACTTCTGTTATTTAACTCTTTGGGCCTCAGATTGCCTCTTCTGTTAAAAAAAAAAAAAAAGTGACGGGGAAGGGAGGGAGAAAGGACACACTCTAAGGCCTCTTCTGACTCCATCCAACGTGATGCTACACAGCCACTCAATGTGAACCTCTGTGAAGGAAAGACTACCATTTATCTAAGGAGGTTTGCTTGAGAAATACATCAACAAAGATTAAACTTTAGGCTGTGTCTATATCAAAGATGTGGAGGAGGTTGGTTATTAATGACAAACCATGCTTGCCAGAACAGAATTAGAATTAGAAAGCAAGATATATTCTGAATGAAAAAGAAATTATAAAACAGGCCGGGCGCGGTGGCTCACGCCTGTAATCCCAGCACTTTGGGAGGCCGAGGCGGGCGGATCACGAGGTCAGGAGATCGAGACCATCCCGGCTAAAACGGTGAAACCCCGTCTCTACTAAAAATACAAAAAAAAAAATTAGCCGGGCGTAGTGGCGGGCGCCTGTAGTCCCAGCTACTTGGGAGGCTGAGGCAGGAGAATGGCGTGAACCCGGGAGGCGGAGCTTGCAGTGAGCCGAGATCCCGCCACTGCACTCCAGCCTGGGCGACAGAGCGAGACTCCGTCTCAAAAAAAAAAAAAAAAAAAAAAAAAAAAAAAAAAAAAAGAAATTATAAAACAGAATTGGATGGAAAAATAAGCACTTTTGAGGAAGATAATCTTTATTTTGCCATTCAAAAACCAGCATCTCTCCTAAATTTTCTGTTGTTTCTTTTAGCAGTACGGCCATTCTCTACAACCAGAAACTTTAGAAACATCTTTCACATAGCAGACCCTCGTTTTCTCCAAGATATGCAGTCAGTTCTTCTGGCTCACTCCTGTCAGGCCCATCTCTTCACTGTACCTAAAGTACCACTCCTTCCAGGTCTTCAAATCTTATCTGTCCCTAAAGGCCTGTTCACATATTATCTGCTTCATGGACCCTTCCAGAAAACTCTGACCTCCATGACTCTTTCTCTATTTGGAACAATTGTGGCTCACTGAGAGTAGAGGTGGGAAAATACATAAAATATATATGTTGACTATTAGGTAATCAGGCACTATGGCAGGTGTTATACATATTTTCCTTGTGGAGAAGTAAATTTAATCATGAAAAGATTAAGTAATTTGTCTAATTTAAACAGTGAGTTTTATCCTTGGCAGCATATTGGAATCACCAAAGAAGCATTAAAAAATACTGATTTCTGAGCCCCATCCCCATTGATTCTGATTCAATGTCTGGGGTACAATCTGGGTGTGGGAATTTTTAAAAGCTTTCCAAGTGACTCTAATATGTAGTCAATGTTGAGGTCCGCAGGGCCAGTTGGAGATAGAGCCCAGGTGTGCATGCTCTCCAAAGCCCCAACTCTTTACCACACAGATATTTTTACTCCATTATGCATTACTTGTTTTTACGCTATAGTTATTCTATATTACGTATAAATTATAATCTTCTAACCTGAGTATAAATTTTTGAGGTTTAGCATTATAGTTAAGAGCATGGACTCTGGAGCTGACTGCCCTGCTCAAATCCTAGTTCTACTACTTACTAACTAGAGGATCTCAGACAAGTTCCTGAGCCCTGGTTAAGGAGATGATAACAGGGTTGTTGATGTTTAAATATGTTGATAAATTAAAGTTTTCAGAATATTCCTAGCATTTGGGAGGTACTGAAAAATGTCAACTATTCTTTAAAAATTATTATGATATTTTAACACCAATAATGCCTAACACTTCAACAGAGTATATACTTAATGTATTAAACTTAAATCCTTCTGGAGAGTCATATGTATATGGAGACATAAAGGTTAATTTATCATTCCTGAAATTGCATAGAAAGTATTTAGTAGATAGACATTTAATAAAGCAGTTTTCTGTAATCCTCATTACATGTAAAAATCAAAGAAAAGGAAAAAATGGTGGTAAGAAGAACAAATGACTCTGCATTCCTTTTGAAAATTTGGTATTTCTCTTCCAGTTGACATTGTACCCCTCAAAGTTATTGTATATTTTCTTTCCTTTCCTGGAGTTCATACTTTTCTCATCTCCTTTCCCTCCGATTTTCTTTTATCTCTTCCAGTTTCTCTCTCTTAATATACCTACATTTCTTTCTCTTTCTGTGTTCAATCAGTAAGAGCCATAAACTATATCATCTTTCATATTTTATATTAATAACTATTTCCACATACACAAACACATTCACAATTCTAACATCCCTGAAGTCATGAATATAAAATGCACTATATTCATCTCCTAAAAACAGAAATCCTTTCCCCTAAAATTAATATAACACCAGATACCATTATTAGCAGTACCACTAATCAAAGCCAGAATGGACAAAGTTTTTAAGTTTTTTCCTTTCTAACTCAAGAACTATCTGGGTGATATTTAGCTCCTCAGTTTTGAAGGGTAAACATATACTAGTAACATAAGCAAGATATTTAGGGTAAGGAGAGTGATTATCAGAGAAATAATTGCATATGTTCTCCAACAAGGAGAGAAATAACCACTCCATATTTGTTCATATGATGTGCTATGTTCACACTCAATTCCTGAAACGATGAACAAGGAAAAAAAAACAAAAAAATTATATTTTTCTACCACATTATTAATGTATCCACTCACACTAAAAGCTGAAGTGTTTTGCATGAATGTTGTTTTATCAGTAAAACAGGAAAGATCTTAAATGCATAGAGAATATTCATTTATTTTATAAACATTTGCTAAAGCTTGGGACCTACTTTCTACCTGAACTCTGTTAGTAACAAAAGATGAATACAATATTGCAAATGTGTCTTAAATACATTATTCCATTACATTGTTACACCAATCATGTGAGAAGAACTGTACACACCTCATCTAACAGATGAAGAAATTCAGGCAACAGCTAGAAAGAGGTGAAGACATTCACACGAAAAAGGCCATCAATCAAATCAAAGAAAAATAACTAATCTTCAAAATAATAAATTATCATCATACTGAAGTAGTTCTCTTGTATCTTAAATCCCTTGAGAGCAGGGAATAGATCTATTATACTTATGGACAGAGAACCTATGCATGTGTTAGGCTAATAAATATTTGAGGCTAACTGCCAATTTGTGGGGCTCCCAGTCTATTAATGCTTTGGTCTTACTGAAGTGTTCAATGTACTGTTTAAAAATAGGTAATGATTGAGTAATACTTAGATTTTTAATAAGTATAAGGTTTCATGGAACAGAGCTCATACTTGATTTTAGCATGAAATGTGTTATTTCAGAACATTACTTAATGTTGCTATTCTATTTGGTTGGCAGGAAGCCATGCCTTCATTATTCCACTAGATTTAAAGGATAAGGATGGTCTTACTATAATTTCTGAAATGGTGTGCCATAGCTGAATTTTAAAGTTACTTACAAACTTCACCAGCAGAAACAGAACCAAAGAAAGTTTTGCCATCTATTCCAGGCCAGTGGATTGTGCCTTGCCTTAGTTGTTCGGACAACAGGACGTGTGACTGGAGAGAAATAACCTGGCAGCCCCACAACTGCCAATATGGTGTCCTAACTAAGCCTCAACTCCAGCAGTGCCTGGGAGGAAGGAAGGTAGGTTCTGGATCTAGTGGGGGAAGCCTTTAATGTATGCCACCTGAAGTACTAAAAATCGTATAGTTGTATCTACTAGACCAATTCCTGCTGTCTCACAGCAGAGGAAAACTAACTGAATGCAATATGGCTTTTTGAATCATGTATAGATGTTATCATAGAATAGCCTGAACAATTCCCGCTCCAAATGTTCAGTTTTCTCCAAGTAACTCTGTTTGACAGATGGAGGATATTAAAGTCTTGTCCTATGCTGACCCGATTCCATGCTGTTTTCTCAGCACAAATTGGTAGGAGCTTGCCACGTCAACTGACAGTTGGCAGTTGAGAGCAGCTGGCCTTGTCAACTGCAGCTCTGGCAGGCACTGCTGTGAAAACAGACATCTGCAGCTCAGCACAGGAAATCAAAAGGTCCTGCATGTGAGACTCACTTCTAGAGCTTTCCAAGTGCATGGGATTGTTTTTACGCACTAACCTTACTGATCTTCTTTCATATTCCTGGGCAGGTCTCACATGGACCTCACTAGGCTGATTTTTCCTTTAGTGAGGCTTCTAAGCTGATTTCTGGGACATGCAGTGTCTTCTTGCTAGGCATGCTCTGACTAGGTAGAGTCTGGCAGAACTCTCGGATATGCAAAATGGGCACATAGACTGAGATGCTTGGTTAACATCAAGTAAGTAATCCTTAACCCAATTTTCAAAGTGCTTTTTATTAGATGGACATTTCCTTATACAGTTTGTAAGCTCTCACACATGAGCAAGACTGATTTCAAAAGCTGATTTTCACAAAGCTCTATTAAAACACATAGAAAAAAAGGCCTGGGCAGAAGGTATGCCAATTTACTAGCAAATAGTTAAAGAAGAATAACAGGAGCTGAGGGGCAGGACAGAAAGATGGACATCTTCTTCATGGTGATTTCAATATAAATGTTCCAATTTTCATGATTGAGAATGTCTCTAAAGATCAATCAGTAGTGTTAGTTCCTTTTTTTAAAAAAAGAAGGGAAGAAAATCATTTAGGAACTTATGTTGCAGTGTTATTAATTGAGCATTGATTTTGTGCAAGAAACTGTGTTTCTTGCTAAATTTGTTACACTTTAAATCCCACCAGACTGTAAGCTTCAAAAGGGCAGGGAATGTGTTTAATCCACCGCCATAATCTCATTGTTGAGCATAATTTTTGACGCAGAATAGTAACTTAATAAATATTTATCAAGTAAATGAATAAATTAAAAGTGTATTTATTCCTAATTGCAGCTAAGGTAGATATTATCATATCTTTTTTCTGCTTAAGATAAGTAAAGCTCAGAGAGATTGAGTAATTCACTGATGATCATACATGTATGGGTGTGGCTACTCCACAGGCATTTTTTTTTTTTTTGTCTCACACTGTCACCCAGGCTGGAGTGCAATGGCGTGATCTCAGCTCAATGCAACCTCCACCTCCTAGGTTCAAGCGCGTCTCCTGCCTCAGCCTCCCGAGTAGCTGGGATTACAGGCGCCTGCCACCACGCCTGGCTAATTTTTTGTAATTATAGTAGAGACGGGGTTTCACTATGTTGGCCAGGGCTGGTCTCGAACTCCTGACCTCAAGTGATCCACCCGCCTCGGCCTCCCTAAGTGCTGGGATTACAGGTGTGAGCCACCATGCCCAGCCCTCCACAGGCATTTTAAACCATCACCTTGGATAATCCAGCCTCCATATCCTATAAATGTTGCACTGGGAGCAATGACAATAGCTGTTGCCACACAGCCAGACTTCTCTAAGCTCAGAATACCATTCTGACCTCAGAATTTAGGGTGTTCAGAAAAATTCCAAGAAACTGTCACAGTCTATTAACCTGAAAAGCAGTAGATGTTCATTTAAGTTCATCACTAAATCCTACGGTTTTGGACACGACACGTCTTGTTTCTCAGGCTCATTTTCTTCATCTGTAAAATAACCCTCTGTGGTAGATGAATCAACTTTGTAAAAAGCTAAAGGCCCTCTTCCCTGTTTGTCTTAGCTCGAGCTGCTATAATAACATACAATAGACTGGGTGGCTTAAAGACCAGACACTTATTTCTCACAGTTCTGGAGGCTACGGAGTCCTAGATCAAGGTGTCAGTATGGTCAGGTTCTTGGGATAGCCCTCTTCCTGGCTTCTGTTGACTGCCTTCTTGCTTTGTCATCACACAGCAAAGAGAGAGAAAGAGTTTTAGTCCCTGACTCTTATAAGGAAACTAATCCCATCATGAAGCCTCTATCATTATGACCTTATCTAAACGTAATGACCTCCCAAAGACCTCTACCTCCTAATAGCATCACATTGGAGATTAGTGTTTCAACATATGCATTTGGAGGAAACATAAACTTTCAGCCCACAACATTATCTTTACTAATTTCTAGGCTGATTATTAATGACTCTACAAAGTAGTGGTTAAAAAAAAAAGATCATTGTTCATACCTGTTAATGAGAGAGGGTATTGCAAAATTTGAAAATAAAAGTCCGTGCTTAAATGAGACTTCAGAAGACCAGTTAGCTTGCTGCACAGCAAAAGGGCTTATCTTTGTGACTCTCCTAGTTTGCAGGTGTTCTTCAGAACTTGCATGCTCAGAAATTCAAATTTGCCAACACACTGCCAATAGGTCTACATAGACTGATGTATTTATCAAGACGCTAATTTATTCTATATGCAAAAGGCAAGCATTATCCATTTTTAACAGAGAAGTGGCACAACCAGCATTAGAAAGGCCATGCCGCAGCAGCATGGAGGCTCTTTAGGGGTAATAAAAAATAGATGCTAGGGAGGCAGAGGCTGTGTAATGGGAAAATTCCAACATGCATAATTGAGGAGGCAAAGCAATTATAGACTATATCCAGAATAATCCCGTTGATGTAAAATCCAACGCATACCTACAAACATGTTTACATGCATAGAGAATTTCTTGAAGTAACAAACAGTTAAGAGTAATTTGATAGGGGGAGAGGAGTGGGAGAGGGGCAGGGTGCAAAATAAAAATACAGGATCCTGTGTTCAAAATTTATTAAGAGTTTCAAGACAATAGTAGAACAAAAGGTGAACAAGAGGGCCAGTGACATAGCCAAGAAATGCCTGAGAGAGATCAAGGTTTCAAGTAAACCAACATTTGGACAGATCTTTGGAGAGAAAACGCCAAAAGCAGATGGCAACACAGATGCTAAGGCTGAGGAGGGAGGAGGCTGGTAACCCTGTCCAGGGTACCCAAACACTGGGGCTAGTTCCCAGCCCTGAATGGGTCCCGGGGAATAGATGAGTGAAGGAACTGTGGGACTACCCACACTTGCTGTGGACTTCTGGATTCCTGGCTACAGGGGACCCAACATACCCCACGGACATTTGAGCTGACAGGGGAATCTGTCCAGAGAGTAGACATAGATGGTACCTGAGCCAGTGCAGAAACAGGGGCCTTAGTGCACAACACATCTCTGGCGGAACCCATCTCTGGCTATAGGCACCCATCCCCCAAGTTTCCCTATCTCCCTCCAAGAAGTTTTATCCCCAGCCTACTGCTTAGCCAGAAGAAAATAGGGCCAACTTCCCCACAGGACTGGGGCATATCTGTTCTGCAGACCCTCCTGCCCACCCTGCCTGGCTTCTCTGCAGGAGCATGTGCACAGCAGCCTCCACTGCACAGCTGGATGCTTTGCTCCACCTGATTATGTTCCTGATGGCCTGGGAGCACTTTAGATCCCCTAGCGCACCTGAAACCTAACTCCAAGGGTTCAAAGGATAGAGCCACTAGCTGATCCTGGTGCCCAAGGCTGCAGTGTGCAGCTCAAGAGTGCTGAGCCAGGATATGTGGCCAGCACTCAAGTGGGAAACAAACCCACATTCTCAGAGCACTAAGAGGGATGACATGTGTGGTTTCATGGGCTGGAACAGGAGCAAGCCATGCCTCCCTCCACAGGACCAGCCTGGAAAGAATGTGGCCTATCTCCTTGCCGGAGCCTCTGTTCAGGGAGCCCCACAGCTTGGATCACCTAACAAAAGAAATGCAGACACAGTACCAGTGATTAAAGGGGGCTCCCCAAAGATGTAGGAGCAGGACTAATGAGAGGAGGTGACCTCTCTCCCCACCATACTACAGAGCATGGCTGCAAACTTGAATAAATACAGAGGAGCCCTGTGGCTGAGTAAGGGCCTAACACATATTACTTTTATATGCCATCTACTGGATCATAGCCCAAACTGCCACACCAAAAAGATTTTGCTAATATAGCAGCACCCTGTGAAACAAAAAAAAAAAAAAAAAAAGCATTAAGCCACAAATAAAGATGCCGTACAGAGCCTTGCCCTTTGAAAACATCCAGAAATAAAGCCAAGTGACTATACTCAACTCACACCACATTTAAAGGAACACTAACTCTCCCAAATAAGAAAGAATCAGCCTAAGAATTCTGGCAATTTAAAAACTAGAGTGTTCTCTTACCTCCAAATGAGTCCACTAGCTTCTCAGCCATGTTTCTTAATCAGTATAAAATGACTGAAATGATAGACATAGAATTCAGAATATGGATGTCAAAGAAACTCATCAAGATTCAACAGAAAGTTGAAACTCAATCCAAGAAATCCATAAAATGATTCAAGAGTTCAAAGATGAAATAGCCATTTTGAGAAAGATTCAAATTTAACTTCTAGACTTGAAAAAATTCACTGTAAGAATTTCATAATACAATCAGAAGTATTAGCAGCAGAATAGACCAGGCTGAGGAAAGACTCTCCAAACTCAAAAACGGGTTCTTTGAATCAACTCAAACAAGAATAAAGAAAAAAGTACTTGAAAAAATTAAACAAAAACTCCAAGAAATATGAGATTATATAAACAGAACAAATCTGCAACTCATTGGCATTCCTGAGAGGGGAGAGATAATAGACAACTTAGAAAATACATTTGATGATATAGTTCATGAAAATTTCCCTAATCTCATGAAAGAGGTTAACATGCACATTCAAAAAACATGGAGAACTCCAGCTATATGCTATATGAAATGACCATCCCCAAAGAACATACTCATCAGATTCACCAAGATCAATATAAAAGAAAAAATTTTAAAGGCAGCTTGCTAGAGAGAAGGGTCAAGTCTCATACAGAGGGAACCACATTAGGCTGGCAGCAGACCTTTCAGCAGAAACCTTACAAGCCAGAGATTAGGGGCCTATTTCTAGCATCTTTAAAGAAAAGAAATTCCAACCAATAATTTTATATCCCACTAAAATAAACTTTATAAGTGAAGGAGAAATAAAATCATTCTCAGATAAGCAAACACTGAGGGAATTTGTTTCAAATAGACCACCAGCATTACAAGAGGTCCTTAAGGGAGTGCTGAACATGGAATTAAAAGATCAGCACCTGCTACCACAAGAAGGCCATTACATAATGGTAAAGGGATCAATTCAACAAGAAGAACTAACTATCCTAAATATATATGCACCCAATACAGGAGTACCCAGATTCATAAAGCAAGTCCTTAGTGACCTATAAAGAGACTTAGACTCCCACACAATAATAATGGGAGAATTTAACACCCCACTGTCAACATTAGACAGATCAACAAGACAGAAAGTTAACAAGGATATCCAGGAATTGAACTCAGCTCTGCACCAAGCGGAACTAATAGACGTCTACAGAACTCTCCACCCCAAATCAACAGAATATACATTCTTTTCAGCACCACACCATACCTATTCCAAAATTGACCACATAGTTGGAAGTAAAGCACTCCTCAGCAAATGTAAAAGAACATAAATTATAACAAACTGTCTCTCAGACCACACTGCAATCAAACTAGAACTCAGGATTAAGAAACTCACTCAAAACTGCTCAACTACATGGAAACTGAACAACCTGCTCCTGAATAACTACTGGGTACATAACGAAATGAAGGCAGAAATAAAGATGTTCTTTGAAACCAACGAGAACAAAGACACAACATACCAGAATCTCTGGGACACATTCAAAGCAGTGTGTAGAGGGAAATTTATAGCACTAAATGCCCACAAGAGAAAGCAGGAAAGATCTAAAATTGACACCCTAACATCACAATTAAAAGAACTAGAGAAGCAAGAGCAAACACATTCAAAAGCTAGCAGAAGGCAAGAAATAACTAAGATCAGAGCAGAACTGAAGGAAATAGAGACACAAAAAACCCTTCAAAAAATCAGTGAATCCAGGAGCTGGTTTTTTGAAAAGATCAACAAAATTGATAGACCGCTAGCAAGACTAATAAGAAAAGAAAGAAGAATCAAATAGATGCAATAAAAAATGACAAACGGGATATCACCATCGATCCCACAGAAATACAAACTACCATCAGAGAATACTATAAACACCTCTATGCAAATAAACTAGAAAATCTAGAAGAAATGGATAAATTCCTCAACACATACACCCTCCCAAGACTAAACCAGGAAGAAGTTGAATCTCTGAATAGACCAATAACAGGATCTGAAATTGAGGCAATAATTAATAGCTTACCAACCAAAAAAAGTCCAAGACAGATGGATTCACAGCAAAATTCTACCCAAGGTACAAGGAGGAGCTGGTACCATTCCTTCTGAAATTATTCCAATCAATAGAAAAAAAGGGAATCCTCCCTAACTCATTTTATGAGGCCAGCATCATCCTGATACTGGCCTGGCAGAGACACAACAAAAAAAGAGAATTTTAGACCAATATCCTTGATGAACATTGATGCAAAAATCCTCAATAAAATACTGGCAAACCGAATCCAGCAACACATCAAAAAACTTATCCACCATGATCAAGTGGGCTTCATCCCTGGGATGCAAGGCTGGTTCAACATATGAAAATCAATAAACATAATCCAGCATATAAACAGAACCAAAGACAAAAACCACATGATTATCTCAATAGATGCAGAAAAGGCCTTTGACAAAATTCAACAACCCTTCATGCTAAAAACTCTCAATAAATTAGGTATTGATGGGACGTATCTCAAAACAATAACAGCTATCTATGACAAACCCACAGCCAATATCATACTGAATGGACAAAAACTGGAAGCATTCCCTTTGAAAACTGGCACAAGACAGGGATGCCCTCTCTCACCACTCCTATTCAACATAGTGTTGGAAGTTCTGGCCAGGGCAATCAGGCAGGAGAAGGAAATAAAGGGCATTCAATTAGGAAAAGAGGAAGTCAAATTGTCCCTGTTTGCAGGTGACATGATTGTATATCTAGAAAACCCAATTGTCTCAGCCCAAAATCTCCTTAAGCTGATAAGCAACTACAGCAAAGTCTCAGGATACAAAATCAATGTGCAAAAATCACAAACATTCTCGTACACCAATAACAGACAAACAGAGCCAAATCATGAGTGAATTCCCATTCACAATTGCTTCAAAGAGAATAAAATACCTAGGAATCCAACTTAAAGGGATGTGAAGGACCTCTTCAAGGAGAACTACAAACCACTGCTCAAGGAAATAAAAGAGGATACAAACAAATGGAAAAACATTCCATGCTCATGGGTAGGAAGAATCAATATTGTGAAAATGGCCATACTGCCCAAGGTAATTTACAGATTCAATGCCATCCCCATCAAGCTACCAATGACTTTCTTCAAAGAATTGGAAAAAACTACTTTAAAGTTCATATGGAACCAAAAAAGAGCCCGCATTGCCAAGTCAATCCTAAGCCAAAAGAACAAAGCTGGAGGCATCACGCTACCTGACTTCAAACTATACTACAAGGCTACAGTAACCAAAACAGCATGGTACTGGTACCAAAACAGAGATATAGACCAATGGAACAGAACAGAGCCCTCAGAAATAACGCCGCATATCTACAACTATCTGATCTTTGACAAACCTGACAAAAACAAGCAATGGGGAAAGGATTCCCTATTTAATAAATGATACTGGGAAAACTGGCTAGCCATATGTAGAAAGCTGAAACTGGATCCCTTCCTTACCCCTTATACAAAAATTAATTCAAGATGGATTAAAGACTTACATGTTAGACCTAAAACCACAGAAGAAACCCTAGAAGAAAACCTAGGCAATACCATTCAGGACATAGACATCGGCAAGGACTTCATGTCTAAAACACCAAAAGCAATGGCAACAAAAGCCAAAATTGACAAATGGGATCTAATTAAACTAAAGAGCTTCTGCACAGCAAAAGAAACTACCATCAGAGTGAACAGGCAACCTACAAAATGGGAGAAAATTTTCGCAACCTACTCATCTGACAAAGGGCTAATATCCAGAATCTACAATGAACTCAAACAAATTTACCAGAAAAAAACAACCCGATCAAAAAGTGGGCAAAGGATATGAACAGACACTTCTCAAAAGAAGACATTTATGCAGCCAAAAAACACACGAAAAAATGCTCATCATCACTGGCCATCAGAGAAATGCAAATCAAAACCACAGTGAGATAGCATCTCACACCAGTTAGAATGGTGATCATTAAAAACTCAGGAAACAACAGGCTGGAGAGGATGTGGAGAAATAGGAACACTTTTACACTGTTGGTGGGACTGTAAACTAGTTCAACCATTGTGGAAGTTGGTGTGGCAATTCCTCAGGGATCTACAACTAGAAATAGCATTTGACCCAGCCATCCCATTACTGGGTATATACCCAGAGGATTATAAATCATGCTGCTATAAAGACACATGCACACGTATGTTTATTGCGGCACTATTCACAATAGCAAAGACTTGGAACCAAGCCAAATGTCCAACAATGATAGACTGGATTAAGAAAATGTGGCACATATACACCATGGAATATGATGCAGCCATAAAAAATGATGAGTTCATGTCCTTTGTAGGGACATGGATGAAGCTGGAAACCATCATTCTCAGCAAACTATCACAAGGACAAAAAACCAAACACCTCATGTTCTCACTCATAGGTGGGAATTGAACCATGAGAACATATGGACACAGGAAGGGGAACATCACACACCGAGGACGGTTGTGGGGTGGGGGGTGGGGGGAGGGATAGCATTAGGAGATATACCTAATTCTAAATGACGAGTTAATGGGTGCAGCACACCAACATGGCACATGTATACATATGTAACAAACCTGCATGGTGTGCACATGTACCCTAAAACTTAAAGTATAATAATAATAAAATAAAAAAAAGGAACATAGCTCACTGGCACTGTAAAGCAATTACACAATCTAGTCTACATAACAACCAGCTAATAAAATGATGACAGGATCAAAATCTCACATATCAATACTAACCCTAAATGTAAATGGGCTAAATGACATATTTTAAATGCACAGAGTAGCAATCTGGGTAAAAAGATAAGACTCAACCATTTTCTGTCTTCAAGAGACCCATCTTGATGTAAGAACACCCACAAGCTCAAAGTAAAGGGATGAAGAAAGTTATACCATACAAACAAAAAAGAGCAGGAGTTGCTATTTTATATCAGATAAAATAGACTTTAAACCAATACAAATTAAGAAGGACAAAGAAAGGTATTATATAATAATAAAGAGTAAATCCAACAAGGAGATTTAACTATCTTAAATATTTATACACCAAATATTGAAGCACCTAGATTCATAAAACACGTTCTTGTTGGCCTATGAACAGATTTAGACACAATAATAGTGGGAGACTTTAACACCCCACTGACAGCATTAGACAGACCTTCAAGGCAGGAAACTAACAAAGAAACTCTGGACTTAAAATCACTTGACCAATTGGACCTAATAAACACCTACAGAACGCTCCACCCAACAACCACAGAATATATAGTCTTCTCATCTACACACAGAACATATTCTAAGATTGAATACATGCTTGAACATAAAGCAAATCTCAACAGATTCCAAAAAATTAAATCATACAAAGCACATTCTCACACCACAGTACAATAAAAACAGAAATCAATATCAAGAAGATCCCTTAAATCTACTCAAATACATGAATATTAAACAACTTGCTCCTGAATAACTTTTGGGAGAAGAATGAAATTAAGGCATAAATTTAAAATTTGTTTGAAATTAATAAAAATAGCAACTCAATTACCAAAATCTCTGGAATACAACTAAAGTTGTGTTAAGAGGACAGTTTATAGCACTAACCACCTTCCTCAAAAAGTAAGAGAGGTCTCAAATCAACAATATAAGTTTCCACCAAAAGGAATTAGAAAAAAGAGAACAAACTAAGCCAAAACCTAGCAGAAAAAAATAAATAACTAATGTTAGAGAAGAACTGAACAAAACAGAGATGTAAAAATCCTTACAAAAGATCAGTGAAAACAGAAGTCGGTTCTTCAAAAAGATAAGTAAGACTGATAGACTAACTAGATTAACAACAACAAAAAAGAGAGATCCAAATAAGTACAATCATAAATGACAAAGATGATATTACAACTGATTCCACAGCATACAAAAGATCCTCAGAGAATACTATGAATAACTCTTTGCACACAAATTAGAAAATCTAGAGGAAATGGATAAATTCCTAAAAACACACAAACTCCCAAAATTGAAAAGGAAGAGATCAAAATTTTGAATAGACCAATATTGAGCTCTGAAATTGAATCAGTAATTAAAAAAAAAAACATACCAATCAAAACAAGACCTGACCCAGATGGATTCACAGCCAAATTCTACCAGATGTACAAAAAAGAATTGGTACCAATGCTACTGAAACTATCCCAAAAAATCAAAGAGGAGGGATTCCTCCTTAACTCATTCTATGAAGTTAGCATCAGCCTGATACCAAAATCTGGCAGAGACACAATGAAAATAGAAAACTTCAGCCCAGTTTGCCTGATGAACATAGATGCAAAGATTCTCAACCAAATACTAGCAAACCGAATTCAGCAACACATCAAAAGATTAATACACTACAACCAAGTAGGCATTATTCCTGGGATGGAAGGCTGATTCAATGTATGCAAATCAGTAAATGTGATTCACCACATAAAAAGAATGAAAGCAAAAAGTCACATAATCATCTCAATACATATAGAAAAAGCTTCTTATAAATTTCAACATTCCTTCATGATAAAAAACTCTCAACAAACTAGGCATCAATTGAAAGAACATACTTCAAAATAATAAGAGCCATCTATGACAAACCCACAGCTAACATCATATGGAATGGGCAAAAACTGGCACTGTTCCCCTTGAGGACTGGAACAAAACAGGTATACCTACTCTTACCACTCCTATTCAACATAGTACTGGAAGTTCTAGCCAGAGCAATCAGGCAGAGAAAGAAATAAATGGCATCAAAATAGGAAAAAAAGTCAAACTAACTCTCTTTGTTAACGATATGATTCTATACCTAGAAAACCCTAGAGAATGCCAAAAGGCTCTTAGAACTAATAAACAATTTTAGTGAAGTTTTAGGATACAAAATCAATGTACAAAACTCAGTAGCATTTCTATACACCAATAATGTCCAGGCTGAGAGTCAAATCAAGAACACAATCCCATTTACAATAGCCACAATGAAAATGAAATACCTAGGAATACAGATAAGCAAGGTGGTGAAAGATCTCTATGAGGATAACTTCAAAATACTGCTGAAAAAATCAGAGATGACATAAATAAATGGAAAAACCTTACATGTTCATGGATTGGAATAATTAATATTGTTAAAATGGCCATACTGCCCAAAGAAATTACAGATTCAATGCTCTTCCTATCAAACTACCAATGTCACTTTTCATAGACTGGGAAAAACTATTCTAACATTCATATGGGACCAAAAAAGAGCCCTAATAGTTAAAGCAATCCTAAGCAAAAAAAAAAAACAAAACAAAAAAAAAAAACAAAGCTTATGCCAAAGACATAACTACCCAACTTCAAACTATACTATAAAGCTGCAATAACCAAAACAACATGGTACTGACTCAAAACCAGACACATAGACAAGTGGAACAGAATAGAAAACTCAGAGATAAAGCTGCATATCTACAACCATCTGATCTTCAACAAGGCCAGTGAAAGCAAGCAATGGTGAAAGGCTCTTTATTCAATAAATGGTGCTGGGATAACTGGCTAGACATATGCAGAAGAATGAAACCGGACCCTTACTTTTCACCATATACAAAAATTATTTCAAGATGTATTAAAGATTTAAATGTAAGACCTCAAGCTATAAAAATCCTAAAAGAAAACAGCAATAAGATACCATTTCATACCAGTCAGAATGGCTATTACTGAAAAGTCAAAAAACAACGGATGCTGGAGAGGCTGCAGAGCAAAAAGAACACTTATACACTGTTGGTGGGAATGTTAATTAGTTCAGCCACTGTGGAAAGCAGTTTGGAGATTTCTCAAAGAACTTAAAACTGAGCTATTATTTGACCCAGCAAACCCATTACTGGGTATATTTATTTATTTATTTCCTTCCCAAAGGAAATAAATTGTTCTGCCAAAAAGACGCATGCACTCGTATGTTCATCACCACACTATTCACAATAGCAAAGACATGGAATCAACCTAGGTGCCCTTCAATGGTGAACTGGATAAAGAAAATGTGGTACATATATACATTCCATGGAATACTACACAGTCATAAAAAGAGCAAAATCGCATCCTTTGCAGAAACATGAATGCAGCTGGAGGCCATAATTCTAAGCAAATTAACACAGGAACAGAAAATAAAATACTACATTTTCTCACTTGTAAGTGAGAGCTAAACATTAAGCAGACATGGACATAAACATGGGAACAATAGATGCTACAGACTACTGGGGACGAAAGGGAGGGGCTATAGGTAGAAAAATTACCTATTGGGTACTGTGCTCACTATCTGCATAGCAGGATCCATATCTCAAACCTCAGCATCATGCAATATACTCATGCAGCAAACCTGCACACATACGCCATATCTGCAATAAAAGTTGAAGTTTGGGGAAAAAAAGACAATAGAAGAGCAATGAACCAAGCACAAGACCCTTCAAAGCATGTGGCCCTGCAAGACCGTCCAGGTCACATGCCCATGAAGCCAGCTTGGGTGGTAAAGCATAGTTGGTTAAGCATGAAGAGATATTTTTAAATATTTCTGTATGATTTTCATTTTTACAGTGTGTGAGCACTGTTTTCTTAATCTAAAAGTCTGTATTTGAAAAGGTTGTATAAATTAGAACCAAGGCAGAGGCAGTGGAAATGCAGAGGGGAGAGCCTGAGAAAGATATTTTTTTTTTATTCAGAATCACAGGAGTTAGCCAAAAACAGTCAGGTGTATACACTCATATTTCACACAACACAGAGATAATTGCGTAAACATTCACAAATACAACTATGACTAGCACTTATTTTAAGAAAGCTTCACTTATGAATAGGAGTAGGTGAGCAAAGGGTTTTCCCGGTACATCTATTTCTTACTTTCCATGAGAATGATAAAAATATACAAAACAATCCTGTAATTTTTCTCTTTCATTACTAAGACAAATAAGTTCTCATCCTACCCAGAATGTTCTATAATCTCCAACCCATTCCAAAGACAAATAAATGTTAAAGCATAACAGTTACAAAAATAGAAATACAACTAATATATTTTGTTTTCTATACACATTATATACTGACCTTTTTTACCTCTCTTCCTACCATGTTATATATTCAATGAAAGTAACATTATTTGAGCAACATTATACAGAAATTTCTTCCACATATACATAAGGACAGCAGGACATTAATGGAGTAGGAAAAGTCTCAGGCTGGCAATCAGGAAGCCTAAGCTACAGTTCTGATCCCACCAGATGAAATGATTCTTTTAGATATTAAACTCATCAGATTAACTGTGCTGCCCCATATCAGCAATGTTGCAATATCAGTTACCCTAATATGTTACCACAGAGTAGAGTCCAGCTGAACACTTAAAAAGTTAACTTCTGAATACTTTTTACAACTTTTTTGATATTATGTTGTTCATTCATTCAATGTTTGTTGAACCAAATATCTGTTCCAGGAGCACATATATGATCCTTCAAGGTGCTCAGTTTCTAGTGGAAGAAGACAAATGAGAGAAACAATCATTGCAATATAGCACAATAATTGCAATAGTAGAAAGTAGAGGTGGGCACTGGATCCAGCCTGGAAAGATCTAGAAAAGTTGCCAGAAGAAAATTGCCTAGGCAGAGTGGTGTTTGCAGTGAAAGGCAATCTATGAGTCACATTACTTTGAAAGAAGTTAATTGAACTAGAAAAATACGGATATTTATTTTTTGCAAAAGCATCTACTCTGAGAATCCTATCACTCAAGCCTTATGCTGCTGTCTTTGATTTGCTTTCTACTGGAGGAACAGACAATGGAGTGCTAAGAAGGCAGGAACTACCTATGAGAAGGCACTAGAGAAGATTCTGAGGTTCCCACTTCAGTGTGCTCCAGTTCACATATCTTGGATTATGTAAAATTGTGTACGTACCTAAATACACAGTTTTAACAATATAGTTGCCTTCCTGAAGACTTTCAATTAATATGTAAAATTCGAATTTTTAACAGTGAGAATCCAGAAGTTTCACTGTTGCCAGGAATAAATAGTTCAAAATATTGTGCTACAAAAACTTTATTTTCAATGCTAATCACATCACAGCAAGCTTCTACTTTGGGAACATATTAAAGTGAATTGTCTCTCTCTGAAGAATTGAATTAAAAGGCAATGGAATTTGGCCAGGGCATTGAGAACTATTAGAAAGTTAGGCCTTCAAATAGTGCTCTGCTTTCTTTAGAATCTCTAAGTAGTAATTTCTCTCAGCTGAATTTCCTTATGTTGTTATTGTGACCTTTTATATCTTTTTCCTACTGTTGTACATTGATGAATGCCAAGACTGTACTTGCAAATAGAAGCCCACCTGCCTATAGGGAAGGAACAAGACACAAATCAGTGGAGATCTGAAAAGGTGCTCAAGCTTCTAGTAATTTTGACCAGGAATCTAACCACACTTAATGGCCTGTGAGCAGGATCATACTTCATATACCTCAGTCATTTGTCTTCATTGCAGCAACATGAACAGGAGGCTGATCTTGGGTGGAAAGTTGGAACAAGTTTTCCCCCTCTGAACATTAGGTGAATATAGGACACTTTTGAACTCTAAATGTATCCAAATAATTTCATTTATAGATTTATTTCACTTACAAGTTTTTGTATATGTACATAGGTTTTGTGATATACAATTGTGTTGAATTAAAGGAAAATCAATTGAAAAAAAGCAAGCTATGTATTAAATGATATGTTCACACATTTCTTTAAATAGATACCTACCTCTTTATAAATGCTGAATGGAACACATAGAAATTATGAGAACATAATTTTGTAATCACAGGGTAAAATATGTAGGAAATAGTTTAGAAATATGACAATCAAATTTACAACTGCAAAAACTTAGAAGCCTGACCTAACTGAATTAAACAAGCCTTTATTTTGTTTGTCAGTGGAAAACAGTTCAGAATTTAAGCCAGTAATAAAATATCTGAGAGGAGGGTGCAATTAAGAAAGGGAAATATAAAAAGGCAATATTTACAAAAAGTACTTAAACTCAGCTGTTAAAACAGGGAATGTAACTTAAATTTTTAAGTAATGTTTTCATGTTAAGTAGTGTCTTGGACTTAAAGGTGTTTAAATTTTCAAAGTGTGGCTAATTTAAAATAATATGTTCTGACTAATATGTGAATTCCATTATGGTTACGTAATTCATTATTGCCTGTCAGTTTCAGTAAATCAGTCAGATATAAGGAAAGAGTGCACCTCACTCTTACCAGGAAATGATGACTTACACATGATGCCCTCCTTCGCATTCAATAAATACTACAACAATCCAGAGATAATGGCAATGTAGACAAATAATTTTGTTCCAAGCAGCTAGAAGAGCTATGCCTAGGTGATGTTGTAGAGTTGCTTGCTTCGCGTTTTTTTTTTTTTTTTTTTTTTTTTGCCAAATTTTATGTCTGAGAGTGATTTGCCTAAGTGTCAATCTTATATTTGTTTTTGACTGCAAACATCAATTTGGCTGCTCATCTACATCCAACTTAATTAAAATGCACAATTGGAAAACATTTATTGTAACCGCATCACATTTCACAGAGGGATGCTTTGTTGAGCTAGTTTTTCATCATGACCTAAATATCATTAGCCGTCTGACCAGTCTCAGCTTCATATTACAACTGAACCACCCCTTTCATCATTTAGAAATGCATGTTTATCTTAGGAGATCAGTGGTTTTCGACCTTAGGGCTCATCAGTATCACTGTAGAGCTTTCTAAATATGTGGGTTATGCTTGGCTCTGGACCTAGATGTAACAAATAAGACTCCTCCTTACCTCACTTTTATTTCCCTTATCTATAGCAATGTGAAAGCTCTCCAGTAAACAGGCATTACCTGGATTCATGGACAATTAGCTCTTACTGCACTCCTATATAACTTCCCCTTTGGGAAGGTTCTAGTGGGTTCCTGTTAACTAGGCTCAGTCTTGTGTTGAAATCTACGTGCACTTTATTGGATCCAGAGAAAAGCTACCACTTCTGTAAATATTGACGATAAAACTGATGTGATGCAGGAGGAAAGAAAGGAAAAAGGAAAATGATTTTAATTTTTTTTCTTTTTCTTTTCTTATCTATTAATACTACATGTATCCAATTCTCTTCCTGCCGCAACAGATCAGAAGACTCTGAGAAGCTAACGAGTTATACTACCTTTGTATTGATTCAACCTAGATAGCCACCAAATCTCCTTTTATTTCCAACTTGATTCTTTAACTATGTCCTGGTTACTTTTGGTGATGCTGGAGTAAAGAGGTTATGGATTAAAATATTTAAAAGTCTAAGTATTATCATTGTTAGTTCCCTTCATGAAGAAACAAAATGAGATAAAAATCATTTCATTGTACATTTAAATTAAAAGTTCCCAAAGTCTTGCTTGTATTTTTACCAATAAATATTTCTTGATATTATTCATCTCAGAAAACCAGCTTCTCAAAATAGAAGACCTTTCAGGCATCACACAAAGTAAAATGTAGCCTTTCACATACTTCCCACTTCTGCTAGTTCATAGGTGGAAAAATCTGAACAGAGGGTTTAGTTTTTCCCCAGGAAGACTTAGCATGTAAGAGAATGTAGTAGAGAATAACTAAGCAGTCATCAAAGTCAGTTTCTCTTCTCCATAGCACACAACTTGACTATATTTCTCAGTGTCTCCTGACATTAGGTATTTGGCCATGAGACTGAGTTCTAACCAGTGGAATATGATCAGGAATGATGTGACCAGCTTCCAGCGCTGGCCCATAGAAAACCTGACAGCTTCTTTTTTCCTTCCTTCAGTTGGGTGTCGATGTCCAGAGAGTTCCTAGAAGCCGTAATTGAAGACACAATCCAGTCATCCTGGGACCCTAAATGACCTCCCTGCCCCACCCCTGCACATAAACCTGACTTGAATCACCTGGACTATTTTTCTGAGAGAGTAATAAACTTTAATTGGGTTTGACCTATTCCAAGTTTTTTGGGCTATCTGTTACAGTGCTTAGCTTATCTCACCTAATACAGGGACTATGCAACCAAGAAACTGGAAATAAAAACAAAGATAATTAAACCATTTTATAATAAGCCTATTGATATAGTTTGGATGTTTGTTTCCTCCAAGTCTCATGTTGAAATGTGATCCCCAATGTTGGAAGTGGGACCTATTGGAAGTTGTTTGGGTCATGGGGATGGATCCTTCATGAATAGCTTGGTGCCTTCCCCACAGTAATTACTCACAGTAATTAATGAGTTCTTGCTTGTTAGTTCACATGAAAGCTGGTCATTTAAAAGAGCCTGGCATGTCTCCTGCTCCCTCTCTTGCCCTGTGACGTGCCTCCTCCCTCTTCACCTTCCTCCATGAGTAAAGGCTTCCTGAGACCTCACCAGGACTCGAGCAGATGCTGGTGCCATGCTTGTATAGCCTGCAGAACTGTGAGCCAAATAAATCTTTTATCTTCATAAATTACCCAGGCTCAGGCATTCTTTTATAGTGATGCAAGACAGACTAATGTAACAATTTTAAAACAAGCTTCAAGCTTTTGTAGAGCCTAGGAATAGTACCTCCTTTTAAGTCCTACAGTTCATGATGCTATGAAAAGGAATGGGAAAAATACCAATTCCTGTATACTCTGTGGTAGCTCACACTGCATGCAGAGTCATGGGAGTAGAATAGATGCAAAACTCTTCTAAACATGTCTTTGTGTTTAAAACCACATCACATTTTTTCTCTTTGCTTATCCAAAAGAGAAAAAATAACCATGCATGCTAATGTAAGGCAGTAATTTTCACAGGGGAGAGAAAGAATTATTTATAAATTGTATGCCTAGTCATAAATATTTGTTATGATAATCTAGGCTTTTTAAAACAGAAGTTCTTCCTCAAAACAAATAATCTGCAAATTTCCTTTTTAAAAATCTACCAAACTGAATGGCCTAAAATATATAGAGGTTGAATAGGAATCATATAACTGAAACAAATCACTCTTTAATTCCTGACAGTATTTTCAAATTGTGTGATATGCACATTAAAAAGCTGACATTTTGAAGTTAGACATCTTTTAGTTAGAAATATCAATCTCTTACAAAAATTGCTTTTCCAACAGAACAATCAATCTTAAAATTACAACTGAATTTTCATTATAGTTATACTTTATTATTTCCATCTTTCATGAATGGAAAGGCACTAGAATAACATAATCCTCTAGAAATCCCAGAGCT
Source organism: Homo sapiens (assembly GCF_000001405.40). Taxonomy (NCBI): domain Eukaryota; kingdom Metazoa; phylum Chordata; class Mammalia; order Primates; family Hominidae; genus Homo; species Homo sapiens. The sequence continues at coordinate 121,263,047 of NC_000007.14, forward strand.
ATGTCTGCTAGATTCAACTTTGTTATTGAGATATTTGCGATTTAGAAGAGCTTGTTGTGCAAATGACAGTGGTGATGCTTCCTTCTCCCATTCAGGTAGCTCTTGCTAGTCACTAATCAGCAATGGGGCCACCTGGGACCCATTCTGAGAGCATTGGTTTGCTCAGGATGGTGATCTCTCTTCCAGTCCTCCATACAGAACTTTCCAGCCATGCTTCAAGTCCTGCTGGAGATCAGGAGGAGATTTGGTAGGGCAGGAGAGAAATAGCTGTGACTTAGACATTTCCTATTTTTGCTGCCATTTTCTCTAGAGGAGCTAACAAATTTTAAGTGCCTAACAAGGTGGCATGCATTCATTTTGTGCTTACATTTTGTGCATACATACATTTTGTGCCAAGAATATGAAAAGTATTTAAAATCACATTTAAGTCCTCCTACATGGACCTCTGTTTCTCCCCACTGTACACATAATGAAATGAACCCTTGGAGAGGTCACATAATTTGTCTAAAATCATCTAGTTAATAAATAATAGTACCTAAGAATTCTGAAACAGGACTATTGTGCCTCTGACATGCTTTGGTGGGCTGCCTTTTCACATATAAACACACAGAAAATACTGGAAATCTAGGAATTTTGTTGTTGTTTTTCTCAGTAATATATAACTACTTTGATTTTTCTCAACCTTTGTATTGTTCTGCATAGCCCACAATACAGATATCTAGGGAGCTCGCTGGCTGCCTGGGGATACCCTAGGAGGGACTGCACCTTGATATTGAAATGAAAAGAAACTACAAGAAAAACCCACACTGGCAATTTAGTTTAAAAGCTAGATCTCAAAGGTCCTTTACTATCGTTATGGACTGAATTGTATCCCCTCCACCAAATTCATACATTGACATTCTAACCCCCAGTACCTCATAATGTGCCTGTATTTAGGAATAGGGCCTTTGAAGAGCTGATTAAGGTAAAATGTCCTATGTGTGGGGCCTACTTAATCCAATATGACTGGAATCTTTAAAGAAGAGATTAGGACATAGCCACAGAGGAAAGACACAAATAAAAGATAGCCACCTACAAGCCAGAGAGGGCCTTGGAAGGAACCAACCCTACTAGCTACTTGATGTTGGACTTCTAGCCTCCAGAAATATGAGAAAATTAATTTCTGTTGTTGAAGTCACACAGTCTCTGGTACTTCCTTATGGCAGCCCTAGGAAAACAATACTAATGGAGTTGCATAACTGCTGATATCTAAAATTAAGAGCATTCCTAATTATACAGTGTTCTTCTTTAAAAATCAGAAATGTAGACAAGAAAATCAAACATAAATAGTGAAAGGTTGAATGTAGTAAGAAGAAATTCAAGTTATTTCACAAGCTATTTTATTACACTGGAATGTTATTGTTCCAAATGCAACCTGGCTGAGAGGATCTATGACTGAGTCCTTGAAATCTTGTTATTCAGGGTAGCCTAATGATGCTTAGCATAACACTACTTGAGCTGAAGGCAAATTGGAGAAGCTTTCTAGATTTCTTCATGCAGCTACTTGGATACGCTCACCATGGAAAGAGTTTAAACCTTTGCAGATTCTCGCTAAATTTTCTGCAGATGGACAAATACAGAAGTACCTAAGCAATGATGGCAATGCCTGCCATTAAAATCAGAAAAAAACATGTGCATGACTAATAGAAAGAGAAATCTCCAAAGAAAGAAAAAGACCGAAGAATGAATTAAATCTTATCCAAAGACATTAGAAGGGATTGTCTATGACAAAAGTCCTTTTGACTTTCAAGTCACTATTTATTTTAAAAGTGCATGCATGGTACTATAGGGGAAAACTAGAATTAGAAATTGACCCTGACCTCAAATATTTCTTGATAGGCTATGAGAAAAAAGATGCAGACACAAAAAGCCATAATTTTATGAGGCTTCTGTAAAATCTGTAATGGCAGTCAAAATGTAATAAAATCAAAGAGAACAGGAAAATTAATTGTGGCTAGGGGCACTGGATGAGACCTGTTGGTAGAGGCAGCATTCGTGTAGGGTCCGGAGGGTGACAAGTGGGGTTGCAGAGGAAGAACTTTCAAGGCAGACAGACTAACATAAGGAAAAGCAGATGTTGAATGCAAATCATGTTTAGCAGAAAAGTAGAAGTCTAACATGCTTACATAAAGGGAGGCATTAAGAGGATGGGGCCATTCACCTTGCATTTGGAGTTAAAGTACGTGGGTTTGAATCCTGGGTTCTCCATTTAGTAGATTTATGTCCTCCATCTTCCTGACCCTCAAATTCCTCATCTGTGAAAAGGAGATACTGAATCAAACCTCACAATTCTAAAGATTAAAAGTGAGGACTATGTGTGAAATCTCCACCTAACAAAGACTGGTATGCAATAAAAACAGTATATGTGAGAGGAACCTGTAGGATTATGTAAGAAACAAGGAACCAGTAAAGTTTTTGAGCACACAAATGAGATAGCCAGAACTAGACATTTGGAAATTTATTGCAGCAATATTGTGTGTAGAATGAATTAAAAGACAGCCATTGTACAGGAAGGGAGACCCAGTAGGAGAGCATTACACTAGTGCAGGTTTGAGGCAGTGAAAGCCTGAACAGTGCTGCTGGGAATGAGCAGGAGGGGATGTGGGTAAGAGGCTTCATTGGAGAGGAAATGGCACTGGGATAGGCACCCTAGGACATGCACCGCTGTTCAGAAAATTAGATTCTGGTTCTGTGGTTCTTTCGTCAAGTAGACACGACCTCTATTGAGCTACCTCTGTGAATTCTCTGTTTGCACATCTGTAAAATAAAGAGATTGGAAAATCCCTAAGTATTCCTAGAGCACTAAAATGCTTCATGTCTATTTGAATCAATAGAACTTGTTAAGATGCTTAAACGAGAAATAAAGAGCATAAGGGAGATAGAAAAATTGAAGATAACCTGAAACAAGTGGTAAATATGAGTAAGTGGGTCAGTAGGTGATGGCATTACTAAGAATATGGAAGAGATGAAAAGGAACAGGTTTGGGAGAGAATATAATGAATGTTATTTCTAACAATTTGAAGGGCTGTCCTTCAAACAGTTAGGTAGTAGTGTGAATATTCAAAATTTCATTATTTTAAACTATCTCCTGTACCATGTAAACATAAGCTTTTAAACAAATGCTTTCTCTTTAACTTATAGATTCTGTTCATTGGAGATTCAACCAACAGAGGGATCATGTACTATCTTATTGAAAGGCTGAATGAAACGTTGCAGGAATGGCAGAAAGTACATGGCACTAAATTCTATCACAACGTCAATGGTGGGAAGACTTTGATCAGTTATTCCTACTATCCCCAGTTCTGGATAAGCCCTTCATTGAGACCAACATTTGAAAATGCACTTGAACACCTCTTGCAAAGGTACAATGAAACTATAATGAAAGACACAAAACCCACAAAGTACTGATGTTCTGCTAGCAGTCGTCACTGCTCAACTACTCACTGTACATCAAATGTGCTCAAAAGGTTAGATACCAAGTAAGGCAGCAGAAAACAAGTTGGAAAGTACAAGGAGTCTTATGATCAAGATGCCAGATACAGTGAAATGTGAGGCAGTGCAGTTACAATGTTTACCTTCTGTTTTAGGGCAACATGTGTTGTTTTTCTTTCTGAATTTCAGATCACGTCCCCTAGAGAATACTGGCCAGACTGTATTGGTTGTTGGTGGTGTTCAGTGGCTTAATTCCAATCACCTGCAAATTATTCACAAAGTTTTGAAGAGGTAAATGTCTGCAACAATAATTGTCATTAGTATTCTAAGTCAAAAAAGTTACTATGGATGTGACTGAGTTTTATCCAGATTTTATTTAAAGAACAACTTATAATTTATCATTAAGTACTTAAAGTCTAGTTTAAAATAATAAAGTAAAATAGTCTTGTATCCAGTCACAACATGGTTGTTCATTATCCAGATTTACATTTAGTACAGATCAAAATGTGTCTACTGACACCTAAAACTCTATCTTAAAAAAACCGTATTATACATCAAATATATAAAACGAGCATTTAGTCTTTTATGCCAATTATCACATTCTGAAAGAATTCTATGGTATTTGTTTATATAAACAACAAACATCTAGAAATGTAATTAAAGTTACTGACTTTAGAATTATAATTATCTCATTCAGGGAAAATTTACTCAATATCCTAGTGATCATCAAAACTTTGGGAATTGGATTTCATCTGCCAGTGGATGGAGTACATTTCTTAACACAGGTAAGCACATTTCCTCTGGGCTAGGTGAATTTCATGATTCCTATAAGGATCCCTGCTGGAAAAAGACCCGTAAGGCACTATATAATATTGAGCAACCTTCATGAAAGTAAAAAAAAGAGATTGTGCTTTAAGTTCCCTTACCCCACCAATTTTACATACACCTTTAAAGGCTATATTAAAAGGATTTCCTTTTGTCAGGTTCATGCTGAATCCACACAAAAAAATTATCACTATCATGAGTCCTTTGGGAAAGAGTGGTCTTTTTGAAGATGATTTCCAAATGATTGCTTTATTTTAAAAATAGTCTTTGAAGTAGTATCATTGGTTTTTCCTGTAATTGGATATTCATCAATGAAAACAGTAGGGGTCTCTGGCCAGTTCTTATAGAAGATAGTAAATTAGCCTCAGCACTAAATAGAAGTCTCAGAAAAGAAAAGAAAGATAGGATCTGTAGGGACGAGAACCAGCTGCTCTTGCTCAAGTGAAGGGACTTCTGGAGCAGCCAGCATTATTGGGCAATTGCAGAGTAATGACCCTGGTGAGCACTGGGAATTGGGGAGAAAGGAAGCTGTCCATTTAATATGTAAGGAGGTTGAGATTTATATTTTTATGTCTCTGTTGAGTGCTACTACCTTTCCCCAGCACAGAACACAAGACCCCAATTCTTTTCTCAAAAATGTATCTGCCTGGACAGCAGATCTTCTGTGATGCAAAAACAGGAGAAATGGTAGGAAGTGGCCAAGTTACATCCTCTAAATTCAGCATCTTGGAGTTAGCAGGGGTTAAGTTAATTCAAAATGAGTTGAGGCATTTAATATCTGGGAGAGCCAAAGGGTTTAAGGCTACTGGGGATCAGGAGAGGGGACCTTTGATAATGTCTTCCATGGATTGAATCCCTTTAATGTTATTTGAAGTCTACAGGTCGAGATCCACAATTCATTCTTGAGGACTCCAGTAGCTCCACTGTGCCCCTTTGGTTGCAGCTCCTCACAGTAATTGGCATACTTGTGGCCTTTACTTATACTTAGGTTACAGTTCAGAATCAATTCATTTCAGCAAACATTTCTTCAGCACTTACTATGTGCCAGATATTGTGTTAAACATTATGACTGCCACCTGAACTTTGATGGTGCTCATCAATCTTTTCAAACTGAGTGAAGACAGAAGGAGAAAAGAAGAGGAAGGGCAAAGAATAGAAAAAAGGAAAAGGGGGATAATTGCAAGTGAAAGCAGAAAACAAATTCAAACTTCTCATCATGTGCTCATATAGCCATTCAGTGCTGGCTTCCGTCTTTCTCCGTAGACTTATCCCTTGCTACCAGTGCATGTGCACACAAGTGTGTGCACACACACACACACATTCACACTCACAACACCACTGAGCTCAGTCAGGCTGAGCATATTTCAGTTTCTCAAGCACACCATGCTCTCAGTCACCTCCAGACCTTTGAAATAAATCCCTGCTGCTTCTACTTGGAGTTAACTCCTCCACCACTCCCTCCTCTGGGTAACTTCCAGTTACTCTTCAAATGTTAGCTTACATGCTAGTTCCTCAGAGAAAACCTCTTGACACACTAGACTGGGTTGGCTGCTCCTACCATGAGCTCCTGTAACAGTGTCTTATGTCCTTACTCATGTCAGTCATATACTCCTTGGCTGTCTGTCTCCTCTGCTGGATGGTAATTGTGAGAGCACCAAGGGAATTGTGGGTTAAGGGAGTTTATATGGCTTACACTGACAGCCCAAATGCCAAATACAATTCTCAGCACATAGAAGACCCTCAAAAAATACCTGGTATACAAGTAAGTGTAGCAAGCGTAGTATCTAATAGGTAATTCTCCAACCCTTTGTCCTCTCCCTTCCTCCCGCTTCTTGTAGACCCCAGTGTCCATTGTTTCTATCTTTATGCATATTCAATATTCAGCTCCCACTCATAAGTGAGGAGATGCAGTATTTGATTTTCTGTTCCTGCATTATTTAGCTAACGGAAGGCTCCAGGTGCATCCATGTTTCTGCAAAAAACATGATTTTGTTCTTTAGGCTGCATAGTATTCTGTGGTAAATATGTACCATGTTTTCTTTATCTCATCCACTTTTGATGAGTACCTAGGTTGGTTCTATGTCTTTTCTATTGTGAATAGTGCTGTGATGAACATAGAAATGCATGTCTTTTTGGTAGGATGATTTATTTTCTTTTGGATACATATTGAGTAATGGGATTGCTGGGTCAAATGGTAGTTCCATTTTTAGTTCTTTGAGAAGCCTTCAAACTGCTTTCCACAGTGGTTGAATTAATTTATGTTTCCACCAACAGTTTATAAGCATTCCTGTTTTGCATGGCCTCACAAACATCTGTTAATTTTTTACTTTTCAATAATAGCCATTCTGACTGGTGTGAGATGGTATCTCATTGTGGTTTTGATATGCATTTCTCTGATGATTAGTGGCATTGAACATTTTTTCATGTCTGTTGGGTGCTTGTATGTTGTATTAGTCTGCTTTGCATTGCTATAAAGAAATACCAGAGACTAGGTAAATTATAAAGAAAAGGGGTATTTTGGCTCACTGTTCTGCAGACTATACAAGAAGCATGGTACCAGCATCTGCTCTGGTGAGGCTTCAGGAAGCTTACAATCATGACAGAAGGCTAAGGGAGAGCAAGTGTGTCACATGACGAGAGTGACATAATGAGAAAGGGAGAAGGAGAGAGAGGCGGGAGGTGCCAGACTCTTTTAAACAACCAGATCTTGTGTGAACTCATTACTGTGGGGAGGGCACAGAGCCGTTCATGAAAGGTCCACCCCTATGACCCAAACACCTCCCACTAAGCCTCACCTCCAACACTGGGGTTCACATTTCAACATGAGATTTGGAGGGGACAAATATTCAAATCATATATCTTCTTTTGAGAAGTGTCTACCACTTTTTAATGGGTTTGTTTTCTACTTGCTGATTTAAATTACTTATGGATTCTAGATATTTGAACTTTGTCAGATCCATAGTTTGCAAACATTTTCTCCCATTCTGTAGATTGTCTGTTTGCTTTGTTGATAGTTTCTTTTGCTGTGCATAGCTCTTTAGTTTAATTAGGTTCCACTTATCAATTTTTGGTTTTGGTACAATTGTTTTTGAGGTCTTGGTCATAAATTCTTTGCCAAGGCCAGTGTCCAAAATGGTATTTCCTAGTTTTCTCCTAGGATTTTTATAGTTTAAGGTCTTACATTTAAGTCTTTAATCCATCTTGAGTTAATTTTTATATATGGTAAGAGGTAAGAATCCAGTTTCATTATTTTGAATATAGAGAGCCAGTTATCCCAGCATTATTTATTGAGGGTCCTTTTCCCATTGCTTATTTTTGTTGAGTTTGTTGAAATAAGTTGGTTATAGGTGCGGCTTTTTTCTGGGTTCTCTGTTCTCCTTCATTGGTCTATGTGTCTGTTTTTGTACCAAAACCATGCTGTTTTGGTTACTGTAGCCTTATAGTATAGCCTGAAGTCACATAATGTGATGTGTTGGCTTTATTCTTTTTGTTTAAGATGTTTTGGTTATTAGGGCTCTTTTTTGGTTCCATATGAATTTTAGAATAGTTTTTTCTAATTCTGTAAAAAATAACATTTGTAATTTGATAGGAATAGCATTAAATCTGTAGATTGCTTTCGGCAGTAATGTTAATTTTTAAATTGAGAATTTTAGATATTTTATGAGTCTTTGTGGGCAATAAATTTAACCACTTTTTACTGAAGAAGTTCAAAACTGTGTGTCACTGTAGATATTGCTGTTTTATACATAAATGATTACATGTATGTTTCGAGTAAAAAAAATTAGAACACATCTTTATTTAAGAAATGCATGTGAAGTTCCTTATCTTACACTATGACTAATCCCAGTAAAAAAGACATTTACATAATTTCCACCTAACTTATTGAATCATAAAACAATCCTCTGGTAATAAAAATTCTCATTCTTCTGCTTTCCAATCAGAGTGAAGTACAGAACTTATGGAAAGAAAATTTGATTATTCTGGATACTGCAAAAAAACATGGCTATGAAGTAGTTGACACATTCACTATAACAATGGGGCGTTACAAAGAGTTTCTACAGGGGAAGTGTGGATGTCATTTCCATGAGGTATTTATGCTGGCTATCTGAGTTTTATAGCTTTTGATCTTTTAAAATTGTTTGTTGTATCTTTAATTGTATTGTCAGTCTTATTTTGCATGAAACAAAAAACAATGTCAGGTGGAGATTAAATGATATATGTTCATCATCATTCAGCCAAGGCATGTAGTAACCACAACTTTAGCTCTACCAAATGAGATGTTAAAAAATTTATGTTTGTTTAGACACTTCAAAACTAGAACAATTGGTCAATGGAGGCAGGAATATGGGAACCTGGAGAGCACTTATTTTCTCTAATAGACTTCAAGCCTTCCCATCAGAAATTGCATCCAAAAAAAAGGTGGCAAAGGTTTTCAGTAGCAGCAGCTTGCAAAGCACGACTACTTAATGTGCTAAACTAATGAATGACCTTCTTTCATTGCCTTGTCCAATGCATAACAGGAAGACCTGTGTTTTGGTTAGGGTCCCCCCACCCAGAGTGAAAATGATTTTATTTTAACCTATAAATAGGCTAAGCTGATAAGGTGATAGCCTAAAACTATTTTATTCTTTTTTCTCCTGTCCTTTTGAACCTTCTGTGGATTACTTCCTCCCTAACCCTTGAATAAAAATCTTGGTCAGGACCCATAAGTTTAACACCACTTTCAGATAACAAAAGGTCTCCAATCACCTTCAGGTGTAGGAGTATCACATCAATACTAAAATTGTCCCATTCTGAGTCATAACTACATAAGTCATTTCCATCCCCCAGCTTAGGTTTCCTTCAGTCTCAAAAGCCCAAATCAAGGGAGAGAAGGCAGGACACTTATTTGCCATTTCCCCATCTTCCTTCTCTACTTTTATTCTTCTACATTTTTCTGCGTTGGTCAGAGTAGAGACGGGATGCTAAGGACAAGAAGAGTCTTATTTGACTAGTACAAGCATAACCCAGTGATGTGCTCTCTGAGTCTAGCATGCTACTTCTTTTTTTTTTGAGTGATTTTACGAATTGCCTTGGAGAGCCCCCTCCCCACCAGTGGAACTTTATGGCTCCAACTTCCTTGATGGCGGTAATACCTCTCCTCCAAGTAGATTCCTTTTTTGGCTCCTTGGTATCCAACTGTCTATCACTCTGTTGAGGATCACGTTGCTCCTCCAGGCATCCTTTTGAAAAATATTCAAAATAGCACTAGGCTTGCTCTACTTTGAACTACAGAAATATATATATTTGATCTACAGAAATATTAATGCATTGTTGCTCTGTCATTGCTGGAAATACAGTTAGTTCCCAGTGAAGCTTTCTCTCTCACTCTCTCTGCCACCCTAAAGCTGATCTGTAGCCACAGTATATCATACCAGTTCTAATGCTTCCCAAACCCCAAGAGACATGTGCTTGGCTCTGCTGAAGGCTCCTCTCACTTGGCTTAAGGCAAAAATAAAACAACACCCCAATGGGAAGAGGGCCCCAAAACATTGGAAAGCTCACACAGAAATTCCATCCCGTCCTTCCTCTTTGTCTCACAACTCTTTTGGTGAGACAAGAATATGGAAAACTGGATTTTGTCCATACTTTTGAAAGTCTTGTATAGGTTGTCCAGAAATTTCTTGGAATATGATTTTTTTTTGGCTTCTGTTATTTGCTCTAGGAGATTCAGCTGAAACTGAGATGAATAGTGCCTCATTTTATCTTTCTATTAGATATTGATTCACTCTTTCTGGCTTGCCTTCTTTTGTAAACCAGGATGCATTTATTAGTGGGTTGACTCGTGAGGTGACAACTAAAGTTTCCTTCTGATTCTGTTTTTCAGCCCTTAGCTGACTGTCAGAATCCATCTTGGTGGGCCGAGTGTGGTAGCTCACACCTGTAATCTCAGCACTTTGGGAGGCTGAGGCGGGTGGATCACTTGAGGTCAGAAGTTTGAGACCAGCCTGCCAGCATGGTGAAACCCCGTCTCTACTAAAAATACAAAAATTAGCCAGGTGTGGTGGTGTGTGCCTGTAATCCCAGCTACTGGGGAGGTAGAGGCAGGAGAATCACTTGAACCTGGGAAGTAGAGGTTGCAATGAGCTGAGATCACCACCACTGCACTCCAGCCTGGGTGACACAGCAAGACTCCATCTCAAAGAAAAAAAAAAAATCCATCTTGGTCCCAAGAGTTTTACCAATACTAAAAATGTTATTGACACTGCAGTAGTTGCTCTGTATGATTTATGGGTGGATTTACATTATCCTTTAATATGACCAAATGGAACTGCATTTCAGAGAAGTGAAAGCCTGCAGCCACAGTACAGAACATGACATTTTAAATTTTGACCTAGCAGCTTGAAGCTGGATCATGCTGTTGCAGAACAGATTTTAAGCTGTAGGATACTGTGTGTCTACTAATGTCTTCCACAAGAAAATATACAACGTTTAGAGTACTTATCCTATTTGCAAAAGTCAAGACTTAGAAATGCAAGGGCTGTAGCCTGGAAGAGAAAGAAGCAAAGATCTTGCAGCTGAGCCAGCCCAGGATCACAGCTGGCTAAAAAAGCAAGCCAGTGGTTGCCAAACCCACAGAAAACAGGGCTTTTGAAAGACAACATAGAGATTGGTTTTGTTCCTCTTTTAGAAAGAATTTTTATTTGTTTATTTATTTATTTGTACATAATGTGTCTTCAATTCATATTTTTGCAGAAAGGTGTCTACTTTTCTTTTTTTAGCTTTAGTGCTCTGAAAGTCTAAAAAGCAAAATGTCCTCGAATAATTTCAACATGGCTCCAATTAAAAACAGAAGTGCCCTTCCCACATGGTTACATGTATCATACCACAGCATCAACCAGTTCACATTAATAGCCATGGTATTCAGAAACCACAAAAAAGGCTTTTTGAACCATCAGCACTAGAATATTGGCTTATAATTATTACTGATTAAAATTATCATTAACTTGCATAGTAACAATGCTTCAAGCATGTTCAGGTAAAATCATTTAGCTTATTTGACTTTATAGTTTTTGGTGTGTAATTATCACACATAACTCGCTTTTTCTTAACTCTATTTCTGATGTAGGCTGTCTTGATAGCAAGCCATGTAGGTCTCCGCCAAATTATCTTAATTGATTTCAGAGTAGTGTTATCTATTTTGAAGTTTTAATGTTTAAGCTAAAATAAGCTTCTGGGAGCATTTGCTGTTCCAGTCACAACATACAGCTGATATGATCATCTTTCTCAACTGACTCCCTTCATCATAAAGTCGCTAAATTCATTCATTACTTAGGCATAATTATTGCTTAACTCTTGAACAATTTGTACCCCTTGTACCTCAGCAAGTCTCTAGTGCTGACACTGACATTTTATAATCTTTCTAAATCATCACCTAACATCTTAACAGTGATGTAATAGCAATGTTAGCTTATTACAAACAATCCAAAAAATCTAAAACTCTTTATAGAGGACATTTGATAATGAATGCAGCAAGCTAGAAAAAAAGTTGGTGACTGCTCTCATGTCTAAAAAGTTAAAGGGCAAAAATTCTGCTGATAACCTTTTTTTCACCTCTGTGCTCATCTTATGAGCCTGGCAAATAAAGCTTACCATAAAATACTAGCAAGAGTTGAAAAAATTGTGTTAGAACCATAAAAATTCTGGCTTGGGGGACTTTTATCTTCTGATGTTCAACTAAACTATTCCCACAATAGATTCAAGGATACCTGAGAAGGGTTGGTATAATCATTACAGTAAGATATTGATGTTTTTTCTTTGGTTTGTGGTTAGAATTCTATCATAGACATAACAAACTTGCTTCAGTGAGCTCTCACTGCCATAGGTGAGATGAAAGATCTTGAGGTGTTTCTTTCATCCGTCAAGGCACCAAAAGAGAATATGTTGCCACCAAGAATCTGTAAACAATTTCCCAACTGGTGTGCATCAATTTTGACTAACATGTTCCTGCTGATTAGAAAAGCAGGTGTTTCTTTTTATGAGTGGAAATGGATTACGTTTTCCTAGTGTTTACATAGGACAACAAACAGGATCCAGGTAGCTCTTGCCCAAGAGAGGTTTTGGATGGTGCCTTCGGTTATGTGGCAAACACCTACTGTGAACAAGCTAAAACCTGGAAAGAATACAATAATGTTATCAACACAAACCTGGCTGCAGAAGGGACAAATCCACAACCAACTGATATGTTATTATTCATTAGTCTAATCAATTATGCAGACCTTATATAATATCTTCCTTTTTTGGCAAATGTAGCTACAGCTTTTGACTCAGTCAACAAAAACCATCTGGCATCAAACTACCACTAATACCAGCAGGTTTCCTTTGATTCTGGTACTATAGAAAGAAGAAAAGAAGGGAGTTTTGGTTCTTTGTCAGAGATGGTTTTCCACTATTAATTAATTTTAACCCTATAATCTTTATTATATAATCTTAATTAAATAAAAGATTATTTGGCCTAGAAATAAAGTGTTTTACTTTCTCCTTTAAACTTTACAAGTTTACTATCTAACCACAATTTAAAAATTAAAAAGAAAGAAACTTTAAATTCATCCGGTAAAAAAAAAAAAACTGAAATAATGACTTTTAGGGAAAAAAAAGATACAAATATGGTTAACATAGTTAGCTGATATAGAAGAACCCAGAATTTAACTTTCAGCATGGCTATTTTTAATGAATTAGTATGGAAATTTAATTCAATAGATATTTTTGAGTATCTACTCTATGCAAGCATTGTACTACTGCTGTAAAGTGAGTTAGAAGAGCATTTTATAGGACTCCCGTAAGTATCTCAAAATCAGCATATCCTTAGAGGGAGAATTAATATTTCCTTTAAACTTTCCTCCCCTCTGGTATTCCCTAATTTACTCTATCACACTACCATTTATAAACTAGAGCTATCTTCGACTTTTGCTTATCTTTCTCCAGCCCTTTCACGACCCTTAACCAGCCAGTTACCAAATCCTGTTTACAAGCTATATATTTTCCACGTCTTTCTCCTACACTACATTCCAACTGCCTTGACCTTGTTTATTCTTTTACTAAATCATTCAACATTTATTTTGTGGTCCAGTTCTTGAACTAAACAGTAGTAATATAAAAATAAATATGACGTACTCTATGCCCTCAGGACATTGCAATCAGGGTCAGTCCTAAAAACCCATATTATGAAACAATACCTTTGATAGCACATCAGATATATGAATAAGATATTGTGAAACACCAAGAAGAGGCACTCAATCTAAGGATTAAGTGTTTCTTCTTGAATTACCATCCAAGTTAATTGTTGAAGGATGAACAGGACTTAATCAAGGTAATAAGATAATGGTAGAAGGAAGGCCATTGCAATCCCATAGAATAATGTGAACCAAAGTAGCTCTGAAATACCTGATGTTCTCATAATCACAGGCAATCCTGTATATAGTAGAACATAAATCACAAAAGAATATTTGAAAAAAGTAGGTGAGGGCAAGATCATGGTAAGAACTGGATGATCCTGTAGGTGATGGAGACCCACTGAAAGGTTTTCAGGAGAGGAGTGAGATGGTCATGGTTTTGTTTCAAACAGTTAAGACTAATAACAGTGAGCAAGGAAGATTTGAAGAAGAACAAGTTAGAGAAGTTAGGAGATTTTTTTTTTCTAGAAGTCAGGTGAGAGATTGTAAAGTTCCACCCAAACCAGGACAGAGAGTATAAAAGAGAAGTGTAAGTATAAGAGAGAAGTGGACAAAAGCAAGCCTGGTTTTAAAAAATGATATCTATAGATCTTATTTGTGGCATGCAGGAGTGGGAAGAATCAAAGATGACTCCTAACTTGAGTGATGGATTAGGGAGAGAAACTGGCAATTGAGACAAAGAATGACTGAAAAGTCACCTTATTAGGAAAAGATGATGAGTTCAATTTTGAACATGTTGTATTTGAGTTGCCTGTAGGACATCCAGGTGGAGATCTCCAATGGGCAGTTGGATATACAAATATGACACTGGAGGGACTGGTAGGGATGAGAGATGGCACAGGGAGTCATCAGAAAATAGGTTGTAGTTGAAACCATGAAAATAGATCATCCACAGAGCCCAGACTCATTGACATCCTGCGTGAACTGCAGAGTTTTGGTAGAGGTGCAAGTGTATTCTGTGTGGCAGAGAAGATGGCAGGTGGTGACGGCTGCATTGCCTACACGTCATCGACAACCCACCTCTTCTTTCCCATCTTAATCCACTGTGCGATCTCTCAAGGGCTGTAGGCACTTAGCCCTGAATCCTCCTCTGAGACGGCTTTGCCTCCTGCTGTTCCCCCTGAGCGAATTAAATAAGTCTTTGCCCTGTGCCCACTGTATGTGTGAGGTCATGCAGGTTACGTTTTTAACTTCCAAAAAGAAAAGAAAATACGTCATCCAGAGAAAGTGAGTAGAGTGGCTGAGAAAGAAACTCCTGGAAACACCAATATTTAAGCAAAGTCTGGAGAAATAGGAGCATTTGAACTTAGAGCATAAACTAATAGCGGGAAAACTCAAGTAGAAGGTGAAGCCATGGAAAGCCACAGAGTAACCATTTGTGAAAAGGAGAGATGGAGACAGGGTCAGTGTTGTCAAATGTAATAGATAGATCTATTAAGGTGAGGATTCCAAAATAATGTTTTTGGCATGAAGCAGGGGAGTCCTTTCTGATCATCTTAAGAGTGGTTTTGGTAAAATGTCGGGGCAAGAATTAGACTAGAATAGTTGAAGAGGTATAGGAAGTGAGAAAGGGGGCTCATAATAGCTTTCAACAAATAAAAATAAGAAAAGGGTAAAAATATTGGATTTAAAGGAGGAAAGACTTTGGCATGTTTTTAAACAGAGAGGAAATAATCAATACCAAGAGACAGAATAAAAATACAGGACAAAGAAGGACAGTTGGAGAAAGGCCCCTGAGGAGCAGGTTGAGGATTCAGGTAAATAGTGTGTGGGGTGGCAAATGAACAAGGTGGGGAGGAGGGTCTCTCCTTCTCTATCATTTCTTTGCCCTCAGCTATTGCAATATTTTTATCTCAGAGCCTCCAGTGTCAACTACTTGAATCCGTACTTCTTACCCCCCACCAGGAGAATGTTCCTATACTTCACATTCGGTGTTGTCATTTAAAAATCTTTCAATGACCCTGTGCTGAAGATGAGTCACAGATTCCTACACTCCTTTTTTAGAAATGTAGTTTCAAACAGTTCTTTCTGTGTAAAATGATTAGTGCTCATTCAATCATCTGTAAGTGAATTCTATCCTCTGCTACTAGCTGATTAGATTAGAGATCAGTGCCCAGTGAGAATAAATTCACTGGTCATGAGGGAGCCCAGCCTTTTCTGAGATGACTTGATACAAAATCCTGTTTCAAAGGGAGTACCCTATATTGAATGGTTGTAACACCAATTAAATCAAGGTCTCTCTCTTAAGAAGGATAATTAAATGGAGGGTCAACAAACAGTGAAAGTAACTTATGTTGAACTACTATTATGACTCCATAAGGCAGCTATACTACCCAGCCTTTTCAATACTGAAACCTAGAATGTCAGTGTGACTAAAAAAGAGATGCTGACTCATAAACTCCTTCATGTTCTTTGCAATAAACCCCCATGTCAGGGAGTTTATTACTAGCCTTTAAGAACCAAGCTAAGCCAGAGTTTGAACTATTTTGATTACCATTTCCTACATTAAGGTTTAATGTTCTAATTTGGTGAAAACAGGTTTTGTTTTTTGAGAAATACTGAATACACCTCCACCTTATGGGTTCTCAGATAATAATATTAGTATATTAAATAATCCCAAAAGTTCTTACACTAAAGAAGCTGGTTAGCTTAGTGTGACCCAGTTTTTCCCCAGCATTTTTGACCACAGAATGACTTTTCCTTATTTTTTTTATCACAACTATTAACACCCCACTAAACACACTTTGAGAAAATTGGCATAAGGATAAGGTCTAAAAAATCATGCATGAAGTACAGACTAAATGAGGCAGATTGACCACAAGCATTTATCTTCCCTTCCACTTGAAACCCCAAGAAAAATACTTTAAAGACATAAAGCTACTCACTCACTCCCCACCCCCCGCCACAAAGAAAAAACAGAATAACTCATAACAGACAAGAAATCTGAATTCATTTGAATTCATTCTATGAAGTTTGACTTAGCAGGCAAAATAAGGTACAACTGAAAGTGCCGAGAGAAGAGAAATACTAGCTGTGAGTGAGGCATACTTGCTGTTCAGATCCTATGCTGAAAAAGATAAGGCTGAGACACAGGTCAGAAAACAATTGGCTAGAAGTCTATGTGC
This sequence comes from Homo sapiens, assembly GCF_000001405.40. Lineage (NCBI taxonomy): Eukaryota > Metazoa > Chordata > Mammalia > Primates > Hominidae > Homo > Homo sapiens. The sequence goes on from NC_000007.14 coordinate 121,279,680, forward strand.
AAAATTGGTAGACCCCTGAGTTCCTTACCCCAGCCCATACAGTTGGGAATCTATATCATCACATACAATATCTTTTAAAATGGAACTGCAGAAAGTCTGGACTCAGAAACACAAGTATAGTAAAGAATAAATTAATCTAGAGGCTGAAAACAGAAAGATGAAGGTAAAGTTGGCGTGTGAAGGGAGGAGCCCTGAACTTTTCCCTAGACCTCCTAGCATTCCACAGTCAGGCAGAGGGTCCCTCAGACAGGAGGCTGGAGAGCTCTTCTGACATGAAACTGAATGACCCACCGGAAGATCTTCTTTGAAAAGGCCAGAGTGGTGCTGAGCAAATTAATACAGTGAAGTCATCAGTTGGAAATGTTAGTCCCCACACAAATTGTGTAACATTTAGTGCCTTAATCTTAAATAAAATATTTAAGTTCAAGAGCGTTAGATAGAAACAAATACCTGTGTGTTAACGTCCAATAGATTCCAAGACCCAAGATGCACATCTAAATAGAGCAAAAGAGGAATTAGCTTATGCTAAGACTAGTACAGGTCATTCCAATAGTGTAAAAACTCAGCAACATAGATATTCAGCCACTTGGGAAATTGAGTTTAAGACAGGGGAATTTAGTGTCTGGGGAACTGCATGAGACTGTAAGATAGAACCAACAGTTTAATATTAAACTGGTAAACTTCTGGTCTGGAGCTCCTTACAATCAGTCTCCGCACCTCAGAGCAGAATTTGTTCCCAGAGCCAACGCTCAGCGTTGTCCAAGGGCAGGAGTTACAAAGCCTCAGCTGTCAGAGTAAGAAGGGCTGGGGATTAGAGGAAGGGTGGGGGACAGACAATATGCTGACTGCAAATCTGGAAACACCAAAACAAAACAAAACTCATTCCTAAAGAAAGTTTTAGTCTTGCCCCCTAATCCCCAGCATCTTTGACAGATTCAGAAGTTGGATTCCCTTCAATCAAAACACAGTTTATTTCATGTGGCCATAATTAAATATTTGGGGGCAAAGGGATGAAATGAAAGAATTCCCTATTATCTGTCAAAATTGCATGATGTCCTGAAGTGAAATTATGAGTTATAAGGACTAACTTCTAGCTATTGTTTGTCACGTTATTTTTATTCCACTTTTGTGAATTCTTAGGCTACTTTTTCAGCTGGTCATAATTTGGTGACTGGATCTTGGATTGAATGCCATCTGCAGAATGACTACATCCAACAAAAAGTACTTCAACAGTATACATTTGTCTTAAGACTAACACATTTGCCTGGCCAATCTCATGTTTTCCAGCCTCAGAAAGCCATTACCCTGTCTCCTCTTCAGACCCCATCCATGATGAAACATATTTGTAATCAGAGCATCCTCTAATCCAGTATAGGACAATTTTGGAACACTTGCACCATAAAAATTGTTTTCTATTTTATTCTGTGGATCTGGAACCACATCAGAAGTTCTTTGTGGGTTATTCAGGTCAAGATCAATCTTAAGAAAGGTATTTGTTTGTAATCTGCCTGACACCTTTCCAGTTCACCAAGACTTCCCTTTTGTACTGGCTTTTTGGAAATTCAAAGTTATTTTTAGAATCAGCAGTTAATTGATATGGCAATACACACGTTCTGATGATGGTTTATGTGAAATCAATTTTGAGTGTTGAAATTACCTACATTTAATAGTGAAAGTTGCAATGTTAAGTTTGGTTTCATAATTCAAACAATTTTTTGTTCGTTTGGGAAGTCTTATAATTCCCATAGGCCAAATCCAGTCAAGTTGAATTGTGACCATTTGTATGCCTTCTAAAATGTCTCTGTACCCACGTTTTTAATGGTGTAGAGATGTGGAAAGATCTATAATTATAAACTGGCAGATCCCTTACCATATAAGGAAACTATAAAAAAGTAAATGTTATGTCTACAACCCAAAGCACAGAATTTCAATTCTTGCTACACTGAGTCACAGAAAAGTGTGATCATTTAATAGCCTATAAGATCTTATACTTATAAAACTCCATTTAGCTCCAAAATTGTTTTCCTAAATTTCTATAGTCAGTATATTTAAAATATTTGTCTTTGAAACACTGTAATTTTTACTTGAAAGTCTTGAAAGTCTTACATGTAACTTAATCAAATGTGAACATTGCTGTGAGAAAAACCATTTTTCTTATAAGACTTATGGAACAATGCTGATCAAACAGATTGTCATGCAGCATGGAGATAAATTGTCCTTCACTATCTCTTCCTACTTTAAAACGTACTTCAATGTAGCAAATTCACAAAAAGAAAATAAACACAAAAGTAAAGAGGAGTTACTTCAAAGTGGCAAAATAAAAATTGTCCTTTAACACTCATATTTAACATATTACAAACATTTGCCAAATCACACATGTATGTATTATTAACCACATGTAGTAGCTCCTTTCCTCTTAGATATACCTGTCTCTTTTTCAGTGGTCAAGTCATCTGCACCCAAATTTAGAGAAGCATTTGATGTATCAAGCCATTAGAATTTGTTTCTGATTAAGGTAACCATGGTATACAAACATCTGAGGCCTTTTGTCTCTGTGTCAAGGCCTAAATCTTTCACTGATGTTTTCTAATGGCTCATTTTGTTGTTTACTATTATTATTATGCTTCAAAGGTAACCTAACGTGTATTGCAAGCAGCTTTCTTTCAAAGTCACATTCCAGTCGACCCTTTAGTTGGATTTTAATAACCCCAAATGGCTCTCTGATTTTGGAAAGGACCCAAATGGGCACATTTCCACCCATGAGATCAAAGGAAAGGAGCAATTTGCTCCTTACTGTACAGGTATCAAACATCTTTCACCGGAATAACATTTCCAAGCCTTAAAAATGTAGCTAATTCCTTTTTCTCCAGTTTAGAGCCTATAAGAGTAAGTAAAATAAGGTAATATTTTGAATCTCAGGGACTCAGAAACAGCAGTTTGACAGCAATGCTGGACACTGAATTTTACACATACGTTCAAAGGAATAATAGCTGTGTGAACAGATGATCTTGCCCACCATAAATTAGCACTAAGTCTTTTGAATGTACTAAGGAACTATTCATAACATGGAAACAACATGGTGCCTGACCTTGGGGAGCTAGTCTCAGACAATGTCTTTGAAGTCATTTCATTCTTGTTCTTACTTCAAGTATCTTAGTCATGTGTCTTTATATAGTCCCCTTGAGGGTAGGGACCATATCTGAATTACTCCATGTGTTTCCTGACACAGACAACTCTGAAGATTGAAAGATGGATATTACATGGAAAAAAAATCATTAAATTTTAATTCTACAAGATACAGAATCATTTTGTTTCTCTTATACTTTTTCATTACAAAAGGATTCCATGAATTCTTTTTCACTATAACAATTAAAAATAAGTATATACAATAAAAACAAAAACTCCTTTCTTCTACATAGAGACTCAATTAGCCCTTTGGTACATAGTTCTGTTTTAAATCTACATTCCTGATTTTAATCTCACACAATTAAAAGTATTAGGACCACATTTATGGTCACTGGATTTATGTAAGATTGGGGTTTATATAGAACTACCTTATTTCACCATAAACATTTTAGGGAATAGTAGTTTAAACCTCATTTTAATCTGCAATGTGAATTTTCCTATTCTTCTATCTCAGTATTGAATTCTCCTTGTACTCAGCTTTTAATTTATATTTTGCCATCAAGTTCTAGAAAGCTATCTACAAAGGAATTTGCACCCTTAATCTAGACAAGAACACAATAATGTAAGACAAAATATACTTGCCAGTTTAACTAAAATGTATTGAGCATGCAATGCATTCCAGCTCCTGTGCTAAGCTCTATGTTTAGATTTCTAGTCACTAAGAGTAGGGAAGAGAGACATACAGAAACTTTAAATACAATATATGTGACCCTCTTTACCCTGACTCTGTTCCTCATCTGCTCATGTTGGAACTGTAACTCTGTGTAAGTATGATAGGTCCTCCCAAACAGGGGCTCTGGGACAAGCCCACTCCCATGGGCTCAGAGCTGTTCCAGCACACACTGCTACCTCTGATTTCTTGTTGCCTGTCTAAGAGCACACATGCTGCAGCCGCCCCAGGCACTAATCATGGTGACTGTCTCCCATGGTTCTGCCTGATACATGCCCTCATGGTCCCAAATCTGCACAACTGTCTGTGCAGAGCCTTATTCTGTCCCTTTGTGTATTCTCAGTTGGTGGGTTTCCAAAGCCCGGGCTCCAATGAGTTATACTGTTTAGTGAAACACTTTTTTCAGCAGTTACTTATAGTTGCTCACAGTATCATAGAACTCAGTTACTCTCACTGTATTAGTCCGTTCTCATGCTGCTATAAGCACATACCTGAGACTGGGTAATTTATAAAGGAAAGAGGTTTAATTGACACACAGTTCAGCACGGCTGGGGAGGACTCAAGAAACTTACAACTGGCAAAAGGGGAAGGAAACACGTCCTTCTTTACATGGCGGCTGCAAAGAGAAGTACAGAGTGAAGTGGGGGAAAAGTCCCTTATAAAACCATCAGATCTTGTGAGAACTCATTCACTATCATGAGAACATCATGGAGATAACCATTATTAATACCTCCCACGAGGTCCCTCTCATAACACGTGTGGATTATGGGAACTAAAACTCAAGATGAGATTTGGGTGGGGACACAGCCAAACCATATCATTCTGCCCCTGGCTCCTCTCCAAATCTCATGTCCTTCCATTTCAAAACGTAATCATGCCTTTCCAACAGTCCCCCAAAGTCTTAGCTAATTCCAGCATTAACCCAAAAGTCAAAGTCTAAAATCTCATCTGAGACAAGGCAAGTCCCTTCCACCAATGAGCCACCAAAACCAAAAGCAAGTTAGTTACTTCCTAGATAAAATGGGGGTACAGACATTGGGTAAATACACCCATTCCAAAGGGGATAAATTGGCCAAAACAAAGGGGCTAGAGGCCCCATTCAAACCCAAAATCCAGCGGGGCAATCATTAAACCTTAAAGTTACAAAATGATCTCCTTTGACACTAGGTCTCACATCCAAGTCATGCTGATGCAAGAGGTGGTCTCCCCCAGCCTTGGGCAGCTCCCCTGTGGCTTTGCAGGGTACAGCCTCCCTCCCAGCTGCTTTTACAGGATGGCGTTGAGTGTCTGTGGCTTTTCCAGGCACACAGTGCAAGCTGTTGGTGGATCTACCATTCTGGGGTTTGGAGGACAGTGCCCTTCTTCTCACAGCTTCATTCAGCAGTGCCCCAGTGGGGTCACTGTGTGGGGGCTCTGACCCCACATTTCCCTTCTGCACTGTCCTAGCAGAGCTTCTCCATGAAGTTTCCGCCCCTGCAGCAAACTTCTGCCTGGACATCCAGGCGTTTCCATACATCCTCTGAAATCTAGGTGGAGGTTCCCAAACTTAAATTCTAGTCTTCTGTACACCCGCAGGTCCAACACCATTTGGAAGCTGCCAAGGCTTGGGGCTTGAACTCTCTAAAATAATGACCTGAGTTGTGTATTTGCCTCTTTTGGCCACAGCTGGAGCTGAAGCAGCTGGGACACAGGGCAGTATGTCCTGAGGCTGCACAGAGCATGAGGCCTTAGGCCTGGCCCACTAAATCATTTTTCCCTCCTAGTCCTCCAGTCCTGTGATGGGAGGGGCTGCCATGAAGGTCTCTGACATGCCCTGTTGACATTTTCCCCATTGTCTTGGTGATTAACACTTGGCTCCTCATTACTGATGCAAATTTCTGCAGCTGGCTTAAATTTCTCCCCTAAAATGTGTTTTTCTTTTCTGTTGCATCATCAGCTGCAAATTTTTTAAACTTTTAAGCTCTGCTTCCTCTTGAACACTTGCTGGTTAGAAATTTCTTCTGCCAGATACCCTAAATCATGTTTCTCATATTCAAAGTTCCACAGATCTCTAGGGCAGGGGCAAAATGCCACCAGTCTCTTTGCTAAAGTATAACAAGAGCCACCTTTGCTCTAGTTCCCAACAAGTTCCTCATCTCCCTCTGAGACCACCTCAGCCTGGACTTTATTGTCCATGTCACTGTCAGCATTTTGGTCAAAGTCATTCAACAAGTCTCTAGGAAGTTCCAAACTTTCCCATATCTTTGTCTTCTGAGCACTCCAAGTCTCTAGGAAGTTCCAAACATTTTCCTGTCTTCTTCTGAGCCCTCCAAACTGTTCCAACCTCTGCCTGTTAGCCAGTTCCAAGGTCACTTTCACATTTTGGATATCTTTACAGCAGTCCCCACTACTAGGTACCAATATACTGTATTAGTCTGTTCTCACACTGCTGTGAGGACATACCTGAGACTGGGTAATTTATAAAGGAAAGAGATTTAATTGACTCACAGTTCAGCATGGCTGCGGAAGCCTCGGGAAACTTAACAATCATAGTGGAAAAGAAGCAAACACGTCTTTCTTCACATGGTGGCAGCAAGGAGAAGTGCATGGTGAAGCAGGGGAAAGCTCCTCACAAAACCATCATATCTCCTGAGAACTCACTCACTATCATGATAACAGCATGGAGGTAACTACCCCCATGATTCAGTTTCCTCCCACCAGGTCCCTCTAATGACGTGTAGGGATTACAGGAACTACAATTCACGATGAGATTCAGGTGGGGACATGGCCAAATCATATCACTCCTCTTTGTAGAGGTGAGACATTCCAAGTTGCATCTGAAATTAAGTAGAAGACACAGCCTCAAGGTTCTTTCCCCAGGGGTTCCTCAGTGTCATAACTAAACAAGCATGGCAGGAATGCCCTGCCTGTCAGTGCATTACAGAGGCCTATGTATTACTGAATCCCTCAGTCCAAACCTGGGATCCTCCTAGAAGACACACTACTTTTCCACTGGCATTCTTTCTCCTACCCCTGGGAGATTCTGAAGGGTTATAAGATGAATGGCTGACCAAATTTGATTTTTATAAATCTAGTTAATATCTAGGATGATAACAGGATTACAGATGTGCTCAAGAAGTTGGTGGATGGCAGCATTGGAGAGATGTTAGAACAAGTTATCACTGGATGACATGAGTCCCCAAAGAGCAGGATTAAAGGCTGCAGATGGAAAAATGGTGTCCTTGAAGTGGCACTAGATGTTCAGAGAAAACTAACTACACCTGGTGTATTAGTCCATTTTCATACTGCTATAAAGGACTTCCTGAGACTGCGTAATTTATAAAGGAAATAGGTTTAATTGACTCATAGTTCAGCATGGCTGAGGAGGCCTCAGGAAACTTATGAGTGTGGCAGAAGGCAAAGAGGAAGCAGGCACCTTCTTCACAAGGTGGCAGGAAGGAGAAGTGCCAAGTGAAGGAGGAAGAGCCCCTTATGAAATTATTAAATCCCATGAGAACTCACTCACTGTTATGAAAACAGCATGGAGGAAACCACCTCCCCGATTCAATTACCTCTACCTGGTCTCTCCCTTGACACGTGGAGATTATGGAGATTACAATTCAAGATGGGATTTGAGTGGGGACAGAAAACCTAACCATATCACCTGGGATTTAAAGATCATGAACCATGGTAGGACAAGTAGCACCACCATCAGTGCCACCCTTTTATACCCCCAACCTCCTGCCACACAGACACAGACACAGACACACACACACACACTCACACACTCATACACGAGAGGGTTATGGTGTCTTCCTGGAGAAGCAACATTTTAATTTTGGCAATGACGCCAAGGAAACCTTCAGTGAAATGGTGACTCTCTAAGAGACTGTTTACCATGGAAAAGAGGTTTCCAAAGGAACAACTGAGAGGTGTAACAGCCAGGGAAGACATCAGAAATCAAAGAGGAAGCACCAAGTTTGTAACCACTAGCACTCCTTCAGTTCCCTGATGGTAGATTCAAATCATAATGAGTCATGATTGTAGACTCTATTCATAGTGACTAATGAATACCTGGTATTGAAAGTCTCCTCTCATCACTTTTTTTCCTTTCAAATGGTCTTAACTATTTTCCTACATTTATCTTTAAGATGTATTTTAGAATTTCTTTTTCATGTTTTCCCCTGTTTTCCCCCAAATTCTTCTGCGATTACAATTGGAATGGCATTTTAATTAACTCGGGAAGATTTGACATGCTATGTCTGCATTTGTTCATGTGCTTTTTAATGACTCATTAAACTTTTGATATATTTTTCACCTGCATCCTAAATATCATTGTTGAATTTAGTGAAGATGTTTCAGTATTGTAATGGGATCTTTTCTCTAATATATTTCTTACTAATTATGTATAGACTGCAGTAAAGCTATACAATTTTCAAATGTTAACTTTATAATATCTAATTATTTTTCAGTATATTCCTTGGATTTTCAGGGTAAACAATCATACAGTTACATATAATTGTTTGGTAATTTTCTGTAATGAAATGTTTCATAATATTGAAACATTTTGCATTCCTGAAATAAATTGTATGGGCTAGTGAAACAGCATATAATACTACCAGATGTTTTTAATGCTCCTGGATTCAATTCACAATGGCAAAGGAATTTTTACATCTATATTTTGACAAATCAAAATTGAACTAATTCTTTATAGTATCAGGATGATAATGACTTAACAAAGGGATTAGGAAACATCATCTTTGATTATTTTCTACAAAATAGTTTCCAAGGGAAACCAAGTGAATTAAGTGTTGTTGGGCCAGCCACTGGCCTGGGCATGAAGGGTTCCATTTTGAAGAACATATGGGAGCATTGACCCTATAAAAGTCATTAGCCTGGTCCTCAGAAGCTACAAGTAACCCCATCATCCTGATTTCCTTTCTCAGACATCAATTTAGTGATCTCTAAAAATAGAAATAGGTTATCAACCTTCCATTGAGATCTGTCAAAATACTGACACTACTCCCAAATGGAAGCCGTACGCTTCAGCAGTTACACTGGAGATCTATATTTTTGTATATCCCATTTATGAATCACATTTAAGATTGTTGTAAGCATCTACACCAGCATTATCCAATGGTTGTAATGCAACTTTAAATTCAACCCTAAAATCACACAAATATTAAAATAATGTTTAAAGAACTATAAACTTTTTCAGTGGGATAGACCCTTTTCTATTTTGCATGTAATTAGTATGCAGACCATCAGGCACTTGCAAAAGCCAGAACTCTAGATAAAATCGTATAAACAAAATTAACCTTATTTTGGCTTCAGAACACTAGAATAATATTATTTCAAGGTCGAATGTTATATTTATGCTTAAATGTTTTCTTAAATAAACTTCCTGAAGACTGCTCACTAATCTTGCTGTTGAGTACAAACCTCCTCTAAAACTGACAAAACTTTCAGGAAAACATTGATGCACCTCTCCTGTCTATCATATTTAGAGTTGCCATATAACCAAATAAGGGTGGAAAGAGCTGTACACAGTAGAAAATTTTGACCCTGGGACCTAGACTATTAATCAGTGGTTAACCACAAACTGAGCTCTAAACTACAATCCACAGGGATTCCTCACTACAACCTCCTGATTTCACTGGATTTCTTAAGAGTTACCTGATCTGAGGGCCAGATCAAGCAAAGCCAAACCTTCCATAGCTACAGGAAAACATTTCTTTGGGGTTAGCAGAGTATAACTGGTTTTAAAACATATTATTGTTTCATTTTTTCTTCAAATGTGAATAGTTTCAAAATTTTTATCATTACATAATAATGCACATTCATTGTATTATATTAAAGAAAAAAATCAAGCCCAAAGTTACAAGAATACATTAAAAATGTCCTATAATTCCTCTACCAAAAGGTCACTATTGTTAATATTTTGGTATAGATCTTTACAGATTTCCTATTCAAATAACTTTTCAGAAATGGTTCAAGCTCATTTGCAATGTAACTAAAACTACTTCTCTTCCAAATAGATATCATGTGATTTTTTAAAAAATACTCAATTTTGTTTATATGGAACTGTTTTCATTGCACTACCTTATATGAGATGAAAAAATATGTACCTAAATTGTTATATAGAACTCAAAACAATTTTTAAAAAATTATGTAAGCTAGAATTACTTTCATTAGTCATTGATAATAGTTTATATGTCCAAATAGTGACAGAAAAAGTATTTTATAATTGCATTAAAATGATGAAATTCATAATTTGTTATTCTTTTATTATTTTATTTATTTTTATTATACTTTAAGTTCTGGGATACATATGCAGAACATGCAGGTTTGTTACATAGGTATACATGTGTCATGGTGGTTTGCTGCATCCATCAACCCATCATCTACAGTAGGTATTTCTCCTAATGCTATTCCTCTCCTTTCCCCCGAACTCCTGACAGGCCCCAGTGTGTGTTGTTCCCCTCCCTGTGCCCATATGTTCTCATCGTTCAACTCCCACTTACGAGTGAGACCATGCGGTGTTTGGTTTTCTGTTCCTGTGTTAGTTTGCTGAGAATGATGGTTGCCAGCTTCATCCATGTCACTGCAAAGCACATGAAACTCATCCTTTTTTATGGCTGCATAGTACTCCATGGTATATACGTGCCACATTTTCCTCATCCAGTCTAACATTGATGGGCATTTTGGTTGGTCCCAAGTCTTTGCTATTGTGAATAGTGGTGCAATAAACATATGTGTGCATGTGTCTTTTTAGTAGAATGATTTATAATCTTTGGATATATACCCAGTAATGGGATTGCTAGGTCAAATGGTATTTCTAGTTCTAGATCCTTGAGGAATCACCACACTGTCTTCCACAATGGTTGAAATAATTTACACTCCCACCAACAGTGTAAAAGCGTTCCTATTTCTCCACATCCTCTCCAGCATCTGTTGTTTCCTGACTTTTTAATGATCGCCATTCTAACTGGCATGAGATGGTATCTCATTGTGGTTTTGATTTGCATTTCTCTAATGACCAGTGATGATGAGCTTTTTTTCATATGTTTATTGGCCACATAAATGTCTTCTTTTGAGAAGTGTCTGTTCATATCCTTCACCCACTTTTTGATGGGGTTGTTTTGTTCTTGTAAACTTGTTTAAGTTCCTTGTAGATTCTGGATTTAGCCCTTTGTTAGATGGACAGATTGCAAAAATTTACTCCCATTCTGTAGGTTGTCTGTTCACTCTGATGGTAGTTTCTTTTGCTGTTCAGAAGCTCTTTAGTTTAATTAGATCCCATTTGTCAATTTTGGCTTTTGGTGCCATTGCTTTTGGTGTTTTATTCATGAAGTCTTTGCCCATGCCTATGTCCTGAATGGTATTGCCTAGGTTTTCTTCTAGGGTTTTTATGGTTTTAGGTCTTATGTTTAAATATTTAAACTATCTTGAGTTAATTCTTGTATAAGGTGTAAGGAAGGGGTCCAGTTTCAGTTTTCTGCATATGGCTAGCCAGTTTTCCCAACACTATTTATGAAATAGGGAATCCTTTCCCCATTGCTTGTTTTTGTCAGGTTTGTCAAAGATCAGATGGTTGTAGATGTGTGGTGTCATTTCTGAGGCCTCTCCTCTGTTCCATTGGTCTATGTATCTGTTTTGGTACCAGTACCATGCTGTTTTGGTTACAGTAGCCTTGTAGTATGGTTTGGAGTCAGGTAGTGTGATGCCTCCAGCTTTGTTCTTTTTGCTTAGGATTGTCTTGGTTATACGGGCTTCTTTTGGTTTCATATGAAATTTAAAGTAGTTTTCTAATTCTGTGAAGAAAGTCAATGGTTCCTTGATGGGAATAGCATTGAATCTATAAATTACTTTGGGCAATATGGCCATTTTCACAATATTGATTCTTCCTATCCATAAGCATGGAATGTTTTTCCATTTGTTTGTGTCCTCTCTTATTTCCTTGGGCAGTGGTTTGTAGTTCTCCTTGAAGAGGTTCTTCATATCCCTTGTAAGTTGGATTCCTAAGTATTTTATTCTCTTTGTAGCAATTGTGAATAGGAGTTCACTCATGATTTAGCACTCTGTTTGTCTATAATTGGTGTATAGGAATGCTTGTGATTTTTGCACATTGATCTTGTATCCTGAGATTTTGCTGAAGTTGCTTATCAGCTCGAGGAGTTTTTGGGCTGAGATGATGGGGTTTTCTAAAGATACACTCATGTCATCAGCAAACAGAGACAATTTGACTTCCTCTCTTCCTATTTGAATACGCTTTATTTCTTTCTCTTGCCTGATTGCCCTGGCCAGAACTTCCAATACTATGTTGAATAAGAGCAGTGAGAGAGGGCATCTTTGTCTTGTGCTGGTTTTCAAAGTGAATGCTTCTAGCTTTTGCCCATTCAGTATGATACTGGCTGTGGGTTTGTCATAAATAGCTCTTATTATTTTCAGATACATTCCATCAATGCCTAGTTGGGGTTGCTCTTCTTGAAGAGTTTCTCTGTGGTGTTCTCTGTCTTTCTTGAATTTGAATGTTGGCCTGCCTTGCTAGGTTGGGGAAGTTCTCCTGGATAATATCCTGGAGAGTGTTTTCCAAGTTGGTTCCATTCTCCCCATCACTTTCAGGTACACCAATCAAATGTAGGCTTGGTCTTTTCACATAGTCCCATATTTCTTGGAGGCTTTGTTCATTCCTTTTCTTTTCATTCTTTTTTCTCTAATCTTGTCTTCATGCTTTATTTCATTAAGTTGATCTTCAATCTCTGATATGCTTTCTTCTGCTTGATTGATTCGGTTATTGATACCTGTGTATGCTTCATGAAGTTCTCGTGCTGTGTTTTTCAGCTCCATCGGGTCATTTATGTTCTACTCTAAACTCATTATTTTAGTTAGCAGTTCCTGTAACCTTTTATCAAGGTTCTTAACTTCTTTGCATTCGGTTAGAACATGCTCCTTTAGCTTGGAGGAGTTTGTCTTTACCCACCTTCTGAAGCCTACTTCTGTCAATTTGTCAAACTGATTCTCCATCCAGTTTTGTTCCCTTGCTGGCGAGGAGTTGCGATCGTTTGGAGGAGAAGAGGCATTCTGGTTTTTGGAATTTTCAGCCTTTTTGTGCTGGCTTTTCCTCATCTTCGTGGATTTACCTACCTTTGGTCTTTGATGTTGGTGACCTTCGGATGGGGTTTTTAGGTGGGTGTCCTTTTTGTTGATGTTGATGCTATTGCTTTCTGTTTGTTAGTTTTCCTTCTAACAGTCAGGCCGCTCTTCTGCAAGTCTGCTGGAGTTTGCTAGAGGTCCACCCCAGGCCCTGTTTACCTGAGTATCACCACCAGAGGCTGCAGAACAGCAAAGATTGCTGCCTGCTCATTCCTCTGGAAGCTTCATCCCAGAGGGGCACCTGCCAGATGCCAGCCAGAGCTCTCCTGTATGAGGTGTCTGTCGACCCCTGCTGGAAAATGTCTCCCAGTCACGAGGCACGGGGGTCAGGAACCCACTTGAGGAGGCAGTCTGTCCCTTAGCAGAGCTCTAGTGCTGTGTTGGGAGATCCTCTGCTCTCTTCGGAGCCAGCAAGCAGGAACGTTTAAGTCTGCTGAAGCTGCAACCACAGCTGCCCCTTCCCCCAGGTGCTCTGTCCCAGGGAGATGAGAGTTTTATCTATAAGCCCCTGACTAGGGCTGCTGCCTTTCTTTCAGAGATGCCCCGCCCAGAGAGGAGGAATCTAGAGAAGCAGACTGGCACTGTGGTGGGTTCTGCATCCAGTTCGAAATTCCCAGCGGTTTTGTTTACACTGTGAGGGGAAAACTGCCTACTCAAGCCTCAGTAATGGTAGACACCCCTACCCCCACCAAGCTCGAGTGTCCCAGGTCGACTTCAGACTGCAGTGTTGGCAGTGAGAATTTCAAGCCAGTGGATCTTAGCTTGTTGGACTCCATGGGGTGGGATCCATTGAGCAAGACCACTCAGCTCTCTGGCTTCAGCCCCGTTTCCAAGGGAGTGAACAGTTCTGTCTTGCTGGTGTTCCAGGCACTACTGGGGTATGAAAAAAAAGCCTCCTGCAGCTAGCTCAGTGTGTGCCCAAATGGCTGCCCCATTTTGTGCTTGAAACCCAGGGCCCTGGTGGCGTCGGCACCCAAGGGAATCTCCTGGTCTGCGGGTTGCGAAGACTGGGGTAAAAGCATAGTATCTGGGCTGGATAGCACCATCCCTCATGGCACAGTCTCTCATGCCTTCCCTTGGCTAGGGGAGGGAGTTCCCTAACCCCTTGTGCTTCCTTGGTGAGGCAACGCCTCACCCTGCTTCTGCTTGCCCTCCATGGGCTGCACCCACTGTCTAACCAGTCCCAGTGAGATGGACCGGGTACCTCAGTTGGAAATGCAGAAATCACCTGCCTTCTGCCTTGTTCTCGCTGTGAGCTGCAGACTGGAGCTGTTCCTATTTGGCGATCTTGCCAGCCCCCCATTCGTTATTCATTTATAAAGACACCCAAAACATCCTTACCAGTACTTTTTCTCCTTCCCTTCCTCTCTTTTTCTACTTCCCAACCTTTCCCCCAATCTCTCTCGGTCCTCCTTTTGTTCTCTAGAGCTAACAACCTGAGTTTGATTAACTCAGTAATTAAAGCTGATAATTATATGATTTCACTAGGACAACGTTTGTAAAATGTACAAGTAGACTACAAATGTAGCCTCTTTGTTTGGATGTGTCTGTATATATATATTCATAAAGTAACCATGAATGAAATCACAAGAAATGAACCATATATTTGGGGAGGAAATTTAGTAGCTTGGGGTGAGGAACAGAAATAGGAAATAAACTTTTTGTTATATACCCTTTTATAACTTATGCATGATGCTTCTTAAAACCGCTGTTCTCTGTGGTGGGAAGATCTATGCACACCTACCCCCAAAAGTTCAGGAAGCTGAGAAGCTGAAGGAAGAGGCCAACAAATCCGTTTTCTTAGAAAGAAACATTTAAAAGGGACTTACAAACAGATGCCATGTCTGTGTCTCAGGTGGCAGCAAAACAAAATGGTGGATCCCTGCACCATTATAACCCCAGACCCAGGGCTTATATGCCATTGGAAAAGGGTGATTCAGAGGGATGTGTAGGAAGACTGAAGTATGATAACATCAAGGTTGTTTTG